>NC_000024.10:11674123-12283670 GCF_000001405.40 Homo sapiens | reverse complement strand
TTCAATTACTCCATGACTTCTTTAGCAAAAATCCCAAATTCTGCCTTGCCAAAAGTGCTCCTCTCAACCCAGCATCCTTACTCCTCGTATCCTTTTCCCTTCCTAGTCATTCTTGCATTGGCATCTTAGACCACCTGCAACTATACTTCGCAAACATTTCCTCCAAGCCTTTCACCAACCCCAATAACCAGCTATTCATAGATGGCTCCTCTTTCAGGCCCAGTGGCTCCCCCAAAATTGCTGGATATGCACTTGCTTCTTTTGACTAAGTAATTAAAGCCTGACGCCTATCTCCAGAACCTCCTCCCAAAAATCAGAACTTATAACTCTCACCTGAGCCTTAACCCTTTCCAAAGGCAAACAAGTCAACATTTATACAAACTCCAAATATGCATATCACATCCTTCATTCCCACACTGCCATCTGGCAAAAGACAGTATTCCTGACTACCAAAGGAACCCCCATTACTAATGGCCCCCTTATTTACCAACTCCTTCAGGCTGCACACCTTCCAACCAAAGCAAGGGTTATACACTGTCAAGGACATCAAACAGGATCAGATAAAATCTCAGGAAGAAACATGAAAGCCAATAAGGAAGCCAAAAAAGTCTCCCTTTCTTCTGCCCCTGTCTCTCTCCTCCTCATAACCCCTACAATCCAAACCCAATATTCCCCCACTAAAAAGAAAGCATCACTACTACAACAAGGAACCTCCTTCCAAAGGAACTAGATAATCAAAAATGAAAAACTCATCCTCCACCAAACAAACAAAGAAACAAACAAACAAACAAAAAATTCTATCATCCCTTCACCAATCTTTCCATGTTGGTGTGCACCCCCTGTACCTTCTCCTTCACCCATATTTCTCTTCCCCCACCTTTTTATCTTACTAAAAAACATAACCTCAAACTATCATTTATGCTCAGTCAGTTCCTCCCAAGGGGCCCTCTGCTCTCCATCTATTCCTACACACCAGTTAAGAGGAACCTCATTATCATATTTCCCGGCACTCTCTACAGACTTACCAGCTTTCCTGAAAGAAAAAAAAAATTGCAGACTCTATTACCCACCTCTAAAACCAACTAGACTCCCTAGCAGCAGTTACCCTACAAAACCGCAAAGGCCTTAATTTACTTACTGCAGAAAAAGGAGGTCTCCACATCTTCGTAGATGAGGAATGTTGCTTCTGTTTCAATTTGTCAGGCCTGGTTCAGGATGCAGTCAAAAACTAAAAGACCAAGCTCCCCCACCCTGTCCAAAAACAAAAAACGAAAAACAAACCAAAAAAAACCAACCAGCTCCTCTGCCTGGCCCTCTTGGCCCCCTTGGTCTCTCAGCTCTTAGGCCTCCTGGTTACTCCCACTCGTAGGACCCATCATAACCGTTCTCCTTTTCCTACTTTTTGCGCCCTGCCTCTTATGTCTCTTTACTCAGTTTTTACAGAACCGCGTCCCAACTTTTACCCACGAAACCATACAAGATGTGATGCTACTACAAGAATAGCACCAATTTCAAAACAGTACCAGGACCAACCTCTACCTTCCAGCCTTTTCCCTAACTACTGCCCCCTCTCAGCTCAAAGTAGCCAGATGAAAAATGGTGCCTCTTTTCCTATTATCTATTAAAAGGCTAAAATGTCAAGGTCACCCCAACCAGACTGTTCCCTTCCCCTCCCACAGGCCTTACAATACAGTCTCTTGCGCTCTCCACACAACTCCCCCAGGGCAAAAGACAAACCCCTCCTTCAGTGACCCCTCCAGTAACTGTTTGTCCAGACGGTTACAGGTTGTGGTTAACATGTTTGTTAACCTCGCATAACACAGCTGGCAAAAAACTTCTGCAGGGTGCAGTCAAGACACCTGTACCCTTGACCCAGCTCCCCGACCCCGACCCAGTTGTTCTGCACCCCCGACTCAGCTCCCCCACCCCGACCTGGTTCTGGCCCTATAAAATCCTGCTATAGTCTGTAAGCCAGGCTGCCTCCTCTAATGACTCAATAAAGCTTGCTTGCCTGAGTTTGGGTCTCCTCATCCTTTCTCTCAGCTGACCTTACACCCACAGCCCCCATACCTGCACAGCCTCCCCCAGTATCCACATCCCCCCTACAGTGGTGTATTTGTTGAAATTGATAAACCCACGTTGACATGTTGCCATCACCCAGAGTCCATAGTTTACATTGGGTTCACTCTTGGTGTTTTTCATTTTATGGATTTGGGCAAATGTATGGTGACATGAATCCACCATTGTAGTATTACACAGAGCAGTTTCACTGCCCTAAAAATTCTCTGTGCTTCACCTGTTCATGCTTTCCTTTCTCCAACCCCTGATCTTTTTTTTGAAACAGGGTCTCACTCTGTCACCCAGGCCAGACTGCAGTGGTGGGATCTCAGCTCACTGCAACCTCTGCCTCCCAGGCTCAAGAGATTCTTGTGCCTCACCATCCCCGAGTAGCTGGGATTACAGTATGCACCACCACACCTAGCTAATTTTTGTATTTTTAGACGAGACAGGGTTTCACCATCTTGGCCAGGCTGGTCTTGGCTCCTGGCCTCAAGTGATCCACCCACCTCAGCCTCCCAAAGTGCTGGGATTATAGGCATGAGCGACTGTGCCAGACTAACCCCTGATCTTTTTTACTGTCTCCATACTTTTGCCATTTTCAGAATTTCCTCGAGTTGGAAGCCCACAGTATGTAGACTTTTGGGACTGGCTTCTTTCACGAGCCATATGCATTTCAGTTTCCCCCATACATGTGTCATGAGGCTTTGCTTATCCCATTTTCTAATAACCCAATGGTGAGCCAAATCATGTGCCTAAGCTTGGGGCAAGAGGACCCTGTAGAAGAGCCCTGTGGCCAAGATGTGGATGGAAAAAGGGGTAAATTATCGGGCGATCATTGCTGCAATCTGCCACTGTCATTGTGTGATTGGTGCTGCACACCAACCATAGGGGACAGTGTAGGGAATTTGGGGGTGACAGTCCTTTACCTCACATTGCTTGAAGAGGAATTCAGATAGATTTAGAATATGAGAGGGAGTCAATGCACCATAAAAAAGCATGAAAATGTGGATAGCTTCTAGGACCCTGAGGCAGCACTCCTTTTGTGGGCTCACTGGCTGCGAGGGATCTGTTCCTGCAGACCCCTGATTCAGCGGCAGATGAATAAACGTGCACTGACACACAGATATTCTATTCTGCCAGTCCGGCTGAGGGTCCTAGCCACTTACAGACTCCCTGCTGAGTCTGGTAAACAGTTGCAGTTCCAGCATTGAACAGGTAGTCAGACTAACATTTATTCAGTAAGATTAATTAACAAAAGCTTGAGTCAATACCATTAGAGGGTAATTGACATTGTGGACTTCCAAAGTAAAAAGCACTTAAGCACCCAGGGTACATCAAAGGTTAATTTTAAGATCATGAGTAAACAAGCTAGCTAGATAGCTTCCCCACATCCCTGGTGTTTACTACTTTAATCTATTTAAGTAAAGTAATGGGACCAGGCCACTTTCACCGAAGTCATGTGAAAACTCTCAGGCCATCCAAAAGGGTTTTGTGGCTATGATAACTAATGTTTTTCCCACCAGTCTGATCGAATCTCAGCACAGCTAAGAGAAACTGTAGCTCACAGCCAGTAAGGAAACAGAGACATCAGTCCTACAACCATAAGCAACTGAATCCTCTCTACCATTTAAATATGCTTGTACGTAGACACATCCTCAGAGCTTTCAGTAAGGAGCACACCTTGCTAACACTCTGGCTCCAGCCCCCTGAAACCGAAACAGAAAACATGGCTGTCCCCAGACTCTTGGCCCACAGAAACTATGAGATAATGCTGTGTTGTGTTAATTTCCTAAGTTTGGGGTCATTGTTTCCTGTAGCAATAGAAAATGAGTTCACAGTCTAAAGACAAAATATATTTTCATTAAATTTGCAGTCAACCTGTATTTTCAAGTATCTGTAGTCATTGGGTCTATTCTCTTTTTTCTTTTTTGACACAGTCTCACAGTCACACTGCCCAGGCTGGAGTGCAGTGGTGCGATCTCAGCTCACTGCATCCTTGACCTCCTGGGCTCAAGTGACTGTCCTGCTTCAGCCCCTCTAGTACTTGGGATTACCGGTTTGAGCCACCGTGCCCAGCTAATTTTTATAATTTTAGTAGAGAAGCAGTTTCACCATGTTAGCCAGGTTCGTCTTGAACTCCTGGCCTCAGGTGATCTGCCTGCCTTGGCTTTCCAAAGTGCTAGGATTACAGGCATGTGCCATGAAACCTGGCCTTTTTTTGGCTATTATTCATAGTCCGATCTTGTTTTCTTCCACCCGATAAGGTCAGCTACTACATTAACCAATTCTATATTATCTAATTTCAAGTGAATTACAAGGACTGGTCTTACTGATCTTACCCATATTTCATCCTTGTGTATGGTTGCCAGACATGTTAAAGGACTCCTAATTGGATTTGAATTTCAGATAAACAATGAACTTTTGTTTTTTCAGTATAAGTACCTCAGGCAATGTCTAGAATGTACTTGTACTAAAAAATTGTTCCTTGCTTAATGGGAATTTGAATTTCCCTGGGCACCCTGAAATTTTATTTGCTAAGTCTCATGGCCCCATTTTAGTGGAATTCTAGATTGTATGTTATAGGATTATCTCTTTGGTAATGTTGGAGTGCCAAAATCAACTCTGAGGGGGTTGTATTCTTTAATCATGACTTCTTAAGGTCTCCTACTTTCTAGAAACCTAGAAAGTGCACAGGAGGCCAGGTGTAGTGACTCTGCTTGTAATCCCAGCTTTAAGAAGTCCAAGGTGGGATGATCACTGGAGGCCAGGAGTTCAAGACCAGCCTTGCCAACATAGAAAGACTTCATATCTACAAAACATTAAAATATTCATCAGGCATGGTGGTGCGTCCCAGTTCCTTGGGAGGCTGAGGTGGGAGGATTGCTGCAGTCCAGGAATTCAAGGTTGAAGTGAGTTTTGATAGCACCACTGCACTCCACACTGGGCAACCAAGCAAGACCCTGTCTGAAAATAAATACATACATACATAAATACATAAATAAATAAATTTAAAGAAAGTGGGCAGGAAACAGAGGAGACAGAAGGTGGTTTCTACCCTATCTGGGTCTAGAAGCCAGGATCAGAGTTGCAGCCAGAAACAAGGGAGAGAGTTGGTTGGAGAATTTTGCTTTTGTGGTAGACTGCCTTGCCCCAGCTTTTTGGTGTGAAAGCCATAACTTGGTTACAGAAGGGTCCCTACTCATGGCCTGACTTGGTTGCTCCTTTGAGATTTAGCCTTTCCATGGGGTATCTCGTACTTTTGGAAGGCATCAAATACCCCTGTAGGAAAGTATTAGAGACTCAATGATGTCCTGCAGAGCCCCTTCCAGTCCTCCCTGTTTGGCAGGGAGTCTTTCTCAGCATTGCCAACCTTGTTGAATTTTTTTTTTTTTTTGGAGATGAAGTCTCATTCTGTCACCCAGGCAGTGGCACCTTCTCTGCTCACTGCAGCCTCCAACTCCCGTGTTCAATTGATTCTCCTTCCTCTGCCTTCCAAGTAGCTGGGACCAAAGGTGCATGCCACCATGTCCAGGTTATTTTTGTAGAGATGGGGGTTTCACCATGTTGGCTAGGCTCATCTCGAACTCCTGGACTTAAGTGATCCACCCACTTCAGTCTCCCAAAGTGCTGGGATTATAAGCATGAGCTGCTGCACCCAGCCTATGTACTGGACATTTTTTCAGAGACACACTGTAGTTTCTCAAGGAAGAATGCCTGTTCCTGGTCCCAGCTGCACACTCACTTTATAGTGTATGCTGTACTTGGTCAAGTATATTGATATTGAAACACAAGCCAGAGTGGATGGACCTTGGTTATAAATCATGGGGCAGCTCTCCTTCACTGTCAGATAAAATCCAAATTCTCTATTACTACCTCCAAGGTCCCAGCATTGATGATCTGTTCTTTTCTTCCTGAAGGGACATCACCCCTGGTTCTTAGGGGGTCTCCTCACAAGCTTCTTACAAATGCCTTTCCTCAGGAAGGTGGCTCCACAATGACCATTTTCTTTATTAAAAAATTTGCAGCCTACAATCAGCCCCCTCTATTATTATTATTAATTGTTATTATTATTATCATTACTTGAAATGGGGGAGGGTCTCACTATGTGGTCCAGACTGGTTTCAAACTCCTTGTCTCAAACCATCCTCTTGCCTTGACCTCCCACAGTACTAGGATGAGAGGTGTGAGCCCCCGCGCCTGACTAAGTGTCCTCTTAAAACCCATGAAGTCTTTTAGCGCTGTCTGCTTTTCTCTATGGAATTCAAATCGCTAAGCATTCATGAAAGTTTAGATAAGCTGGCAATAAATCCAACCTTTAGGATCAATGCATGAAACTGCTCTTTTTTTTTAAGACAGAGTTTTGCTGTTGTTGCCTAGGTTGGAGTGCAATGGCACAATGTTGGGTCACTGCAATCTCTGCCTCTTGGGTTCAAGAGATTCTCCTGCCTCAGCCTCCTGAGTAGCTGGGATTACAGGCATGCACCACTAAGCCCAGCTAATTTTTTTGTATTTAGTAGAGATGGGCTTTCACCAAGTTGGTCGGGCTGGTCTTGAACTCTTTACCTCAAGTGATCTACCCACTTTGGCCTCCTAAAATGCTGGGATTACAGGCGTGAGCCATTGCACCCAGCCAAAACTGCACTTAAAATCCAATGTTTGGCTGGGCATGGTGGCTCATGCCTGTAATCTCAGCACTTTGGGAGGCCGAGGCAGGCAGATCACCTGAGGTCGAGAGTTTGAGACCAGCATGACCAACATGGAGAAAAAAACCGCATCTCTACTAAAAATACAAAATCAGCCAGGCATGGTGGTGCATGCCTGTAATCCCAGCTACTTGGGAGGCTGAGGCAGGAGAATGATTTGAACCCAGGAGGCGCAGGTTGCAGTGACCCAAGATCACACCATTGTCCTCCAGCCTGGGCAACAAGAGCAAAACTCTGTCTCAAAAAAAGAAAAAAAAAATCCAATCTTTGCCCCAGTTCCTACTTTTGGGAGTGAACTATGCCTATTTCAAACTATTGCTGAGCAAGATTGCCTGGTTTCTGCTTCCCCTCATCCCTCTTCTTCAAGTTAACCAGTCAGGAAGTGTAAAGAATGATCAAGGAAACCTCCAAGTTAACACAGAAATATGTATATATGGTGAATGCTGTCTACATGCAGCTTATGGCCCCATAGTCCTAGCCATCATAGCACATGGCAAAATTGTCCTATTGACTCTGCTGTCAGCCTCTGCATGGAAGACCAAATAAAGGTGCTGGGACAGAAGGATGAAAAGGAATCCTAGGATAAATATCTCATCTTCATCGTCCCTGGGTTGGATAATTCTGAGGGTCTCTCGCTGAATCTCAGTGTTTCTGCACAAGACTCAGCTTCAATAGCCCAGTGGCAAGCTGCTTCATAAGTACAATCTCTACTGGCTTCCTGCCTTTCCCTGTCTCTCTTCCTCTTTCCCTGATCAATGCTGCCTCAATTACCTCCCTAATAAACTACTTGGATTTAAGGTTTGAAAAAAAATGCAGCATCATTCTTTTTGACTAAATTTTTAATTAAACAAATTTTTTTTGAGATGGGGTCTTGCTCTATTGACCAGGCTGTAGAACAGTAGCGGAATTACAGCTCATTGCAGCCTCAAACCCCTGAGCTAAAGTGATCCTCCCACCTCAGCCTCCTGAGTAACTGGGACCACAGGTGTGTGCCACCATGCCTGGCTAATTTTTGTATAATATTTTTTGTAGAGACAGGGTCTTTCTATGTTGCCCAGGCTGGTCTCAAACTCCCAGGCTCAATCAATCTGCCTGCCTCAACCTCCCAAGATATTGGGATTACAGGTGTGAGCCACTGTGCTGGGTCGCACCATCATTCCTTTTTTTTTGTTTTGTGTGGTTTTTTTTTTTTTGTTTTGGAAATGAAGTTTCCCTCTGTTGCCCAGGCTGGAGCACAGTGGTGCGATCTTGGCTCACTGCAAACTCCATCTCCTGAGTTCAAGTGATTCTCCTGTCTCAGCCTCCTGAATAATTGGCATTACAGTCATGTGCCACCGCACCCAGCTAATTTTTGTATTTTTAGTAGAGACAGGGTTTTGCCTTGTTGGCCAGGCTGGTCTCAAACTCCTGGGCTCAAGCCATCTGCTTGCCTCAACTCCCAAAGTGGTGGGATTCCAGGCATGAACCACCACTCTCGGAGGAAGCATCATTCTTAATTTCAATGTCTAGTCTAGACATTTAAAATAATTGAACATATTGGATCGTATCAAAACAACATCTTGTTGAAGAGAATGACCCTCTCCACCCAACCTGAAACAGATGGAGGCAGTGCTGACTTTATCTCAATCTTAAACAAAATCTGCTTCACTCAATTTTCTTGTAGACAGGCCGACTGCTTTATTAGAAAACGGGAGAACATTGATCTTTTTCTATGATTCTCTTCCGATCACCCTAGGTAGAATTCCTTTCACTTTCTAACCTGTGTCTGTTTCAACCCAGGATACATTAAGCTTGTTGTCTGTGACACTTTATTGAACTTTTTAATAGCCACGACTGACACTGATCCTCTCTGCTGAGAGAGGAGCTATTCTGATTCCATTCATTGTGACTCCAAAGTCTACCCTGGAAGTCAGATGCTCAGCTGGGATTTTATAAATATTCCATGAACAAACGAACTTTGGCTTTGGGGTAAAAGAGTCAGTTGCCCATCATTTGATAGATCCCTGGATATTTTTTCATAAAAACACCTCAGCAAGTTGCTTATTGCAAAATGACATGTGTCATATCCTCTATGGAGCTGAATATTGTTAAGCAAAATTTATATTAATGAGAAGCAAAAAAAATTTGTCTGTTTTGCTTCACTTCAGCAAGAATTATCTCCTGCATCACAAATGCAGGGAGCACTTTTGTTCTTTATTAGCGTTTTTTTTTTCCCCAGAAACTCTGACATTACTAGGACACTTGGTCATCTGTGATCTGCTTAAAATCTCCCTTCAGCTCCTGGAAGAGTGAGTGGTTCTGATTCTATTTGAGTGAGATGGTTTATGGAGCCCTCTTCATCCCATAATTCTGAAGAGTAACAGTCAGAACGTCTTATTAGGAGGCAGCTGAAATCGTCTAGGGAATGTGGCTAGGGAGTATCATCATCTTTACATCAAAGGCTATGCACAGATAACACGCCAATCTTGATTTCACCCATGAGAAAAGTGAACTCCAAGAATTTCAGGAATGTAGGCGTGTGGATGATAAACATTGCATTTATTACAATTTCACTTTATTTCCTAGAAGAGGGAACATTATATTTCCTGGCCAGATGCTAACCTTTGAAATAAATGCAAACTTTGATAAAATAGACCTGCTATCATTTTCCTTAGGGGAGCTTTATCCTCACTGGGTCACTATAACCAGCACGACAATGAAGTCTTTCATGTATTTCTTGTCCTACTGGAAAAAAAAAACAACATAGAAAAGCTATGTACAAGGACTGTATTAAGATTCATCTATGTCTTTCAGAGATGGCAGGCAAGTGCCATTTCTGAACAATTTGGGTGAATTCAGACACAAGCACCCTACCCCGACAACAACTCAATGGACGCCAGAACATTGCAAATCATGACCTTTAATAGGGCTGCCTTTACACTGCTCAAGAAACAACACCTGGTTTGGTCAAAGGTTTGTTCCTTTTCAATGTGTGTTCTACTGTTTTCTTTTCCTGCCCTTATGACAGTTGTGTGCATTGGCATTATTGCATTAAATAGACATGACTGATTAGATAGCAGGAACCAAAGTTTAGAATTTAGCTAAGTGTGGCTATGCTACTGTTTCTTTTTTCTTTTCTTTTTTTTCTTTTTTTTTTTTTTTTAGGAGATAGGGTCTTGCTGTGTTGCCCAGGGTGGGGTACAGTGGCTATTCAGACATGTGATTCCACCACTGATCAGCACGGGAGTTTTGACCTGCTGCCTTTGTGACTTAGGGTGGTTCACCTGGCCTTAGGCAGCCTGGTAGTCTTCTCCTCCTGGGAGTCGCTGAACTTAGTGCAGACATCCGATCAACATGGTGCACCATAGCCCAGAACTTCTGGGCCCAAGCGATCCCCTGCCTCAGTCTCCTCAGTAGCTGGGACCACAGGCATGCTACTTCTTGCTTTTGTCAACATAAAATGGACTCAGAAAAGTCAGAACATATCAATATCAGTAAATCTAGACTGGGCATGATGGCTCACACTTATAATCACAGCACTTTGTGAAGCCAAGGCAGGAGGATTCTTTGAGGCAAGGAGTTCAAAACCAGCCTGGGCATCATAGACCTCATCTCTACAAAAAAATAGAAAATAAAAAAATTACTCACGTGCAGTGGTGCATGCCTGTAGTTCCAGCTACTCCAGAGGCTGAGACGGAGGATCTTTCAAGCTTAGGAGGCTAAAGCTGCAGCAAGCTATTACTACACCACTGCACTCCAGCTTAGGTGACAGAATGAGACCTTGTATCTAAAAGAAAAAGAAAAAAAGAGATTAGTAAATTCTTTAGAAACCAAGGTTTTACCATGA
Organism: Homo sapiens; assembly: GCF_000001405.40. Taxonomy (NCBI): domain Eukaryota; kingdom Metazoa; phylum Chordata; class Mammalia; order Primates; family Hominidae; genus Homo; species Homo sapiens. Next base: position 12,273,080 of record NC_000024.10, on the reverse strand, counting down.
GCAGTTGCACGAAGGTGGAAAACCTTTTTGTGATTATAAGTAGGGATTCTGAAAGAAGTCCTCAGAGTGAATACTCATTCCATGGAGAAACAGAATGAATCAAGAGAGTCCTGGAAGCTGGGAGGAGAGGAATCTGTGGAAAGCAGAGTCACTTAACTAATTCACCAATGAGACTGCAAACCAATGGTCATGGAGCTGCCATGGAAATCTGAATTACAGACACTTTTATTCTTTGTATTTTATTGCTTGGGTTGAAAATGTGGCCACGCGTGGTGGCTCATGCTTGTAAACATAGCACTTTGGGAGGCCAGGGCAGGTGGATCAGCTGAAATCAGGAGTTTGAGACCAGCCTGACCGACATGGTGAAACCCCGTCTCTACTAAAAATACAAAAATTAGCCAGGCATGGTGGTGGGTGCCTGTAATCCCAGGTACTTGGGAGGCTGAGGCAGGAGAATCATTTAAGACCAGGAGGCAGAGATCTTAGTGAGCTGAGATAGGGCCACTGCACTCCAGCCTGGGAAACACAGTGAAACTCTATCTCAAAAAAATGCATGTGCCCTTTGTATGTAAATTTTCATTCTAGGGAATAAGTTCACATCTCCTTAACATATATTCTTTTGGTGTTTTTAGACAATTCCAGTTCAGAATTCCTCTCCAAGTACTTTTACCTGAAGAAATCTGCATCTCTGGTCTGATGCAAGATCTGGTTTCCAGGCTGGGCACAGTGGCTCATGCCTGTAATCCCAGCACTTTGGGAGGCCAAGTTGGGAGGATTGCTTGAGCCCAGGAGTTTGGGACCAGCTTGGGCAACATAGTAAAAGATTATGTAAAAATACAAAAATTATGTAAAATACAAAGATTTTGTATTTTACAAAAATTATCCATGGACTGGCGGGTGCCTGTAGTCCCAGCTATTCAGGAGGCTGAGGCAGGAGTATTGTTGAGCCTGGGAAGTTGAGGCTGCAGTGAGCTATGATCACCATCATTGCACTCCAGCCTGGGTAACAGAGAGAGAGAGAGACTCGGTCTCAAAAAAAAAAAAAAAAAGAAAAAAAAAAAGAAATCTGGTTTCTAGAGTTTACGGAATCATATAATAGCATGTTTAATGGAGTGTTCCATCTCACAAAATGGTGTTTTGTTGGGAGACAGTTATGTATGCCCTCTGATATTTTCAAATCTTTATTTAAAATGCTGGGAGAGTTACTATCTGGCTTTCCATCTGTGCTGTTTAATATAATAGCCATCCATTTGGGGCAGGGTGTTGATGAACAGTATACCTACCATCTTCCAAATTATTGCCCACACTTTGTCTTGTTGAATATTATTAAGATATAACGACAGGGAAGACCTTCCATTTCTGTCCACCCCACCCACACCTTTAATTGGAAGCACAGATGTCCCTGAGGCACTGCTATAGACCATGAGGTCACCGCAACGCAAGGGACATCAAACGGGATTGCTCTGGCTCAAAACAGCCAGTCTTGATCCTGGTGTGATGAATGGCTTTGGTGGTTGTCACAGATAAGAACATTCAGCATCAGCAAGAAAAGCTGTAGGTGTTTCGCTGAATGTAATGTTTTGTTGTTGGTGTGCTGTTTTTTTTTTTTTTTTCTTTTCCTGGATGCATAGTAGGAATTGCAAATGCGGGGCGCAGATTGCCTCATTTGCACATTATCAAGATGAACAATCTGGGTAAGCCTAGCATGGACCAGCCCTCCCATAGAAGAGGGAGGTGAGATGGAGTGGCTAATGCTTTCGTAATGATTCAAGGCAGCTGCCAGAAGAGGCAAAGCCTTTTCAGAACAGCCTGTCTGTTCTGTTCATAGACATTAGAGAGAAAATACAACTGATAGGTGAGTTGGGGAAGGCTTGTTTGGACACATTTTCTTAGTCTTTTTTTTTTTTTTTAACCTCTAGTTGAAATGGGCAGAGTTGAAAGATCCTTTGACCTATTGTATTCTGAAACTCAATGGATCAGCTTAGGCATTGAGAAATTGATTCTAAATCAATTTTAGTGTAGGTAAGTTTTCTCTCTGTTACTCTCATACCCTTTCTTCTTTCTTCTCTCCCTCCCTTTCTTCCTTTTTCTTTCTTAACCAAGAACGTATGTGTTAAATGGTGCTAGGAAAACTGGCTAGCCATATGTAGAAAGCTGAAACTGGATCCCTTCCTTACAACTTATACAAAAATTAATTCAGGATGGATTAAAGACTTAAACGTTAGACCTAAAACCATAAAAACCCTAGAAGAAAACCTAGGCATTACCACTCAGGACATAAGCATGGGCAAGGACTTTATGTCTAAAACACCAAAAGCAATGGCAACAAAAGCCAAAATTGACAAATGGGATCTAATTAAACTAAAGAGCTTCTGCACAGCAAAAGAAACTACCATCAGAGTGAACAGGCAACCTACAAAATGAGATAAAATTTTCACAACCTACTCATCTGACAAAGGGCTAATATCTAGAATCTACAATGAACTCAAACAAATTTACAAGAAAAAAACAAACAACCCCATCAAAAAGTGGGCAAAGGATATGAACAGACACCTCTCAAAAGAAGACATTTATTCAGCCAAAAGACACATGAAAAAATGCTCATCATCACTGGCCATCAGAGAAATGCAAATCAAAACCACAATGAGATACCGTCTCACACCAGTTAGAATGGAGATCATTAAAAAGTCAGGAAACAACAGGTGCTGGAGAGGATGTGGAGAAATAGGAACACTTTTACACTGTCGGTGGGACTGTAAATTAGTTCAACCATTGTGGAAGTCAGTGTGGTCATTCCTCAAGTATCTAGAACTAGAAATACCATTTGACCCAGCCATCCCATTACTGGGTATATACCCAAAGGACTATAAATCATGCTGCTATAAAGACACATGAACATGTATGTTTATTGTGGCACTATTCACAATAGCAAAGACTTGGAACCAACCCAAATGTCCAACAATGATAGACTGGATTAAGAAAATGTGGCACATATACACCATGGAATACTATGCAGCCATAAAAAATGATGAGTTCATGTCCTTTGTAGGGACATGGATGAAATTGGAAATCATCATTCTCAGTAAACTATCACAAGGACGAAAAACCAAACACCGCACGTTCTTATAGATGGGAATTGAACAATGAGAACACATGGACGCAGGAAGGGGAACATCACACTCTGGGGACTGTTGTGGGGTGGGGGGAGGGGGGAGAGATAGCATTAGGAGATATACCTAATGCTAAATGACGAGTTAATGGGTGCAGCACACCAGCATGGCACATGTATACATATGTAACTAACCTGCACATTGTGCACATGTACCCTAAAACTTAACAGTATAATAATAATAAAAAAATGCGAAAAAAAAAGAACGCACGTGTGTGTGTGTGTGTGTGTGTGTAGTGTGTGTAGTATGTGACCAGAGTATCCATGCTTTGGAGCAAAATGAGTTTAAGGAGGAATGAGTTTATATTTTGTCCTTAGTGTTATTTTAAGGTACAAATATGGGTAGTAACTTGCAGACTACAGATGGGCTTTTCTTTCATTGTAATGCATTTGGCTGTATATCCCTTAGTCCTAACCCCTCTGCCACTGCCAATTAAATACAACCATTAGTCATTCAGTGGTTTCTGCATTTTGCAGTCAAAAAAGAGGCAGCTCATTTTGATTAATTGGCTCTTTCTTTATTCAGGACACAGAAGCTTTCTGAGTTTAAGCTTTTAGGCTTGGCAGGACATTGAGACAATTCTCTTGTGCCAGCATGTTGCAGGGCAGGTTTTGCCACTGAGAAAATTCATCCAAGAGCCCCAGGGCTTGGGGCAGCAGGAGTTCTTTTAAAAATTGGCCAAAAGACCGGCAGAACACTTGAGGTCAGGAGTTTGAGACCAGCCTGGCCAACATGATGAAACCCTGTCTCTACTTAAAATACAAAAATTAGCCTAGCTTGGTGGTGCATGCCTGTAGTCCCAGCTACTCAGGAGGCTGAGGCAGGAGAATCACTTGAACCCAGGAGGCAGACTCCATCTCAAAAAAAGGGTCAAAATAATGAACTCATTAAGAGTTCAGGATTCGTGCAGTAGTGGCCTCAGAAAATCAATTTTAAAATGTTGGAATTAGGTGGAATTAGGGATATGGCTCCCAAGTCTAGTGAGAATTTCATGCTGGAAACTAATTTAATTGACACATTTTTTTTTTCTTTTTAATCCTGTCTATGTCTTCTGCCAAAGACAACAAGAAGGTACTCCGAGCTGCACAATCACGCCCAGATAGATAAAGCCATATATGGAATTTTGAGCACATTGAATTTAATGTATAATTCTCTGTATTTGTGAATCCAGCCTCACAGGTAGAGACATTTAATATCATCTGCCTTTTGTTCTTTTTCATGTAAACTACTATGTGTCAACATGCTGTCTTTATATGGCTGGCCATAAGATGTCTAAGTTCATTCTCTTTGCTTAATAAGTGTGTGAATTTTTTTAAAAAGGTAGGAGAGAGGTAATTGATATAAATATAAACTGTAAATTTCCAACAGATACATATGAGTTTATGTTTATTTTTATTTATTTTAGAGACAGGGTTTCACAGGGTTTTGCTCTGTCACCCAGGGTAGACGACAGTGTTGAAGTCATAGCTCACTGCAACCTCCAACTCCCGGGCTAAAGCGATCCTCCAGACTCAGTTTCCAGAGTAGCTGGGACCCCAGGTGCTTATCACCAGCCTAGCTAATTTTGTATTTTTATTTTTTGTAGAGATAGGTTCTCATTATGTTGCCCAGGCTGGTCTTGAACTCCTGGGCTCAAGGAATCCTCCTGCCTCTGCCTCCCAAAGTGCTGGGATTACAGGTGTGAGCCACCATTGTGCCCAGCCATATATATGATTTTAAAATATGGTAAAAATGGGGTGACAAAAAAATTCAACTAACTTTGCATAGATGAAAAGCATTTCTATAACTTTGGGGATTTGGCCCACAGTCCTGAGCATGTAGCTTTTGCCTGCAAAACATTCTTAATCTTCAAGGAGATGTTTGAAAAATTGTAGGCCGGGTGCGGTGGCTCATGCCTATAATCTCTGCACTTTGGGAGGCTGAGGCGGGTGGATCATGAGGTCAGGAGATCGAGACCATCCTGGCTAACATGGTGAAACCCTGTCTCTACTAAAAATACAAAAAAAATTAGCCGGGCATGGTGGTGGGTACCTGTAGTCCCAGCTACTTGGGAGGCCGAGGCAAGAGAATGGCATGAACCTGGGAGGCAGAGCTGGCAGTGAACCAAGATCGCATGACTGTGCTCCAGTCTGGCTGACAGAGCGAGACTCCATCTCAAAAAAAAGAAAAATTGTAATCATCTGTGGCTATCATTGTCTCAGAGTATTTACAAAGGACTCTGAGAGACAATAGGGATGAACTCCTGTTTGTGTTTTTCCTCTCAGAGGAGATATTTGAAGTGAGTTTTGAAATAAGTATAGAGACGAGATAGGGATTGAATCAATAATCCCATGTCCAATATTCATTACCTGATAACTGAGTAGGGATATGCTGAGAAAAGTGTCATGTGTTTCCTTAAGAAAATATGACCTCAGCCAGGACTGAGCAAAACTATGAACTGGACGCAGTGGTCCTCAAATTCCATGTTTCTTTCTTTTCCTCAATTCAGTTCTTTCCTCAGCTTCCACTTTTCCTTTACTTGGTAATTCCTTATTATATTACCTTTTGCTTGTCTTTCCTTTCTCCAACCAAAGCTGCTATCCCTACAGTTTTTTTTTCTTTTGAGGGTCTTGTTCTGTAGCCCAGGCTGGAGTGCAGTGGCACAATCTCAGTTCACTGCAGCCTTGAGCTCCCAAGCTCAAGCGATCCTCCCACCTCAGCCTCCAGAGTAGCTGGGACTACAGGCATGCATCACCATACCCAGCTCATTTTTATATTTTTTGTAGGGATGAGGTCTCACTGTGTTGCCCAGGCTGGTGATGAACTGATTATCCTACCTCAGCCTCCCAAAGAGCTGGTACTATAGATGTGAGTCACTGCTATCTTGACAGGTGAAGCCAGCTAGACTTCCTGGGTTGAGTAGGGACTTAGAGAAGTTTTCTGTCTAGCTAGAGGATTGTAACTACATCAGTCAGCACTCTAAAAATGCACCAGTCAACACTCTGTAAAAATGCACCAATCAGCGCTGTATGTCTAGCTAAAGGATTGTAAATGCACCAATCAGTGCTCTGTAAAATGGGCCAATCAGCACTCTGTAAAATGGACCAATAAGCTCTCTGTAAAATGGACCAATCAGCAGGATGTGGGCGGGGCCAAATAAGGGAATAAAAGCTGACCATCTCAGCCAGCAGTGGCAACAGGCTTGGGTCCCCTTCCACGCTATGGAAGCTTTGTTCTTTCACTCTTCACAATAAATCTTGCTGCTGCTTACTCTTTGGGTCCACACTACCTTTATGAGCTGTAACGCCATGAGGGACTGTGGCTTCATTCCTGAAGTCAGCGAGACCACGAACCTATGGGAGGAACTAACAATTCTGGATGCGCCAAGTTTGAGAATTGTAACACTTACTGAGAAGGTCTGTGGCTTGACTCCTGAAGTCAGAGAGACCACAAACCCACCGGAAGGAAGAAACTATGGACACATCTGAACATCTGAAGGAATAAACTCCAGACACACCATCTTTAAGAACTTTAACACTCACCACGAGCATCTGCAGCTTCATTCTTGAAGTCAGTGAGACCAGGAACCTACCAGAAGGAACCAATTCTGGACACATTTTGGCAACCATGAAGGGACAATCACCAAGTGGTGAGTACCATTGGGTCATTTTAACTTGTTATTCTGTCCTATTTTTTCTTAGAATTCGGGGGCTAAATACCAGGCACTTGTCGGCCAGTTGAAAGTGACTAATGTGGCCACCAGACTAAAGACACGGGCGTCAGGCTTTCTGGGAAAGGGCTCTTTAACAACCCCTGGACCCTTGGAGTTGGGAACGTTGGTTTGCCTGGAACCAGCTTCCACTTTCCCTATACTTCTGGGCAGAGCCAAGGGTCAACAGAGAGGAAAACCATTCAGCTCTGAGGTCCTGACAACAAATTGGTTGACCCTGCAGCCATGAGCGGAACTCTTGAAGTCACGTCGCCCAAGTGAGACTTGCACATCTATCCTGACCCTTGCATCCTGAGTCCTAATGCCTGTCAGACAAACTTCCTCTTGCCTCTCTTCTACAAGTCTAGTCCTGCTTCTAAAAACCATTCCCTGTCTCTGGTACTTTTCTAGTTTCTCCTATAAGAATGATTTCTAGATAAACTTCAGGACTCTGTTAACTTCATTAGGCACCCAGGCTTACCAATCAGAAAGACATACCTTTAGCCCAAAATCACACTGGGGCAGAGGACTTTCTGGAATTTTCCCTCCTCAGACTAGCAGGCCTAACAAAAGCTATTCCTGAAGGTAGGGTATGGGGAGCTTCAGAAATGGTATCTTTCCTATTCATATAAGTGAGGACAAAAGGCATCACTCTTCCAACTCTGGAGATCCTTTCCCTCCCTCAGGGTATGGCTCTCCACTTCATTTTTGGGGCATAACATCATTATAGGACAGGGGTAAAGTCCCAATACTAACAGTAGAATGCTTAATGCTTAGGACCCTAACAGGTTTTCGAGAATGTATTGGTAATGGCTACTAAATCCAACTTTTCTTGGTCCTCTTTGTGGTCTAAGAGGACAGACAAGGGTGCAGGTTTTTGAGAATGCATCATTAAGAGCCACTAAATCTGACCTTCCTTGGTCCATCTTGTGGTCTAGGAGGAAAAGTAGTGTTTCTGCTGCTGTATTGGTGAGCACAACTATTCCAATCAGCAGGGTCCAGGGACCATTATGGGTTTTTGGGCAAGAGGTGTTTCTGCTGTTGTGTCAGTGAGCACAACTATTCTGATCAGCAGGGTCCAGGGACCATTGTGGGTTTTTGGACAAGAGGTGTTTCTGCTGCTGTGTCAGTGAGTGCAACTATTCTGATCAGCAGGGTCGAGGGATCATTCCAGGTTCTTGGGTAGGGGGAGAAACAAACAAACCAAAACCACAGATGGTTTTGTCTTTCAGATGGAAAACACTCAGGCACCAACAGGCTCACCCTTGAAATGCATCCTAAGCCATTGGGACCAATTTGACCAGCAAACCCTGAAAAAGAGGCAGCTCAATTTTTTCTGCAGTACAGCCTGGCCCCAATATTCTCTCCTTGATGGGGAAAAATGGCCCCCTGAGGGAAGTATAAATTACAATACTATCCTGCAGCTTGACCTTTTCTTTAAGAGGGAAGGCAAATGGAGTGAAATATCTTATGTCTCAGCTTTCTTTTCATTGAAAGAGAATCCACAACTATGCAAAGCTTGCAATTTACTTCCCACAGGAGGACCTCTCAGCTTATCCTCATCTACTAGCCTCCCTATAGCACCCCTTCCTATTGATGATAAGCCTCCTCTAATCTCCCCTGCCCAGAAGAAAACAAGCAAACAAATCTCCAAAGGACCACAAAACCACAAAAAACCCCAGGCTATTGGATATGTCCACTTCAAGCTGAAGGGAGGGGAATTTGGCCTAACCTAGATACATGTCCCCTTCTCCCTCTCTGATTTAAAGCAGATCAAGGCAGACCTGGGGAAGCTTTCAGATGATCCTGATTGGTATATAGATGTCCTACAAAACTTCATTCTCACTTGGAGAGATGTCATGGTATTGTTAGATCAAACCGTGGCCATTAATACGAAGAATGTGGCTTTAGCTGCAGCCTGAGAGTTTGGAGATACCTAGTATCTTAGTCAAGTAAATGATAGAATGACAACTGAGGAAAAGTGACAAATTCCCTACTGGTCAGCAAACTGTCACCAGTATGGATACCCACTGGGACCTCAACTCAGATCATAAGGACTGGAATCACAAACATCTGTTGACCTGTGTTCTACAAGCACTAAGGAGAATTAGGAAAAAGCCCATGAATTATTCAATGATGTCCACCATAACTCAGGGAAATGAAGAAAATCCTTCTGCCTTCCTTGAGCAGCTATGGAAGGCCTTAAGAAAATATACACCTCTGTCACCCAACTCACTCGAGAGTCAACTGATTCTAAAAGATAAGTTTATTACCCAATCAGCTGCAGATATGAGGAGAAAGCTCCAATAGTGAGCCTTTGTCCCTGAACAAAATCTAGAGGCATTATTAAACCTGGAAACTTCAGTGTTCTATAATAGGGACCAAGAGGAACAGGCCAAAAAGGAAAAATGAGATCAGAGAAAGGCTGCAGGCTTGGTCATGGCCCTCAGACAAACAAACCTTGGTGGTTCAGAGAGGACAGAAAATGGAGCCAATCACCCAGTAGGGCTTGTTACCTGTGTGGTTTGAAAGGACACCTTAAAAAAGATTGTCCAACAAGAAACAAGCTGCCCCTTTGCCCATGTCCACTATGCTGAGGCAATCACTAGAAGGTGCACTGCCCCATGGACAAAGGTTCTCTGGGCCAGAAGCCCCCAAACAGATGATCCAACAACAGGACTGAGGCCTGGGGCAAGTGCCAGCTCATGTCATCACCCTCACTGAGCCCCAGGTACATATAAACCTGGAGGGCCAGGAAATTGACTTCCTCCTGGACACTGGCTTGGCTTTCTTAATGTTAGCTTCTTGTCCCAGAAAGCTGTCCTCAAAGTACGTTACCATCCAAGGAATCCTGGGACAGCCTGTAACCAGGTATTTCTCCCACCTCCTCAGCTGTAACTGGGAGACTTTGCTACAGATAGTAAGTATGCTTATCTAATCCTACATGCCCATGCTGCAATATGGAAAAGAAAAGTTGTTCCTAACCTCTGGGGGAAGACCCATTAAGTATCACAAGGCAATCATGGAGTTATTGCATGCAGTGCAAAAACCCAAAGAGGTGGCAGTTTCATACTGCCAAAGCCATCAAAAGGGGAAGGAGTGGGGAGAACAGCAGCATAAGCAGTTGGCAGAGGCAGGCAAAGACCAGCAGAAAGGAGAGAGAAAGAGACAGAAAGTCAGAGAGAGAGAGAGGAAGAAACAGAGAGACAAAGAGAAGGAGACAGACAGAGGAAGAAACAGAGAGACAGAAAATCAAAAAGAGAAAGGAAGAGACAGAGTCAGAAAGACAAAGAGTCAGAAAGAGACAAAGAGTCAGAAAGAGAGACAAAAAAGAAGTCAAAAGAGAAAGAAACAGAAATGGAAGTAGTAAAGAAAAAACAGTATACTCTATTCCTCTAAAAGCCAGGGTAAATTAAAAACCTGTAATTGACAATTGAAGGTCTTTTCCATAACCCTATAACACTCCAATGCCACCTTGTTTTCAGTGTAAACAAGGATGTAGCCCAAAAGCACTGAGGCCACTGACAACCCATAGCCTTCCTATCAAAAATCCTTAACCCAGAAAGTTTCCTAATGGAATCTAAATCTTAACTAATTACCATACAAAGGTCCGACCAGACCTAGGAGGAACTCCCTTGAAGACAGGACAATAGAATGATAGATGGTTCCTCCCAGGTGATTAAGGGAAAAAGACACAATGGTATTCAGTAAGTGATAAGGAAATTCTTGCAGAGTAAGAGTTAGGAAAATTGCTTAATAATTGGTCTGCTCAAGGGTGTGAGCTGTTTGCACTCAGCCAAACCTTAAAGTACTTACAGAATCAGGAAGGAGCCATCTATACCAATTCTAAGTTAATATGGACTGAACAAGGTCTTATTAATAGCAAAGAATAATTGAAATCCCAAACTTACAAGATTTTCAACAAAAGTAAGTTTGCTAAAAGTTAACAGTATAACATGTATTATCCTAACTTCTAATCTTATGGAAATCAGAACTTATCACTGTCCCTCAAAGCTCAAGTCTGTCAACACAGAGCCATACAACTAATATCCCTACTTACAGGGTTAGGAATGGCTACTGCTACAGGAACTAGAATAGCTAGTTTATCTACTTCATTATCCTACTACCATGCACTCTCAAAGGATTTATCAGACAGTTTGCAAGAAATAAATAAATCTATCCTTACTTTACAATCCAAAATAGACTCTTTAGCAGCAGAGACTCTGCAAAACCACCAAGACCTAGACTTCCTCACTGCTGAGAAAGGGGGACTTTGCACCTTCTTAGGGAAAGAGTGTTGTTTTTACACTAATCAGTCAGGGATAGACTAGATGCTGCCCAGCGTTTACAGGAAAAGGCTTTTGAAATCAGACACCTTTCAAACTCTTATACCAACCTCTGGAGTTGGGCGACATGGCTTCTCCCCTTTCTAGGTCCTGTGACAGCCATCTTGCTATTACTCACCTTCAGGCCTTGTATTTTTAACCTCCTTGTCAAATTTGTTTCCTCTAGAATCGAGGCCATCAAGGTACAGTTGTTTTTACAAATGGAACCCCAAATGAGCTCAACTAACAACTTCTACTGAGAACCCCTGGACCAACCCACTGGCCCTTTTGCTGACCTAACGAGTTCCTCTCTGGAGGACACTATAAATACAGGGCCCCATCTTTGCCCTATTCAGCAGGAAGTAGCTAGAATGGTCATCACCCAATTCCTAAGTTGGGGTGTCCTGTTTAGAGGGGAGATTGAGAGGTGAAGCCAGCTGGACTTTGTGGGTTGAGTGGGGATGTGGAAAACTTTTCTGTATAGCTAGAGGATTGTCATTGCACCAATCAGCACTCTGTAAAAATGCACCAATCAGCACTCTGTGTCTTCCTAAAGGATTGTAAATTCATCAATCAGAACTCTCTAAAATGGACCAATCAGCACTCTGTAAAATGAACCAATCAGCAGGATGTGTGTGGGGCAAATAAGGGAATAAAAGCTGGCCACCCGAGCCAGCAGTGGCAACCCGCTTGGGTCCCTGTCCACACTGTGGAAGCTTTGTTGTTTCGCTCTTCACAGTAAATCTTGCTGCTGCTCACTCTTTGGGTCTGCACTATCTTTGTGAGCTGAAACACTGTGAGGGTCTGCAGCTTCATTCCTGAAGTCAGTGGGACCATGAACCCACTGGGAGGAACAAACAACTCTGGACATGCCACCTTTAAGAGCTATAACACTCACTGCAAAGGACTGTGGCTTCACTTCTGAAGTCAGCAGGACCAGGAAGGAGCCCACCAGAAGGAAGAAACTACAGACACTTCTGAACATCTGAAGGAACAAACTCCAGACACACCATCTTTAAGAACTGTAACACTCACCATGAGGGTCTGCAGCTTCATTCTTGAAGTCAGTGAGACAAAGAACCCACGGGAAGGAACCAATTCCATACACAATCTGATGTTTTAAAAATTTCGGGTAATGATAAATTGCATGTATTTATTCTTTTTATATTATTAATATTTTATTTTTATTTATTTTTTCTTATTTTAAAATTCAGTTTTCTTTTTAATTTTTTTCCTTTTTAAATTTCTTTTTCTTTTTTATTGTCCTTTGGGTAAAAAAACCCTGACATATAAACATTGCATAGATTTTTGGTGTACAACTTGATGTTTTGAAATACGCCTGCCTTTTGGAATGGCTCAATTATGCTAATGCACATTACCTCATCCACCTACCTATTTGTGATGAGAACACTTTGAGTAGATTTTATCAGTAATTTTCAACTCTAAAACACATTCTTATTAACTACAGTCAGCACAAGTACAATAGATTCTTTGAACTTACTTCTTCTGTCAAATTGAAATTTTGTATCCTTCGACCAGCATCTCTCCAAGCCCCCCACTGCTCTCTGAGCTCCTAACAGGCATCATTCTACCCTTTCCTTCTATGAGATCAACTTTTTGAGATTCCACATAGAAGTGAGATCATGTGGTATTGGTGTTTCTGTGCCAGGCTTATTTTCCTTAGCATAATAACCTCCAGGTTTATCCATTGTGTCGTAAATGACAGAATTCCATTCTTTTTTAAGGCTGGGTAGTATTCCATGATGTATATGTACCATATTTTCTTTATCCATTCATCCAGTGATGGACACTGAGGTTGATTTCACAGTTTGGCCACTGTGAATAGTGCTGTAAGGAACATATGCACTGACACACCTTTAAATTAGAATAAAAATTCTGATTTTAGTAAGTTAAGGTTAAATCCCTTAAACTTAGAGATTCAGTTAAGTTCCTTAAATAAGGGTAAGTCCTTGGAAGAAGGAATTAACTTCAGGAGTCTTATAGTCTCCATCCTCTGCAACCATTTGCCTCTGAGTACATGTTTTCAGATTTCCCTCCTGGAAGAGCATCTACTTTAGGTTTTAAAAAATATTGCAGGCTGGGTGCAAGTGGCTCACGCTTGCAATCCCAGCACTTTGTGAGGCTGAGGTGGGTGGATCATGAGATCAGAAGATCAAGACCATCCTGGCTAACATGGTGAAACCCTGTCTCTACTAAAAAATAAATAAATAAATAAATTATCCAGGCATGGTTGTGGGCACATGTGGTCCCAGCTACTTGGGATGCTGAGGTGGCAGAATGGCATGAACCTGGGAGATGGAGCTTGCAGTCAGCTGAGATCATGCACTGCACTCCAGTCTGGGTGACAGAGCGACATTCCTTCTCAAAAAAAAAATTCAATAATTTTAGGGAACAGGAGATGTTTAATTACATGGATAAATTCTTTAGTGGTGATTCCTGAGATTTTGATGAACCTTTCCCCTGAGCAGTGTATACTGTACCCAATATATGGTCTTTTATCCCTCACTCCCCTCCCACCCTTTTTTCTGAGTCCTCAAAGTTCATTGTGTCATTCTTATGCCTTTGCATCCTCATAGCTGAGCTCCCACTTGTGAGTGAGAACATATGATGTTTGGTTTTCCATTCCTGAGTTACTTCACTTAGAATAATTGTCTCCAGCTCCATCCAGGTTGCTGCAAATGACATCATTTTGTTCCTTTTTATGGCTGATTAGTATTCCATGGTGTGCGTGTCTGTATGTATATGAAAATGTGATATAGATAGATAGATATAGATCTATATAGATAAAGAAAATATGATATATATTGATATCTATAGATCCATAGATATCAAGAGTGTCTCACTTCAAGCACCAAGCACTGCTGCTGAATGGGAGCAGAAATGCCCAATGGAATGCTCTCTTGGCTTCTCACTTTGCATAGAATCTCTATCTATCTATCTATGTATGTATCTATCTATGTATGTATCTATCTATGTATGTATCTATCTATCTATCTATCTATCTATCTATCTATCTATCACATTTTCTTTATCCATTCATTGATTGATGGATATTTGGGCTGGTTCCACATTTTTCCAACTGTGAATTTTGCTGCTATAAACAATGTATGTGCAAGTGTCTTCATTTTTTGTGTTTTTGTTGTTTGAGATGGAGCCTTGGTCCATCACTCAAGCTGAAATACAGTGGCACAATCTTGGCTCACTGTAACCTCTGCCTCCTGGGTTTAAGTGATTCTCCTGCCTCAGCCTCCCTAGTAGCTGGGATTACAGGTGTGTGCCACCACACCTGGCTAATTTTTGTATTTCTAGTAGAGATAGGATTTCACCATGTTGGCCAGGCTGGTCTCAAACTCCTGACCTCAGGTGGTCCACCTACCTCATCTTCCTGAAGTTCTGGGATTAGAGGTATGAGCCACCACAGCTGGCCGCCAGTGTCTTTTATATATAATGCCTTCTTTTCCTCTAAGTAGATACCCAGGAGTGGGATTGCTGGATCAAATTGTAGGTCTATTTTTAGTTCTTTAAGGAATCTCCATACTGTTTTCCACAGCGGTGGTACATTCCCACTAACAGTATAAAAGGATTCCGTTTTCACTGCATCCACATTAACATCTGTTGTTTTAGCCTTTATTTTATGCAACGTGAGAAGCCAAGAGCACATTACATTGGGAACTTCTGCTACCATTCAGCAGCAGAGCTCGGTGCTTGGAGAGAGACACTCTTGAGCTTGAGGAGATGTCTGGGAGATCCACGTGATCTTCAAAGACCCCTGTTGTGTTGTACTGGGAGGTGGATCCTGAATCCACCCAGAGAAGCCTGGCCAATAAAATCCGTTTGCTTTCCAGGAGCCCCTTGGTCTTCATGTCTTTGGTGTGTGCACTCTTGAACACTTGCCAGGCACACAGGGTGCATGACAACAAGCCTAATATTATCCTGATCATGGTTGATAACCTGGGTATTGGAGATCTGGGCTGCTATGGCAATGACACCATCAGGTAAGGCGGTTTCATGGCGAGTCATATGTTCATCAGTTGTTCAGGTTTGACAGGCTGACAAACTTGTACAACTGCATCTATGTGCAAAACCAAATGGATTCATTGGGATTTTTTAAGTTACTTTAAGCTTTTTGATAGCTTTAAATTATTTAGATTTAAATTGTAAAAATAGTTTTACAATTACATTTTTAATAATTTTAATTTGAATCTCATTCAGTTTTTAAGAAATAATAATCGTCCATCTTCACGGGATACACAGTGAGGTTTGGATACGCACAATGTATAGTGATCAGATCAGGGTAATCAGTGCATCCAGTGTCTCTACCATTAACGAGGATGGTCAAAGTAAAAGCGTGGCTGTCCGGACCCAAGTCCTAGCTCTGTATTTACTACCTCTGAAGTCTTGGAGAAGTCGCCGAAGCTGTCTGTGCCTTAGTTTTCTTATTTGTCGAATGCAGAGAAGGCTTTATATCCCTGAGTTTATATGTGTAAAGAACTTAGAATAGTACCTAACACACAACTATCCTCTATTATGCAGTCTATTATGAAGCATGATGATTGTATATACATGTGCATATACAGATATAAACATATAAATATTATATAAATATGTGATATATTTCATTTATGAATATATTCTATAATATATAAAATATATATCATACATTTATTGTATTATATATCATATATTATGAATATATGAACATATATTCAATATATAAACATATATGAGTATATATTACAAATATATAAATGTTATTCATATATACATGAATATATACATATTTATATGTCTATGAATATATATTCATTTTTATATAAATGTATAAATAAAATTTATATACATTTATATATAAATATATTTAAATAAATATATAAACATCTATATACTTTAGAAAAGTATAAATAAATATATGTAAACATATTTATTTATTTTATATAAATATTTATATAAAATGAATATATATTCATAACATAAAATTATATATTATAAACATATTTATATATTCATATTTATAATATATAAATATGTTCATATAAATATATTCATAAATATGTATAAATTAATAAGTATATATTTATATATTCAAGCATATATATTCATAAATATATAAATGTGAATATGTACATTCAGCAGAATTCATTCTGTTTCCTAATTTGGCGAGTCAACAGATTCTTTAAGGTGATGAGCTTGTATTTTTAACAATGGGCATTCTGAAAGAAGAAAAACAGATATGCAGCAGAAACTCAGAGCTTTGTAGTGGATTATAGAAGCCACCTGTATTAGCTATGCTTATACTGAGCTTAGGAGTACATCATTATAAGACATACATCATACACTTTTAAGATCACTGCATGTGTGACTAATAGATGCTGAAGGTAGTCATCACAGTTTTCAACAACAGAGCTAGGAGTCATGAAAAAGTAGTCGCCAAAAATTAACCATTGCTTATGAGAAAAGAAGGGAGGACTCACCCAAACGCACAGAAACATGGTGTCCATAAATGGCAGATATTTATGGAGATTATGTCAGTGTGAGGTATCAGTGTTTTGCTGAAAATACTAGCAATTTGAGAAGTGAGATTATAATGTGAAATCTAAAATCAGGCACACGTGCCCCTGGAATGCAGTTTATAATCTTTTTTCTTTGCAAAATAAATAATGTTTTAAAAGTTGGTAGGTGACTTCCATATCTCAAAAAAAAAATCAGATACATGCCTTGGTAAAGCTGGAAATTCTTCTTGCACCAGTTACCTGTCATAATTTCTCTCATGAACAAATGTAGAAATCATTATATTTTATTTTCATCCAAGAGGTGACTGATTCTTTTTCCAGAAGTCTCTCCAGCCTCCAGAATTCTCTTGTTAAATTATTTTTTAATTGACAAATTATAGTTCTGTGTATTTATGGTGTACATTATGATGTTTTGATTCATGGATCCATTGTGGAATAGCTAAATCAAGCTAATTAACATGCACAACCACACATACTTATTATTTATATGTGGTGAGAATGGTTAAAATTATGGCAATTTCAAGAATAGAATACATTGTTATTAGCTATAGTCACCACAATCTGCAACAGATCTCTTAAATTTATTCCTCTATGTGAGGAATAAATCAAATAGAGGATTTATTCATGTTTGGCTCCATGAGATGTTATATCCTTTAACATACCTATTCTCAACCCTTGCCCCAGCCCCTGATACCCACTATTCTACTTCTGAGTTTGCTGTTTTAGATTCCACACATAAGTGAGATCATGCGGTATTTGTCTCTCTGTGCTTGGCTTATTTCATTTAATACCCTTTCAGTTCATCTGTGTTGTTGAAAATGATGGGATTTCCTTCTTTTGAATATTTAATCATATGACAGTTTTGCAACCTATGCAGACTGCAGGGAAATGTATCTATCAAATTGGTGGGTGGGTGGTCTGTAAGTAGTTAGGCATAAGTAAGGTCTGTAAGCAATTAGCCTCGATAAATCAGACCCCAATTCCTTAAGCATTTTATTTTGTAAGGCTGAAGTACAGTGAATGGACACCATATAGCGGCACCCATGTATACGAGCCCCGCAGAACAACAGCTGCCTGGAATTTCAGTCATACTTCACCTTGACACGGGCAAGAAAGAAAAATGAACTCCATGTGCAGTTACCTGCTCTGGGCACCTGGAAATCATAATAAACAGGGATGTTGTTTATCTTCAGATCTCTCTCTCTCTCTCTCTGTCTCTCTCTCTCTGTCTCTCTCTTTCTCTTCTTTCTGTCTCTCCATCTCCTTCTATGCCTGTCTCTGTCACCCCTCTCTGTCTGCTTGTCTATCTGTCTCTGATTGTCTCTCTCTATCTATCTCTTTCTATTTCTTTCTATCTCTTTCTGTCTCTCTCTCTCCCTCTCTCTGTCCATCTGTTTCCATCTCTTTCTGTCTCTCCATTTGTTTCTATGTCTGTCTCTGTCTCCCCCTTTGTCTGCTTGTCTCTCTTTCTATATCTCTCTGTGACTGTCGGTCTCTGTCTTTGTCTCTCTTTTTGTCTATCTCATTCTATCCATTTCTTTCTATCTCTTTCTGTCTTTCCTTCTCTCACCCTCTGTCTGTCTCTTTCCATCTCTCTGTTTATCTCTCTCTTTCTACTTCTCTCTCTCCATCTCTCTTTCTGTATCTCTCTCTGTCTCTTTCTCTCTTTTCATCTCTCTATGTTTTTCTCTCTTTCTTCTCCCTCTGTCTGTCTGTCTCTCTTTACCCACCTCATTTTCTGTTTCTCTTTCTCTGACTCCCTCCTTCTGTTTAAGTCTTTCTTTTCATTTCTTTCTGTCTCTCTCTTAAACTCCGTATGTCTCTTTCCATCTCTCTCTCTCTCTCTCATCTTCTCTGTATGTTTGTCCCTCTCTGTCATTCTCTGTCTCCCTCTTTCTGTCTCTCTTTCTCTCTCCTTTTTTCTGTTTGTCTCTCTCTTTCCATCTCTCTCTCTCTTTGTGTGTCCTACCCTTTGTCTCTTTCTCTTTTTATCTCTTTCTTTCTGTTTGTCTCTTTCTATCCTTTTCTGTTGCTCTCATTCTCATCTCTCTCTCTCTCTTTCATCTTTTCTTTCTGTCTGTCTCTCTCTCTCTGCCTCGCTTTCTGGGTCTCTCCCTCTCTCCCTGTCTGTCTCTCCTCTCTCTTTCCACCTGTGCCTTTCTGTTTGTCCTTCTCTGCCTTTCTCTCACTCTTCCTCTCTGCTTCCCCCGCCTCCCACCTTTTCCTTCTCTTCAATACACCTTCCCTCTCCCCCTTCAGGACGCCTCACATCCACTGCCTTGCCAGGGAAGGCGTGCGACTGACTCAGCACATCTCTGCCACCTCCATCTGCAGCCCAAGCTGGTCCGTGTTCTTGACGGGAAGATACCCGATCTGATCAGGTATGCAAACTGGCGGGCTCTGCTGGACTCTGCCCTCAAGTTAGGATGTGAGGAAATAAAAACATGGCTTGACTATGTTAACAAGTGATAAAGGGCTGGGCACGATGGCTCACGCCTGTAATCCCGGAACTTCAGGAGGCCAAGGTGGGAGGATTGCTTGATCCCAGGAGTTTCAAACCAGCCTTGGCAACAGTAAGACCGCATCTTCACAAAAATGTTTTTAAGTAAGTTGAGCATGGTGGCATGTGCCTGTAGTCCCAGTTACTTGGGAGGCTGAAGTGGGAGGATCACTTAAGTCCAGGAGTTTGAGGCTGTAGTGAGCATGATCACAGCATTGCACACTAGCCTGTGATAGAGCATGTCTTAGAAAGAAAAAAAAAGATACCAAGGAAAGAAAAGAAAAAGTACACCTGTGCATAGGTGCACTGGCATACACAACAACCACCGGCCACATCAAAATTACTGCACTTCTCAGAGATACAAGATCACCCTGTGTGGTTCAGTTTTATTTTGATGCAATAACAGCTTTTTATCTGAATTCCAAGTCACAAGGTGTATGTTTGGGTTTCCCAGGTCAACAGAGATAAGCTCTCTTGGAATGAAGTAATTAACACAAGTGTTTACACATGCAGTCTGCCACCAGAAAATAGCTTTTTTTTCTTTCAAACCACAAAGTCATAGCTGGGCCCAGTGGCTTACATCTGTAATCCCAGCACACTGGGAGGCCAAGGTGGGCGGATGACTTGAGGTCAGGAGTTTGAGACCAGCCTGGCCAACATGGTGAAACCCTGTCTCTACTAAAAATACAAAAATTAGCTGGGTGTGGTGGCATGCGCCTGTAGTCCCAGCTACTCAGGAGGGTGAGGCAGCAGAGTCGCTTGAACCCGGGAGGCAGAGGTTGCAGTGAGCCGATATTGTGCCATTGCATTCCATTCCAGCCTGGGTGACAGAGCGAGACTCCATCTCCAGACAAACAAACAGCAACAACCAAAAACCCACAAAGTCATAAGCCAAGAAATAGCTATCAGATTTTTGGACAAATTTCATCAGCATTTTACCCATGAAGACAGTAGTATTATCCACTTGCTCAATTTATATCAACTTTATTTTATTTATTATTATTATTATTATTGAAATGGAGTCTCACTATGTTACCCAGGCTGGAGTGCAATGGCACAATGCACAGTGCAATGTGCGGGATGCGGTACGGGGGTGGAAGTGGGTGGGGGGATGGAAGTGGCGGGGAGGTGGTGGGCCGAGGCAGGTGAAAAGCTTTTGAAGTAAGCTTGCATCTGCAACTTGTTAACAATGCTGGGAGGGTCTGCTTAAAATTTTAGCCTATGTGTGACTTCTAAATAGCTTATACTAAATGTTAACTATTACCTATGTTATGCTTATTATTTTAAATTTTATTACTTAATTTAATTTTCCTTCCCCACTGATGCCTGACAAGGAGACTCTCCAACTCTCCATTATTTTGTGATTAAAAAGGTGGCTGATACCCTGAAGGAACACTGGGAAACCATGGTGCCTGTGCCCTACCAATTCTCAGAACTGAATCAGGGCAGGATGTGGCTGAAGCCTTGCTGTGGGGTGTTCCCATTTTGTCTGTGTGACAAGGAAGGGGAACTCTCTCAGCCCTGGGGTCCTAACGAGTAGAGGTAATTACTATCAGGCTGCCAAAGGCCACTAACTTTGGTGCTTTCAAGTTTCCAAGGAATGCATTTAAGATCCAATAAATTTATCTACCATTCCAGATTATTAAAGGCCCACTGGTTACTCCACTAGCTGCTAACTTTTTTTTTGGTGGGGGGGGGGGGAATTCCTGTGGATAAATGTTGATTGAAATTTGTTTTATTTCCTTAAAGTTTATAATTTATTAATTCTCTTGTAAAAAATCCACACAATGGCTGCTGCTGATGTCATTGCAGAATTGCTACTTTGTCTTGTAGCAGGACGAGCTGTGCACAAAATCCCCCAGACACCAAGATAGTGAAGGAAGTGGCTTTAATCAGCTGGAAGCATTGGCAGACTAATGTCTTAAAATCCATCTTTAATCAGCTGGAAGCATCGACAGACTAACATCTTAAAATCCGAGCTTGTCAGGTGCCCAACTTCTGTCCCTTTTAAGGGCTCATAACTCTAAGGGGGTCTGTGAGAGGGTCGTGATCAATTGAGCAAGCCAGGGGGTACATGACAGGGGCTGCAAGTACTGGTGGTCAGAGTGAAACAGAACAGACTGGGAAGTTTTATAGTGTCTTTCTATAATGTATAGATAACATCAGTTGCTAGGTTGGGGTGGGATTTTAACTACCAGGCTTAGGTCAGGCAGGCCCAGGCCTGGTTTTCGTTCTGCTTCCTCGGTTTCGGGTCTGGTTCCTAGGCACTGGGCTACCTGCCTTTAGTTTCGCTTTCCTTTCCTTTTCTGAGTATAAAACAATATGAGAGGGTCTGTCTCTCTTCTCTCATTTTCCCCCTTTGAGACTCTCACTTTTTATTAGTGGGAGTTCTTACTCTCATTTTTGCTACTTTTGTCTTCCTGTGTAATAGATTGATAGTGATTCACATAGTACATTTGTACTGAAGCATTTTGGTGAACAAAGGTAGCAATGAAGCTTTTTATCCTTTGAAGAAGTACAGGTAGTAAAAAAGGGAGCAGTAAGCAGGTTCCTATTACTATTATAACTCCTACTGTAGAGTTTTAAATCCTCCTAGTGCTGGGAACCAATTTCTAAACATGGCCCCAAGATCATATCCATGCCACACTTGCAGGGGCACATGTGCCAGTTTCGTTTTATTTTTAACTATGTCTTCAACTACTTGCCCCTGATCATCTATGTGTAGACAGCAATTAGTAAGGTTAAATTTTCCACAAACCCCTCCTTCAGCTGCTAGCAAGTAGTCGAGAGCTCATCTATTTTGATAGATAGCATTCCTCATCTGAGTTTCTTGCCAGGCTAGAACAGTCACGGCTTAACCAGTTTTATTACTGATGATTTCTAAAACAGCTTGCAACTGTATAATTCAGTTGAACATGTAAATGGGGGTCTGGTATCCCCATGAGCCATTTTGTGCCCAAGGGGCAGGCCCATAGTATTGTATAATTCTCTCAGGAAGCCATTCATCGTCTTTCCAATTACCTATGGCTATGCTTTGCTTTTCGTGAGAAGCACAGACAGGGAAGCGTAGGAGTTCACCTGTTTTTATGGGTATTAGGAAGAAAGATGT
Source organism: Homo sapiens (assembly GCF_000001405.40). Taxonomy (NCBI): domain Eukaryota; kingdom Metazoa; phylum Chordata; class Mammalia; order Primates; family Hominidae; genus Homo; species Homo sapiens. Next base: position 12,250,757 of record NC_000024.10, on the reverse strand, counting down.
TTTAATAGTGCCAATTACACAACTACCTGTCCACTGGTCAGGTAGCTTAGCATAGGCTCTATGTCCACATATCCAGTATAACCCAGTGGGGGCAGTCCAGTCCTGGTGGGATTCTGGGTGGGCCCAAATGGTCTGCAACTCTGGAAATTTACTGAATGGATTTTTCTCTGTGTGGTTTGAACTCCCCCATGTAACTGTTTTGTGGTACTGTTATACAGTTTCTGTCCTAGACAACTAAGCCGTCCTACAGGATGAGTAAATTCTTTTCCTTTTCTAGCTATGCAATAGTGTACAATAATTGAGACTTTTAGAACCCAGAAATTGTCAGGGTGGTTCTTTTGGGCTGGGAATTCATCAGGAACTGGGTCTGTAGGAACTGATTCTTGGGCTTCCCGTGGCCATCGATCTCCTTTTAAAGTTCCTCCACAAACAACACAGAATGACTTTTAGAGACTGGGCTACATGCTCGGTTAATTGCAAAAACAAATTTTTAGTTTTTCCTGGAATCTCAGGTACTGGCACATTTAGTTCATCATAGAAAGTCTGAAATACTGGTTCTGGACAGCGTTTCTGAACCTCCCCTTTTATTAAGGTATTTACTCTAGGGTCTAGTCCTTTTCCATCAATGCCTAGAGATATGTGTTCTCCTTTTTCCTACTTTGGGTATAAGGGATTTGTAATTACCAATTCTAAAGGGTTGCAGCTTCCACTTGTGCAGGACGAGCTGCTTTTTCCTTTTTGGAAAACGAGATCTTTTTCATCTTTTTTCCAAGAAACCCAGATGACACAAGACCAGTGCTGACACACTTTTGTACATGAATATGATTCATCGCAGATATACTTATTTTCTGCTGTGTAACTTTTTTCCCAATCTAAAGAACCGCATCCTATTCCATACTGATTACTATTAATAGTGGCAAAAGCATCAAATTTTAGGGTTACATGCTTGGGGACCCCTCTTTCTTGTGTCTTAGCTATTATTTTACTTGTGTCACCTAGAAAAGGACCAGTTCTTAGTCTTATTTCAAAAAACTGTGATCATGGGAGGTTCAGAGGAGTCACAGCACACATCAGGCTGATCACTTCCTGGATTACAGACTTTGTGCTGAGTGTTATTATATAAACATGTTCCTTCTGGAGTTCCTAGGCACTCATAATAACTATAGAACAAAAAGATTGTTTTAACCTTTTGTCCTACCTCAGTGACCTGAAGTATGCACTGAAAGCATTCCTCTGTGTGGGAAGAAGCAGCTTTTACCACACAAATCCATGTTATAAGGAAAATAAGTCCCACGACGATTTTCCTCATGCTTTGGCCGTATGTAGACCAGTCAGCTTCCGGATGTGACTGCAGCGGGGCTTGTCATCCCCCTCAGGGTCACTTTACAGGGATTGTCCAGGCTTGGTTTGGCCTAGGTATCAGCAGCTGCAGGCTTTAGGCAGCTGTGGTGAATCCAGGTCAGAATTCCTTCTACTTTTACAGCTGTGAGGGTGGTCAAGATAATGGTCTGAGGTCCTTTCCACCATGGCCACAAAGGGGCTATGTTCCAGTTGTTGATCCACACATGGTGACCTGGAGAAAAAGCGTGAACTGGGGAGAATAAGCTGACCAGGCACTTCTCATTTACCCAAGTTGAGATTGTCTGGGTAATTTTCCCCAAGACCTGTAGCTGTTGCTGCAATTCAATTTCACCCAACTCTTGCGGAGTACCTGAAAGTCCTCACAGTATAGGAGAAGGCCTGTGATATAATATTTCATAAGGGGAGTATCCTATTTTCATAGAGGAGATGCAACTAATTTTAAACAATACTATAGGAAGGGACTGCATCCATTTTAATCCTGTCTCTTGACATACTTTCCCTAACCTATTTTTAATAGTCTGATTAATTCACTCCACCTTTCCGGAACTCTGAGGTCAGTAGGCAGCATGTAACTTCCAAGTGATTCCCAATATCTTTGCCGTCTCTGTACTACATCAGCCTCAAATGCCGGCCTACTATCTGAGCCGATCCATAGAGGGAGTCCAAACCTAGGGATGAGGTCTCAAAGAAGCACACAGGTTACTACACAAGCTTTTTCAGTTCTTGTTGGATAAGCCTCTACCCACCCAGAGTAAGTACACATTAGAACCAGTAAATACTTGTTACCTCCACATTTGGGCATCTTTGTGAAGTCCACTTGAAGATCTTCAAAAGGAGCTGCTCTATAGGCTTTTATGCCAGGAGGAACAGAGGGGCCTTGCTTTGCATTATGCTGTCATCAGGTAACCCATCACTGTGCTACTGTCTTAGCAAGAGCTGGCAAGTGTGAGATATAGAAATACCAGCTTAACAGCTTTTCAAGTGAGTCTTGGCCTGAATGGGTAGTTTCATGTACAGCCAGCGTGACTGTGGCTCCTAGCAGCTGTGGTACAGCTATTCTCCCATCTAGTAACTTTATCCATCCTTTTTGTATTGCTTGTCCTCCCTCTGCCTGAAGAAAGTCTTTTTCCTCTTTAGAATAAGTAGACACAAGATCAGGTGTTTGAGGGAGCAGGAAGGCTGTGACTGATGCCCGGTAAGGAGTAGACGCTGCTTTTCGTGCCTCTGTGACTGCTCGGGAGTTTCACTGGCTTACTGAGGTGGAAGCTCGCTGATGTCACCTGCAGTGCATAACTGCTGCCTTTTGGGCTTTCCACACTGCCTCTAATAATTGCAGAATTTCTCGTTGATATTTTAAGTCTCTGCCTCCAGAATTTAACAGGGCTTTTTCTTTATATAATGCTCCATGTACTTGAATGGTTAGAAAGGCATGTTGAGAGTCAGGATAAATGTTTACAGTCTTACCTTCACTGAGTTCTAGAGTCCGAGTTTAAGCAATGAGTTCTGCTTTCTAGGCTGAAGTGCCCTGAGCGATGGCTTGGCTTCAATAACATTATTCAAGGTTACCACCACATATCCGGAACATCTTTCTCCTCGTGGATTGATGAAGCTGCTCCCGTCCATGTATAACTCCCAGTCCACTGATGCCCATGGCTGGTATCAAAGATTGGATCTGCTAGAATGGACTCAGTCCAACACCTCCACACAGCTATGTTCAACAGGGCTATCCAATACTGGGAGAAAGGTGGCAGGATTTAGGGTGTTACAGACTTCAATGGTTATGTAGGGGTTTTCACATAGCAAGCTCTGGTATTTGGTTAATCTAGCATTTGTTAGCCAATTGTGTCCTTTGATATTCTTTAAACTTACCACTGCATGGAGGGCCTTTATACTTAAGTTTTGTCCAAGGATTAGCTTTTCTACTTCTTGTGCTAACAGGGCTTTAGCTGCCAGGGCTCTCAGACATGGAGGCCAGCCTTTTGAAACTCCATTTAGCTGTTTTGAGAGGTAGGCCACTGGTCTTGGCCAGGGCCGCACAGTTTGGGTTAAAACTCCAACTGCCATTTTTTCTCTTTCTGATACATAGAGTGTAAAGGGCTCTGTCAAATCTTGTAGTCCTGGAGCTGGGGTGACATAAGTTTTTCTTTTAACTTACAAAAGGCTTGCTGTTGTAGAGGCTCCCATTCAAAGGGCTCTCAGTCACCCCCCTTTGTAATCCCATACAATGGTTGGCTAGCACTGCAAAGTTTGGAATCCATAATCTGCAAAACCCCACAGCTCCTAGAAATTCCCTTACTTGCCTTCTGGTTTCAGGTTCTGGTAAGCTGCAGATGACCTGCTTTCTTTCTGACCCCAGGCTGCACTCCCCTTTCTGAATAGTGAATCCCAGGTAGTGTACCTGCTGTCTGCAGGTCTGAGCTTTCTTCTTGGACACCTTATGCCCACAGTCCTCCAGGTGCAGGGCATCCATCCCTTTTGCACAACCGACTGAATGAATCTTCAGGCACTGTATCAGATAGAACTTTAGGTGTTGGCTTCCCTCTGCGGGTGGAGCAAGAACCTTCTTTAACTAACTGTCCCTTTGCTACTAGTAATGCTGCTGCCTGTCCTCTTAACCACTGTGGGGGGTCTAAAACTAGCTGTAACCAGGAATCTATATATGAGAACTGATCTGGGTGTCCTGCCTTACAAGTTACTTTTTGCCATACCTTTGAGACAAGACACCTGTCCAAGCTTCCTTCTGATGGCCAACCCACCTGTAATTCTGGCCAATCTATTTCACACAAAGTTCTAAGTTTTCCTGGAGTCATAATGACTCCATAGTCTCCTTTGAATCCTTTCTTGAAATTCTTTAACATAGTTCCCAATGGGATTGGCTTACTTTGAGGCTGGCCCATGTTTTCTCAAGACAAAATACCATGCCCACACCACACACTCACCACAAAACAAAGAATGGGTAAAGAGGGCACACACACACCTTTAAGATTTATACCAAACTAAAATCAGAGTATCAGGCCAAGTCAAAATCAAAATCAAAGTATCAAGCAATTCAAGTAAAGTCAAAACCGGAACAAAAGTGCCAATACAGGCACACCGTGGGTGATCAGGCCATGCTTCCACTCAAATGGAGTGGGCAAATTTCAAAGACTAGTCTTACCAAGTTTCAGATGTCTGGACTCCAAGTGCCAGTTCCTTCCTGGTGTTCAGCCACTGTGTTAATCCTCCGTGGGGGCCCGTTATGTGCTGCTTTGGTGAGGCGTTCCACCGGGGCAATTGCCTACCCATGAGTGTTCTTTGCATCGCGTAACTCAGGCTGGCTGGAGTCCCCCACAGGGATGCTCCACAGGGTAAGCCTAAGCCACCTAAGGGGCTGCCTCAGCCGTCCATCAGTCACCTCACTTCCAGGTCAGGGAACCAAGAAATGTAGCAGGACAAGCTGTGAACAAAACCCCACAGACACCAAGATAGTGAAGGAAGTGGCTTTAATCAGCTGGAAGCATTGGCAGACTAACATCTTAAAATCTGAGCTTTCAGGTGCCCACCTTCTTTCCCTTTTAAGGGCTCACAACTCCAAGGGGGTCTGTGTGAGAGGGCTGTGATTGATTGAGCAAGGCAGGGGTAACGTGACAGGGACTGCAAGCACCAGTGGTCAGAGTGAAACAGAATAGAATGGGAGGTTTCACAATGTCCTTCCATACAATGTCTGGAATCTATAGATAACATCAGTTGCTAGGTCAGGGGTGGAATTTTAACCACCAGGCTTAGGTCAGGCAGGCCCAGGCCTGGTTTCAGGTCTGGTTCTTTGGTTTCAGGTCTGGTTCCTAGGCGCCGGGCTACCTGCCTTTTGTTTCACTTTTCTTTCCTTTTCTGAGTATAAAACAATATAAAGCAATATGAGAGGGTCTGTCTCTCTTCTCTTAGTCTGTTTTTCACCCAGTCTCCACCTCTTCTATTGCCAGAACCAACAGTGGCCTTTGCAGTCTTCCTGACTTTCTTTGTTCTGTTCTTTCATTCCACTTGCTGTTTCCCTGGGATCTTTTTCTTCTCACATGTGGTGATTCTTGAAAGTCTATGTTGGGGTTCATTTTTCTTTGCATAATGCAAAGATTTGTAAATTGTGCCAAAACCAGTTGTCTTAACCACCACCAAAATGAGTTCTGAATATGAATACAAACAGGACATCCTGGCTAGGCATGGGGGCTCACTCTTGTAATCCCAGCACTTTGGGAGTCCAAGGTGGGTGGATCACTTGAGGTCAGGAGTTCAAAACCAGCCTGGCCAACATCATGAAACCCTGTCTGTACTAAAAATACAAAAATTAGCCAGAGGTGGTGACACATACCTGTAGTCCCAGATACTTGGGAGGCTGAGGCAGGAAAACCCTTGAACCTGGGAGGTGGGTGTTGTAGTGAGCCAGGTTTGCACCACTGCACTCCAGCCTGGGCAACAGAGCAAGACTCCATTTCAAAAAAAAAGAAAAAAGAAAAAAAAAAAACCAGGACATTCTTTGGCTAGCATTTTTCTGGATTTCTGTCTTAAGTACTGTTGCCTTCCTGGCGTGAAGAACATTAATGACCATTTGTTGCCTCTGAAGAAGTCGGTACCTCATGACTTTCCTATGTAGATAGTTGCTGTGTCATTCATGTTGGCAGCTGAGTACCCTGGTGCAATCAGAGCTACTGCAGCCTTGAACTCTTGGACCCCACAGCAATCCTCCCAGTTCAGCCTCCATAGTAGGTGGCACTGTAGACACGTACCACGACACCCAGCTCATATTATTTTGTAGGGAATGAGTCTTCCTATGTTGCCCAGGTCAATCTCAAACTCCATTCCCCTAGTGATCCTCCTGCCTCAGCCTCCCAAAGTGCTGGAATTACAGGCATAAGCCACTGCACCAACCCTAATTTCCATTTTCTAAGCATATCTTCCTGTGCCAGAAAACAAGCACCTACAGACACTTGTGCCATCTGCTCAGTTGCTTTGCTCTAAATATAAGGCCCTGTGTCATCAGGATGCAACATACCAGACATTTAAACAGTGTATTAAGAGCAACAAGTCTGAACATGGCCAGTAGCCAACCAAAAGGGTTTATGTTTGTCAACAATAGATAGAAACTGAATCAGGACTGTTGCAATAATTCAGCAAAATTTGTCTGAACCCAGAAAATCTGAGAGGTCTCAGTTAACTTAGAAAGATTATTTTGTCAAGGTTGAGGACACGCCCATGCATGACACAGCCTCATGGGACCCTGATGACATGTGCCTAAGGTGGTCCTGGCACAGCTTGATTTTATACATTTTAGGGAGACATGAGACATCAATCAACATATGTAAGACATACATTGGTTCGCTTTGGAAAGGCGGGACCAATTGAAGCAAGGCTGGAAGTCTTGAGGTGGGAGGGGGCTTTGAGGTCACAGATGGTGAGACACAAACAGTTGCATTCTTTTGACTTTCTGCTTAGCCTTTCCAAAAGAGGCGATCAATTATCCATCTATCTCAGTGAGCAGAGGGGTGACTTTGAATACAATTGGAAGCAGGTTTGCCCTTAGCAGTTTCCAGCTTGAGTTTTCCTGAGTCATTCTGGGGGCCCAGGATATTTTCCTTTCACACATACTGGCACTGAGTGACATAGCAATTGGTCTCCTGGCAGTCTGGAAATTTCAGCAACAGCTGATAAGCCATTGCCTCTCCTGAGCAGCCAAGTTCTACAAAGCAAAGAGAAGTAGTCATCAACAACCTCGGAGCAGCACTGCTTTGATCCCCCCAGAATGTGCCAGAGCTTTGATGAAGTCTCTTATTTCCTTCTTAATTCAGCCTCATGATTTAGGTATAAACACTTGTGTGAGATTGCCCAGAGCTGCCATAAAAATCACCATAAACTTGGTGGTTTAAGAAAACAGACATTCATTCTTCTACAATTCTGGAGGCTAGAAGTTCAAAAATCAAGGTGCTTCCTCCGAGGCCCTGGGTAGAATCCGTCCTTGCCAATCCTTGAAATTCCTTGGCTTGTGGACATATCACTCCAATCTCTGCCTTTGTCATTACATGAATGTCTACGCTCTGTGTCTTTAAATCTCTCTCTCCTTATAGAGAGAGATTATAGTCATATAGAATTTAGAACCCACCTTCATCTAGTATGACCTCATTTTCTCTTGATGGCATCTTTAAAGACCCCAGTTCCAAATAAAGTCTCATTTATTTGGTACCAGGGTTTAGAACTTTAATGTAACATTTGAGGAGGTCACAATTTAACCCACTGCACCCCAAAATACCAAGAAGAGGACCTGGGACTTGAAATGCTCTGTAACTTGCTCAGAAGAACACAGCTTAGGTGTTACTGGGCTGGGACTAGCGCCCTAGCCATGCCAACCCCAAAACTCCATGTACATCAACCCTATGGTGTTGAAGTAGGAGGCGGGACTTGACTCCAGAGGTGGGGTTGGACGCCAGACCAGATTGAGGACTAGCTAAAACAGGGCAGACTGAAGCAGCTTTCAGTCAGACATGCCCACCAGTGTGCCATGTCTATTTACCAATGCCATGGCAACACCTGGGAGTTACCACCCATTTCCGTGGCAATGACCCAATAACTCAATGATTACGACCCTTTCCCTAGATATTTCTGCATAACCTACCCCTTAATCTGCATGCAATTAAAAATGGGTATACACTTTGGGAGGCCAAGGTGGGCAGATCGTTTGAGGTCAGGAGATTGAGACCAGCCTGACCAACATGGTGAAACTCTGTCTTTACTAAAAATACAAAAATTTGGCCGGGTGTGGTGGTGCATGCTTGTAATCTTAGCTACTCTGGAGACTTAGGCAGGAGAATCGCTCCAACATGGGAGGCGGAGTTTGCAGTGAGATCATGCCACTTGCACTCCCTGGGTGACAGGGTGAGACACTGTCTCAAACAAGGAAAAAAAAAAAAAAAATGGGTATAAATAGGACTGCAAAACTGCCCTGAGCTGCTACTCTCTTCCTAGGGGGTAACCCTTTTCTGCAGGAACAGTCACAAAGCATAACACTGTTGCTTCAATAAAGCAGTTTTCTTCTACCTCTGGTTTGCCCTTGAATTCTTTCCTGGGCTAAGCCAGGAACCCCTGTGGGCTAAGCCCCACTTTGAAACTCACCTGCCCTCCATCAGTGTCTTTCAAAGGTGTAAACCAGGAGTAACATAATCAGGTGTGTTCATCAATTTGCAATTGCAAAAATGTGGAACCAGCCTAAATGCCCACCAATCAATGGGTGGATAAAGAAACTGTGGTATATATTTGTACAAAGAAATACTAATCAGCCATGAAAAGGAATGAATTAATGGCATTCACAGCAACGTGGATCAGTTTGGAGACTAAGTGAAGTCACTCAGAAATGGAAAACCAAACATTGTATGTTCTCACTCATAAATGGGAGCTAAGCTATAAGGATGCAAAGGCCAGGACTCTGGGGACTCTGGGGGAAAGGGTAGGAAGGGGGTGAGGGATAAAACACTACAAATTGAGTGCATTGTATACTGCTCAGTGATGGATGCACCAAAATCTCACAAATCACCACTGAAGAACTTACTTATGTAACCCAACACCACCTGTTCCCCCAAAACCTATGGAAATAAAAAAATTAGAAAATTATGTGTGTTTGATTTATTTCAATGGACTGTATTATTGTGCTGTCTTCACTAAGGAGTAATATGAAAGTGTCAAGTGAAATAGAAATAACTGTCTTAATATTAACTATTAAACAAGGATATCTTTTTCCTAAGTGATTTGGGGCCACCATATCAGACCTTATTTGTCTACAAAAGAATTCCTTACAAAGGCTGAGCAATTTCTCTGCCAGTCTGTTCTAAGATCTCTAAAGCATTCATTTTCTCATCACTGTTAGGAGGATGTTCATTTTGAATTTAGAAAACCCTAGAACAGAATCTTAGGATTTTAGCCTGAGAAATAACTTCTGAAATCATTTTCTCAAATGCTCTTATATTTGCAGATGAAGAACACAGAGTGTGGAGACATGAAGAGGCTTTGGTGAGTCCACACTGTAAAGGGAGCAGGACCATGACGTCTGGCCCCAAGGTTGTCAACCCCAAATGCAAGATCCTTCTCCCTCCCTGGCTCCGGTCCTTCCATTTTCTTTAACCACATGGCAAGGAGAAGGTAGTAGATAAAAGCAAGCTATGTATAACCAAGGGAACACGTTCTTTTCCACACAGTGGTGTTCAGAGGTGGAAAGAATGTTCTCTAGGGTTTGACACAATGGGGTGAATGGTAATTGTTCTTCTTGCCAGCTAAATATCTTTGGACATATTCCCTAATGTATCTGTACTTCAATTGTTCCCTCTGTGAAATGCAACTGAAAAGTATATTACCAGACTTACAAAGATTCATGGAGATAATATCTGTAAAAGACTTTGCACATAGCCCATAGGCCCATAGGTAGCTCTTAATAAGTATTATATTTCCTTTTCTAGTGGTTATTTTGAAAATACCTTAAGATTAAAATTGAAAGAATGTCATCTATCAAAATGATACAAACCTTTGCCATTGGTCTAAACACTCCAAACTCAATGCTTAAGTAACCTATCATGACCCATTGCATCGAGAAAATACCTTCACCTGCCTTGTCTATCCGAGGTGGTCAATATTTTCCATATGCCCCTTAAGCCCTTAATTAACCTTTTTCCCTAAATAGAAAGATAAATTATACAATTCAGTCTGCAAATATAGTTACTTAAGGGATGTCTATTATTTCCTCATTCTGAATTATCCTTCAAATAATTTATATTCTTTCCTTAGCATCAAGGAATGCAAGCCTGATTGAGCACGGCGTGTTTTTAATCATTACATGAATTTAAACACTAGGTGGCATGCTAATATAGCTGCCTGCACAGCTAGCTCCAAATTCCTAATATGATAAATGTGTACATTTATTTCATTTTTGTAAAGATAGCATACATTTTAACTTTATTCTCAGAAGAGGTATTTGAAAAGGAAAGATATATTTTTCAACCTATATTGTTTGATTGTATCCAGAATTCACCTCCACCTACTTTATCCATCTGAGGTTGTCAGTATTTTACATAAGCTCCTCAAATCCTTAATAGCTTTGAAGGAATGGAATGCATTGATTAAAGTTTTAGACAGGAATAACATAAAGCAAAAATTAGAGAAAGAAAGACAGACAGAAGGGTAGCAGGGGAGAGAGAGAGACAGAAATATCAAAGTGAATCATTTATTATCTGGATTTTTCTAAGCACAAATATTTTAATTACAACTAGTATGTGTGATCTGTGCCACTCATTCATCCATCAGAGGCTGAGCATAAATGGAGAACCTAGAATAATCCAGGCACTGGTCTAAAGTTGGAGAAATGATACATAGTTTCTTTTGTCTCAAGACCTTGTTCAGAGGATGAGAAAAGCAATGTGAATTAGAATTGAGATGGGCCAACAATAAATAATCTCAAAAGGCTTGGCTGAAAGCAGCAACCATACCTCAGATCTTGGCTATAATTTAGTTAAGGAAGCAGTGTATTTAGCAGCCTACTTGGAATGATTTTTTCAAATCCAAATATTTTATGATATTTGATTTGGGTGGTACAGGGATTTAAAAGCAAATCCCAAATTGGATGGACGCACAAATGGTAAAGACTCCTAGGATCAGGGTTGTATGATTTTCCTTACTCAGATCTGCAAATGGCCTCAGAAGCCCTCCTCTGACTACAGCAGATTTCCTTGGTACTCTTGTAAAAAACAGGCGGGAGATACAGGAAGTACACATTGCATGGAAGTGGAAGCACAGTTTGTGCGGTGGATACCTTGGGGTCATGTTATGGGATGATGGTTTGTTGCCCGGCCACCTCTTGGTGATGATAATTGAGCAATGAACATTTTCCAGCAACGGATTTCAGGATGACACACAGATTCTGCAGAATAGAAAACTTGGATTCTGAATCAGAAAAATCCTGCCTCTTTAAGTATGCCTTGTTTGATTTTGCATTGCATTTAGATGACATGCAAGTGAAACTCCCACTTGGAAAATGCCAAGTATCTACCCACATCTGCAGCCTGTATTCATTCTTTAAACAGTAAAGACTCCCTTCCTCCCTTCCTCCCTCCATCCCTCCCTCCTTCCCTTCCTTCCTTTCTTCCTTCTTTCCTTCCTTCTTTTTTTTTTTTTTCTGAGACGGGATCTTGCTCTGTCACCCAGGCTGCAGTGTAGTGCTGCAATCATGATTCACTGCAGCCTCGACCTCCCAGGCTCAAGTGCCCTCCTGCCTCAGCCTCCCAAGTAATTGGGACCACAGGTATAAGCCACGACTCCCACCTAATTTTTGTATACTTTATAGAGATGAGGTCTCACTATGTTGCCCAGGTTGGTCTCAAATTCCTGGACTCAAGCCATCTACCCACCTTGGCCTTCCAAAGTGCTGGAATCACAGACATAAGCCACCATGCCCAGCCTATTTTTGTTTCTTCTAAGCAGAGTTTTGATTAGCAACCCAGATTCCCTAATTTTAATCCCAAGACCCAAATTTAGATCCCTGCCAAAGAAATGCTGTCAATAGTATAGACTCAGGAAATACGCACTTTTAAGAGCAAACTCCTTCAGAAATCTACTCTTGCTATCAATATAAGTAATAATGACTTAAGCAACCTCAGTTCTTGGCATCTTTTCTTTGTGGATAGAACCAGGTATAGTTTGCAAGGCCGAGTGCAAAATGAAAATGCTCAGCTCTTGGGGAAACAGGTAAAAATAAAAATAAAATGCTTACTTCTGTTAAAACAAACTAAATATGGCCCAAGAAGGATTCCGTACTTCTATATGTGAGTCCTTGTGGATGAAGGGTATCCTAGTTTAATAGGCAGCCAAAATTGAAAACCTAACTAATAATATGCATCTGTAACAATAGCTGAGTGTTGGCCAATCCCAGGGGACATACTTCAACCACTCACAGACTGCTGAGTGTTCATACTGTGTTCAAATCAGGCAAACACCGAGCTGTAATCCATTTCACTGTTTCTATACCGCACTTCTGATTCCTGTACCTCACTTTACTTCTTTTGTCTATAAATTTATTCTGACCACAAGGCACCCCTGCAGTGTCTCTGAATCTGCTGTGATCCTCAAGGCTGCCTGATTCAATAAGATCTTTTCTTTGCTCAGTTAAACTCCACCAAATTTTACTTGTCTGAAGTTTTCTTTTAACAGCTCTCTGTTCCAAAATGTTTAAGGATTTTGACAGGGCGCTGGTAGAGCAGAAGGAAAAACAACAACAACAATAACAACTTTTTCCTCTGTCTTCCTCAGTTCTCTAGCTACTGCCCTGGAAATGGAACTGACCAAAGAACCAAAGAAAAGCAGAGTTTATTAAGATTTGCAGTGTACATCCATTGTGGTGAAAGTCAGTGATGAGTAACTCAAAAGTGTGGTTAGGACATGGGGCACATAGAACAAATCACCCAAGAACAATACATTTGTCATGAAGAAAAAAGGCAAAGGAAAAAGGCCTTTTAAGCTCCTAGGAGCTGCAAACTTTGGGAAGATAAATACAGGAGGGAAGCTAATGGAAGATAAAGGCAAATTGAGTAAGGTTTGTTATGTAGATTCCTCTAGGCCTGTGTCTCTGGTAATTAACAGTCTAAGTCTACTTTCAGGCGAATAGGAGAGTGCAGAGAGTTTTTTTTTTTTTTCCACTCCCTTAGCTGACTTGCTTTTATTGTTTGAGTTAAAAAAGAACGAGATCATGTCCTTTGCAGGAACACAGATGGAGCTGGAGGCCATTATCCTTAGCAAACTAGCACAGGACCAGAAAACCAAATACCGCATGTTCTCACTTATACATAGGAGCTGAATGATGAGAACACATGGACACAAAGAGGGGAACAACACACATTGGGGCCTTTCAGAAGGTGGAGCGTGGGAGGAGGGAGAGGATCAGGAAAAATAACTAATGGGTATGTGAACCCAGAAAGTCTGAGACAGGTCTCAGTTAACTTAGACAGTTTCTTTTGCCAAGGTTGAGGATGTGCCGTGACACAGCCTCAGGAAGTCCTGACGACATGTGCCCAAGGTGGTTGGGGCACAGCTCCGTTTTATACATTCAGGGAGACATGAGACATCAATCAATATATGTAAGAAGCACATTGATTCGATCTAGAAAGGTGGAACAACTTGAAGCAAAGGCAGGAAGCCTGGAAGCAGGGAGGGGGATTCCAGGGCACAGATAGGTGAGACACAAACAGTTGCATTGTTTTGAGTTTCTGATGAGCCTTTCCAAAGGAGGCGATCAGATACGCGTCTCTCAGGGAGCAGAGGGGTGACTTTGACTAGAATGGGAGGCAGAGGCCCTAAGCAGTTCCCAGCTGGACTTTTCTCTTTAGCTTAGTGACTTGGAGGCCCCAAGATATATTGTCCTTTCACAGGTTCTGAACTTAATGCCTGGGTGATGAATTAATCTGTATAACAGCTGTTTTCTTTTAGCAGCTCTTGCTTCTCAATTTTCTTTGGCTCAAAATAATGCTTATCCCAAAGTGATATCTTTTGGGGTGACCTATCCTGCTCTCCCACAAGAGCCTTAAGCAAAGTTTAGAGCTGTCATGAAAAGACCACCAGGATGCGCAAATAGTGTAATAGAAAGGAGAGTTTTATTGGTGATATCGCTTTGCAAACTGGGGAGTGAGTGTCCCTGGCATAAAGAAAAGATGCTCTCTCTCTGAAGAGGGAAAAGAGATTGGGTCTCATGCCTCATAGGGATCATATTACACAATAGAGTCATGCATATTCAGCAGGTTTGGTGGAGAAGCTATGCATATTTATGAGGGGAGCTGAGTGCATGCCCAACGGGTAAACATATACGTAACATATGACTCATGTTCATTTTGGGGCTATGTTTTAGTATTAAAATGAGGTGAGGCATGGTGGCTCTTTCCTGTAATCCTAGCACTTTGGGAGGCCAAGGCAGGTGGATCACTTGTGCTCAGGAGTTTGAGACAGCCTGGGAAACAGGGTGAAACCTGGTCTCTACAAAAAATAAAAATAAAAGAATTAGCTGGGCATGGTGGCACATGCATGTGATCCCAACTATTTGGGAGGCTGAGGTGGAAGAATTGGTTGGGCCCAGAAGACTGAGGCTGCAGTCAGCCAAGACTGCACAACTGCACTCCAGCCTGGGTGACAAAGGGGAATGGTGTATCAAAAAAAAAAAAAAAAAGAAAAAAAAGAGGTGGGATTTGGTTCTTTATGTGAAGAGGTGAACTATATGACACAAACAGTGTGAAGCCTCTTGAGCTGCTGAAACTGGAGTAAGTTCTGCAGTTGCTTATTAGAAAGAATATGGGTAAAGCTGCTTCTCTGTCTGAATAGTGATCTGGGTTGTCAAGACTTAGAAGGGGCCGGGCACAGTGGATCATGGATCATGCCTGTAATCCCAGCACTTTGGGAAGCTGATGCAGGTAAATTGCTTAAACTCAGGAGGTTGAGAACAGCCTGGACAACATGGTGAAACTCCATCTCTGCAAAAAATACACATGCTCAAATTAGTTGAGCACAGTGGCATGAACCTGTGGTCCCGGCTACTTAGGAGGCTGAAGTGGCAGGATCACTTGAGCCCAGGAGGTTGAGGCTTCAGTGAGGCATGATCATAACACTGCACTCCAGCTTGGGCTATAGAGTGAGACCCTGTTTAAAAAAAAAAGTGTTAGAAGGGTCTGATAATTTGCCTGGGTAGCTTGTCTTCTTACGGAATTTAGCAAGAGTGTGGTTTTTCTTGTAGCCGTAGGAATTTAGGAAGTTGCCACCCTAGCCTCTCTGTGAACTCAGCCTGTAGCAAACTTTTCTTTCCTTAACCTTAGGGTCTGTTTTAGTTGCTAAAGGGGCATTTATTTTGGTCTCTCTGATGACAGGGACTTGTGCAACAGTGGAGGTCCTTCATCTTGAAGTTCACCCTGAACATGGGTAATATCACCCAGACAACACCTGGAGCCTTCACGGTAACTTAGGGCAAGTGTCACTGGTTTTCCAAAACCCAGCCGAAATTTCAGGTCTCACTAGACAGGCACGGCCCTCTTCTTAGACTGTTCATGTTTAATGCAAGAGCTATATTTAAGCTGAGCGCCAAAAGATGTGTTGAATTAAGTTTAGCCTAAAGCTGCTCCCTGACATATTTTAAGGTTTGCTTAAAGGTTTCTCCGTACGCAGTGCACTGAAACCTAACTGGATGTGTAAACAGGCTGGAACCTACTTTTGTGCCAATCACAAAGTTTTGTCCGAAGGAAGTCAACTATCCAAACCATGCTCAAATAAGGCCAATGGTCAGCTGGAAAGAATTTGGCTATTTCTGTACCTCACTTCTGTTTTCTGCACACAACTTTCCTTTTTTTGTCCATAAATCTTCTCTCACCATGAGACAGCGCCAGAGTCTCTCTGAACCTACTCTGGCTCAGTGGGTTATCCAATTTGTGAATCGTTCTCTGCTCAATTAAACTCTGTTACATTTATTTGACTTATTTATTTTTATTTTTATATTTTTTTAGAGACAAATTCTCACTCTGTCACCCAAACTGGAGTGTGGTGGTACCATCATAGCTCACTGCAACCTTAACCTCCTGGGCTCAAGCAATCCTCCCACCTCAGCTTCCCAAATAGCTAAGACTACAGATGCCACCCACCTGCCTCAACTACCCAAGTAGCTGGGACCATAGATGTCAGCATTTGTTTTTTCTGGCTTTCACTACCAGAGGAATCCTTTTGCAACTGGCAGATCTGATGGAAGAACCTATGCATTGCAATCCCTGGGTTGGAGATGCCACTGAGATACCTCAGTGGAAATGCCAAGGAAGGAGTGGAAAGCTGGATGACAGGAGACTGTTGGTCTGTAAGTGAGGCAGTAGCACTAGGGAATCCTATCTTCAGCCACACTGGGTGGTTTTCTTTAAATTTATGTCTCATAGTAGTTCAAGTCATATCTGGCCTTCTGGGGACACAGTCCCAACATGTTTCTTTTGTTGTTGTTGTTTTTTGTTTTACTCCTCTGATGTTACAAAAGCTCCAATGTATACTTCTTTTAAGGTGCCCTGGCTCATGCCTGTAGGCCCAGCTACTCGAGAGGCTGAGACAGGAAGATGGCTTGAACACGGGAGGTCAAGGCTGCAGTGAGCTATGAATGCACTACTGAACTCCAGCCTGGGTGACAGAATGAGACCCTATCTAAAAAGAAAAGAAAAGAATAAATAAGACAGTGCATTTCAATGAAGGAGCATTCTCTTAAAATGGAAGAGAAAACACTTTTAATGGATGGGCATGGTGGCACATGTTTGTAATCCTAGCACTTTGGGAGGCCAAGGTAGGAGGATCGCTTAAGTCCAAGAGTTAGAGATCAGCCTGGGCAACATGGCAAAACCCTGTCTTGAATTCCTGGCCTCAAGTGTTCTGCCCACCTCAGCCTCCCAAACTGCTGGGATACTGTGCCTGGCCAGAAACCTTGTCTTTACAAAAAACACACAAAAATCTATGGTGGTAGTCCATGCCATCCCAGTTAATCCAGAGGCTGAGGTGGGAGAACAGCTTGAGCCTGAGAGGTTGAGGCTGCAGAGAGTCGAGATCATGCCATAGCACTCCAGCCTGGGTAACAGACTGAGACCCTGACTCAAAAAACCAACCAACCAACAAACAAAGAAAAAAAGAAAACAACAACAAAAAAACAGAGTAAGCCAGGCTTGGTGGCTCATGCCTGTAATCCCAGCATGTTGGGAGGCAAAGGTAGGAGAATCACTTGAGCCCAGGAATTTGAGACCTGCCCGGACACCACAGTGAGTCTCCATTTCTATTTATATTAAAAAATAAAAATTTAAAAAACAGAGTACCTCAGAGTCACATATCATTAGTGTAGATACAACTATTACCTACAAGGGGATGAAGTATGTCCCCAGCAGAGTGAGAACTGATGATATCTCTTCAGATTTAGTTGTTTAATCTCATGAATCAACATCAGTTTTGTTGATTCAATGGTGCAAATATAAAGTTTGATGAAAGAAAACGGTCCTAGTGTTAGGTCATAGGGTGACTATAGTTTACAGTAATCTATTACATATTCAAAATTGCTAGAAGAAAAGAATTCAAATGGTTCTAGCATAAAGAAAAGACAAGTATTTATGATGATAAAGAGCCCAAGTACTCATTTGATTTTTACAAATTATGTGAATCTATTCAATTATTACGTGTATCCCAAAACCATGTATATCCATTATGTGTCAATTAAAAAATAACAAAGAAAACTCCAAAAAACCCATGACCTTTGAAGTAGATTTCAATGTTTCATATTGAATATTTACATATCATCATATTTACATATTGAATATTTACCTACTGAATATTTACATTTTACATATTCAAAAAGCATGTAATGAGTGGAGAATACCCTCAGGGAACATGCTTGCAATGTGGATACCATATTTGTCTTTCTCTTATGTTTTAGTGGAGAAAGAAATAAAAAAGTACTATTTCCTACTTCATTAGTACCAGGAGAAGTGTTTGGCAGTAGAAATAGAGGAATGTTAGAGGAAATTTCCCAAGTTTGGAAAGGAAGGAAAGATTCCCTGAGAAAGTGGTGTTTGAAGGTAAATCTGATTGGTAAGTAGAGTAAGGGGTGGTAATATGTAGCACTGGGTCTTTCTGGGTAGAGTTTAGCAAGGAATGGAGTAGGGAAACTGTAACCATGAGATCAGCTTGAACCAGTTCAACTCAATTGTTTAACCATTGTTTAAGCTGTTATACAGTTGCAACAGAACCAACACTGCATGTTGTGTAGCCTGGGCACAGGCAAAGGGAAAAAGCTTTGACTTCCAGTCACACCTGAAACTGATGATGCTTCCCTGTGGAACCAAAAACAGCTGGACATGACCGGAACCAGGATGCTGAAACCCATTCAGAAGCAAAGGGTCTACTCCCCCAGAAGACATTGTGCTGAAATCCACTATTCCATATCTTATTATAAATAGCCAAGGTTAAAGCCCTTTAATTAAAACTTGCCACACCAGCACTTCCACATACCTCTTTTTCTTTTCTTTTGTTTGTTTCTTTCTTTTTTTCTTTTCTTTTCTTTTCTTTTTTTTTTTGACAGGGTCTTGCTCTTTCACCCAGGCTGGAATACGGTGGCGTGATCATGGTGCGCTGAAGCCTCGACCTCCTGGGTTTAATTGATCCTCCCACGTCAACTTCCTGGGTGGGTAGCTGGGACCACAGGTGGGCACCATCACACCAGGCTAGTTTTCATATTTTTTGTGGAAATGTGGTTTTGCCATGTTGCCCAGGCTGGTCTTGAACTCCTGGCCTCAAGCAATCCTCCCAGCTCGGCCTCTCAAAGTGCCATCATTACAAACATGAGACACTGTGCCCAGTCACACACTTCTTAACCCATAAATATTTGAGCTAACCCCCAGATCAGGGAGACAGATTTGAGCCCTGCCTCCTGTCTCCTTGCCAGCTGACCTCACAATAAAGCCTTAAAAAGGAAAAAAAAAAAAAAGAAAGAAAGAAAAAGAAAAGAACAAAGAAAAAAAATGGTACCCTACAGCACAGCATGGTGGCTCACACTTGTAATCCAAGCACTTTGGAGGCTGAGGCAGGTGGATTGCTTCCGCTCAGGAGTTGGAGACCAGCGTGGGAAACAGCAAAACCCAGTCTCTACCCAAAAATACAAAAATTAACTAGGCATGGTGATGTGTGCCTGTGGTCACAGCTACTCGGGAGGCTAAGATGGGAGGATTACTTAAACCTGGGAGGCAGAAGCTGCGCTGAGTCAAGATCGTGCCACTGCACTCCATCCCGGGCAACAGAGTGAGACCCTGTCTTAAACAATAACAACAAAATCCCCAAAGCAATGCCCTAGTATTGGCTTATATACATGTCAAGCAGCAAGCCCATTGCTCAGTAACAAAATGGGTGACGCAACCCTGAAGAGCAGTAAGAACCGCAGTGTGGCTGGGAGACACAGAATGAGGTAAACGATGGCAAACACTGAGGATGGAGAGGTAGCAGGAAAGAAGCAACAAGTACAGATGATTCAGACTTCGTGGTCTGAGATGAGGAGCTTCTTCTTTATCCCAGGAACAGTGGAAAACCATGAAATGGGTCTACACAGAACACAGCATGGTCAGGTCTATAATCTCATCTTCTACTGTGTCCAGAGGGTTTTGGACTAGGGAAGAATAAGGCTGGGAATTGAGGTGTTACCAGTTAGTGGGATGTTGCAATCCAGAAAGGAAGAGATGATGAAATCTTCCACCTGGCTCCTGACATTATAAGAGCTGGCAGGATGTGGGCTGGTCCAGGAGCTATTTAGGGTCAGGCCACAAGACAAGAAGATTAAATGATTCATGATTAAGTGATTTCCATAGCCTCCAATAAATCGACTTCATCCTTGTTTTCTTGTTCTATTATTCATCCTTGTTTTCTTGTTCCAGACCACCATCTCTGAAAAAGAAGTAGGATTATTGTGAGATGCCTTCTTTGATCTTTTGTTCTTTCCTTTTTTGGGGGGTGGGGACAAAGTCTGACTGTCACCCAGGCTGGAGTGCAGTGACATGATGTTGGTTCACTGCAACTTCCACCTCCCAGTTTCAAGCAATTCTCCTGCCTCAGCCTCCCGAGTACCTGGTATTGCAGATTTGCACCACCATGCCCAGGTAATTTTTGTATTTTTCATAGAGATGTGGTTTTGCCATGTTGGCCAGGCTGGCCTCAAACTTCTGGCTTCAAGTGATCCACCCACCTCAGCCTCCCAAAATGCTGAGATTACAGGTGTGGGCCATCACTTCTGGTTGCTCTATGCTTGAGGGGCTATAATGGAACCAACCAAGGAAAGAACATAGCAGCAAATGGCCGCTCCTCACCTTGGTATTTCTGGGAATTGTATGAGGCTACTGTAGAAAAATGGTTTGATGAAATGAAGCCTGTGATCACCTAGTAAATTGTAGAGAAATGGCTTCCACATGTGAGTCTGTCATTTCCCAAGTACATGACCTTAAGGTGAAATGGATAAAACCTCTGGCTTGGAAAGGTAGTTAGTATAATTAGGACCATATTTATTTTTCAAATACAGAGTTGAAGACCACTGTTGTTTTCTGTAATGCATGTCTAAATGGGCTCGGAGGGACTGTGAACTCTGGTCCTGGAACTGATTTCATAACCTGGGGCATGGAAATATAAGGTTGGAAGGGAGCTTGAACAGGTCTGTACAGAACCCACTGCTGATTGCTTTTGATAGAAGAAATCACTCACATGCCTCTGTAGCTGGGTCCATTTTAATAAGACAGTGCAGCTTCCTCCTCAGCTTTGAACATCTGTGGAGACAGAGAATAAGGATTCCAATGCCATCTTTTAATGATGCTCTTACAAAACTTTTGACTAGGTCGCAGGGCTTGCTTCTACTTTTGTCAAGCTGCATTAAGCATTCTTTCTTCCCATTTGCATTCACCAACCCCCTTAGCTTCTCTGTGTCCTCTCCAACCAAATATTTCTTTTTTAAAAATAGGCATCTACACTTGACCAAAAGTTGAATACATGTCTACCTAAGGATGCTAAAAGAGTTCTATCATGATTTTCGTACCACTGACCTATATTTTTTTTGTCTTGTTAATAATTGTAACTTCCAGGCCAGGCACAATGGCTCATCCCTGTAATCCCAGCACTTTGGGAGGCCATGGCAGGAGGATCACTTGAGGTAAGGAGTTCAAGACCAGTCTGGCCGACATGGGGAAACCCTGTCTCTACTAAAAACTCAAAAATTTAGCCAGGTATGGTGGCACACGCCTGTAATTCCAGCTAATTGGGAGGCTGAGGGATGAGAATGGCTTGAACCCAGGAGACAGAGGTTGCAGTGAGCCAAGATTGTACCACTGTACTCCAGCTTGGGCAATAGAGTGAGACTCCATCTCAAAAAACAAACAAAACAAAAGAAAACAAAAAACTACATTGTAAAGATATTCTGTGAATGGGGTTATACTATTAATAAATGTTTGGATCAACATCTGTAGTCCTTTTAGGAAGTAATAAGAAGGTATAAGAGGAGAGGAAAGAGATCTTTCATTGCAATCGATGTGAGGCTTTGGGTGTGAGCTAGGTTTCTGGGGTTTTCTCAGAGAGAAACTGCAAGAGAGAGAGAGGCATGCTTATATTCCATGCTGCCAAGAGTGGCAAAGATATGATAGCATTGCTTCAGCAGTAATGGTGACGGTGAGAGGGAGATGGTGGCAGGAAGTGAAAAAGCAGTATTTTCCCAGTGGAGCACTTTTTTTTCTTTTTAATAGAGAAGGGGTCTTGCTATGCTCTTCAGTCTGGTCTCGAACTTCTGGCCTCAAGTGGTCCTCCCACATTGGCCTCTCAAAGTGGTGGGATTACAGGTATGAGTCACCATGCCTGACACACAGTGGAACACTTTGGTGCTTGGCTATAAAAATTATTCCCAAGAAGCCCAAAGATGGAGAAAAAAACATGTGTTGTGTTTACCAAAAACAAGATGTCTGCTTTGCATATAACCCAAAGGGAGATCACCTGGGGGCCCCTGCCAAACATTTGAAGAAAAATTTGCAGAAAGTTCCAAGTCCTTCAAGAGTAAAGACAAAAGAGTAAAAGAATACACCAGCATTCATGATTTCAAAGTTTGATTTGCTCCCGAATCAAAAGCCAGCTTTTTCATTTTGATTCACATCTATACGTTCACAAAAGCCATGCTCATTTTGCAAAACTCTTATGCTAAAAAGGTGATGCTTCCTCCTTCTAAATATAAACCCATTTCTCTACAAGTGTCTACTTTTCCTACTTTCTGACAAAGGGAAGACAATCTACCCTGTCTGTTTAATTTTTTACATGCAGCCTCTCTGACACGTGGAATTGGGAGACTGGGGTGCCAAATCTGTTCTTTTCAGTGTGTAATTTTATAGCTTTCCCCAGAGCAGAAGAGGACAAGTCAGGCAAGCTGTAAAGCAGAGGGGAGGAATTTCATGGGACAATTTTATTATGCCATGAAACCAAGACAGAATTTGATGCCAATGACCATCTTGGACAGGCAGGATCCAGAGAGAGATGAAGTCCATGACCTGCAGAAGCACAGTTTGAAGAAGGCATGCTGCACCCTAGCTGTTCTCTTTGCCCTGAATGGTTCCTGCCTTATGGGACCAAGGAAATGGGTATTGCTAAAAAGGTAAAATTGGCAGCTTCTAGGAAACTTCTGGAGGAATGTCCTGAGGCCCCTAACAAGTCAACATATGTTGGGTGGCTAAAAATAACAAGACTTTATTCTCCCCCAGTTCAGAAGACCCGAGACTGAGAACAAAGCATCTCAGGGCCGCGATTCTCCAGAGGCTCTAGGGGAGGCTCCGTCTTGCCTCTCCGAGCTCCTGGGGGCTCCAGGCATCACTAGGCTTGTGGCCGCACCACTCCAGTCTCTGCCTCCATCTCCACATGGACTGCTCCTCTGTGTCTTTGTCTGTGTTACTTCTTCTGTCTCTTATTTTATTGTATGTATTTATGTATTTTCTGCATCAAATCATCCATTGCTCTTCTGTCTCTTTTAGGAACACCTGTCATTTTATTTAGAAATCACTGTAATCTAGTATGATTTCATCTCAAGATCCTTAACTAATTACATCTGCAAAGACCCTATTTCCAAATAAGGTCTCATTCCAGGTTTTAGGCTTTAGGATATGGACAGATCTTTCTGGGGGCCACTGTTTAGTCCACTACATTTGTATTCACTTGCTTCCGGAGCCTCTAGGGGAGGATACTTCCTGCCACTTCCAGCTCCTGGCATCCCTGGGCTTGTGGCCAAATCATTCCAGTCTCTGTCCTCATCTCCGCATGGCCCTTCTCCTCTACGTCTGTCTCTGAGAATGGCAAAGGTCTGGCAACATTGCTTCAGCTGCAGTGGCGACATTGAGAGGGAGATGGTGGTAGCAAGTGAAAGAGGAAAATTTTCCCAGTGGAGCACTTTTTAAAAAAAATAGAGATGAGGTCTTTCTATGTTGTCCAGTTTGGTCCTGAACTTCTGGCCTCAAGTGATCCTCCCACATTGACATCTCAAAGTGGTGGGATTACAGGTATGAGTCACCATGCCTGACTCCCAGTGGGCCACTTTGATGCTTGGCTATAAAAGTTATACTTCCAAGCAGAAGCCCAAAGATGGAGAAAAAAAAGCATGTTGTCTTCACCAAGAACAAGGTGTCTGCTTTGCATATGACCCCAAGAGGACACCTCTTAGAAAGACACAGGTTGTTGGATTTGGGGCCCATCCAGATAATCCAAGATGATTCCATCTTGAGATCCTTAACTTGATTCCATCTGCAAAGACCCTATTTCCACATAAGGTCCTATTCCCATGTTCTCTGGTTAAGATGTGAATTCATATTTTAAATATAGCTTCCCTGGGACATAGTTGCCCAGCATCCAGTGATGTAACTGGATTTCTGTGTGTTTTTAAGAGCTGAAAAGGAAGGAATAATTATCATTCCTGAAATACCCTTGGTATTTTAGCAAAATAAAAGTTCCCCAGATTTGCTTAATGAATGTTTACAATAAGTAGCAGGGAATTAAGTATCATGGCTGTGATTTGAGACTTGGATGAATTAAGGGAAAAACTTAAAAGTTGTTAAAACCTTACTACCTCCTGCCAGCTCACCAGACACCTTTAATGCTTCAGGAGCAGCACACGAAATACAATTTTTGAAGGAGGAGAGTTCCAGGTCCACATCTACACCAATGGAAAAAATAACTGGGTGGAAAAGACTAGGAAAATGAACAGAGAGTAATTTTCAAGATTTCCTTTCATTAAAAAACAAAACTTCTTGTTCAGAGATAAAAGAAGGTGGAGCACTTTTTTTGTAAAGGGAAGAATTCTAAGATTTGGGGTGAAACATTGATATGAGCAGTAAATGAATAGCTGAAAATATAAGATAAACTTAGTGGAAAGGGATTTTGAAATTATTCTTTGAAACTCCCTGTTTCATATGCTTTGTTAATCTGATTTATTTACATGCATTTAATGTGAGCTTAGGGACTCATGCTTTTACTCATGTTATGCAGGATTTGGTGTATAAAGAAATATATCTCCCTATACTGATTATGGTTATTGGTAAAATAAAATGAAGACTATTGGTTATGATGTCTTCCTGGATTTGCAAATACTGGGTATGCACCCAGTTTCAATTGCGGGGAAGTACGTTATAGGGAAACTCATGAATCACTGCTTATTTTTTCAAAGCATGTGGAAATTCCACTCACATGAAAAAACATTCTTCCTCTTAAAACAGCGTAAGTCAAATGGGTGCTTTTGAAACAATGGTATCAACTCAGAATCAAAATTTTCTAGCTCTCTGATCATCAGTTGTAGAGTTAAAATATTAAGGGAAATTGCTTAAGTGTTGAAAAGATTTTGAATAGATGACTATCACATAACCATATGGAATCAATGACAATCCCCAAATGCATGAGAAAGTCATTTTAAAAATTGATGATGCAACTATAGTTGGAATACACACACATAAACACACACAAAATGACCTATGGCAAGTTTTATGTATATCATACAAATGTTAAGTTAATCATAGCCTCTAGTTAATGCATATCCCCGATTTTCTGACACTGTGCATGAAATCTAGACCCACTTGTTGTTTTTGCAGAGTTACATGGAAATGTTGATTAAGTCCAAATGGAATCACAGGTTGGCTGAATTAAATGCTAAATGGCTCCAATCACTTCCTGGAGTGACAGAGAGGGGAATTTAGTGCAAATGCAACCTGCACAAAGCCTTCTGTTGAAAATGTAGTGGATACTTGGTTTCACATGGTCACCTCCACACAGTAGCTTAGAAAACTGTTGAAACTTTACAGACAGACAAGGAGAGAGAGAGAGAAAGAGAGAGAAGATAGATAAATAGATGAGCTAGAGATGACAAATAAATGACATACATATATATGTATATAGATATATATAGATATAGAAATAAGTAGAATCAATGGTCTGGACAGCAGGATAAAGAACAGAATTTATTGAACCGAAATTCTCCATATGCCTCTGAAACAGTGCTAGCCAAAACCCTTCTCAGATGCAAGAGAGGGTCCCTTGATTTTCATTCCCTTGTTCCTCACACTAAGTCGTCCTCATTCTTAGCAGTGAGGTGCTCTGTTTAGCACTAGAAGTCACAGACCCAGCTCCCAATGCAAGAGACATCTGCCTGTTAGCACTCAACATTAAAGAAAAAATGGGAAAGCTGTTAACACTGTGGAATGGGATGAAGCAGGAGAGCAGGTGACAGCCACTGTTGCAAGTCTGCTGGCTGCATTGATGCTCTGTGTGGCTTCAGTCCTACCCAAGGGAGCCCTTGCCTGTGGGCTTTGCACGGTTTTTTTTGGCTCACAAGAGCATTAAGGGATGGTGAGAGACAATTAAAGCTCCTGCTGCCTCTGTACAAACTTGACCCAACCTTTAAAACTCTTGCTTGCTTCTGTCCAACCTTGACCCAACCTTGAGAAAAGAACAGTTTGATGATGTCTGAGAGCACAAAGAACAGGACTTGCAAGCCAGTTAGACCTGCATTTTAATCTCAGCTTTAAAGCTTAGTCAAGATGTGATCTTAAGCACGTCTTCCCACCTCCCTGCACCTCTGAGATATCCTGTTACATGATGGGCATTTTTCTTTGCAACATCATTCGTGTTGCAAATCAGACTACAGAGCACACATTCAAATACAGGAAGGCATCACTTTGAATGAGCCAGGATTGAACTTCCGACACAGCTCAATTTACACAAACAGCAATTTACTAAAAAATTTAAGTGTTTTTTTTTAAATGAGGTGTTGACTTACTTTACAGCCTTGTTTTTCGGATGAAAATATTGAGTTTTTTTTCTCTTATATTCTTTACACTTAGAGTTGGTTTATCACACAATAGACATCAATAATTTGTTGAGTTCATCAAGAAAAAATCTAAAATTAATGGTGTTAATCCCTGGTGTTTCTTGCCATGTGATATAAGACATGGATTTTTTTTTTTTTCCTTGAGACAGGGTCTGGCTCCATCACCGAGGCTGGAGGGCAGTGGTGTGATCTTGGATTATTGCAACCTCCACCTCCCAGCCTCAATTGATCCTCCCACCTCAGCCTCCCGAGTTGCTGGGACTCCAGGCACATGCCATCACCACAACCCACTAATATACTTTGTATTTTTTTTGGGTAGAGAGGGGGTTTTGCAATGTTGCCAAGGCTGTTCTTGAACTTCTGGGCTCAAGCAATCTGTCTGCCTTAGCCTCGTAAAGTGCTAGGATTGCAGGCAAGAGCCAACATACCTGGCCAAGAATTTTTAACATACATCAACATTTCCATATATCGTATAGTTGTTTTTTATTATTATTATTAGTAACAATAGTAGTAATTTAATTTTCAAGGTGAGATCTTGCTTTGTTGCCCAGGATGGAGTGTGGTGTTGTGATCATGGCTCACTGAAATCTTGACCTCCTGGGCTTAAGCAATCCATCCACCTCAGCCTCCTGAGTAGCTGGGAATACAGGTGCACATCACCATGTCCAGCAAATTTTTCTCTTTTAGGTACAGATGGGGACTTGTCATCTTGGCAAGGCTGGTCTTAAACTATGAGCCTCAAGAAATCCTTCCGCCATATAATTGCAATAATAATAATTATTATTATTTTGAAATGAAGTCTCACTCTGTCACCCATGGCATGATCTTTGCTCACTGCAACCTCCACCTCCTGGGT
Organism: Homo sapiens; assembly: GCF_000001405.40. Taxonomy (NCBI): domain Eukaryota; kingdom Metazoa; phylum Chordata; class Mammalia; order Primates; family Hominidae; genus Homo; species Homo sapiens. The sequence goes on along the minus strand of NC_000024.10, from coordinate 12,223,635 downwards.
TCAAGTGGTTCTCATGCCTCAGCTTCCCTACAGGCGTGTGACATCACGCTTTGCTAATTTTTTCTATTTTTAGTAGAGACAGCATTTTGCCACATTGCCCAGGCTTGTCTTGAATTCCTGACCTCAGGTGATCCACCCACCTCGGCCTCCTGAAGTGCTGGGATTACAGGTGTGAGCCACCGTGCCCAGCCACCATATTATTATTTTTAATAGACCATTATTTTTAGAGCAGTTTTGGGTTTACAGAAAAATCCAGTGGAAAGTACAGAGACTATCCATATATTCTGTTGCCCCCAGACACGCACAGCCTCCTCCACTGTCAACATCCCCTACTAGAGTGGTGCATTTGCTACAATCCTTGGGCCCACACTGACACATCATCATAACCCAAAGTCCATAGTTTAAGTTCACGGTTGGTGGTGTGCATTCTGAGGGTTTTGACAAATCCATAATGACATGCATCCCACACTATATTATCACAAGCATAGTTTCACTTTTCCTAAAATCCTCTGTGCTCCACCTGTTTATATCCCTCCTCCCCCAACCTGTATCAACAACTGATCTTTTTATTTCCTCCATAGTTTTGTTTTTTCCACAATGTCATATAATTGGAAGCATGCAGCTGAGAGTTAACTTTAAAAAATAACATTCTGAATTATTTCTTTTGGAAAGAAAACTTTTTCTTAGCTAAAATGATGTTTAAATAATTACTATGTGTCAGACATTGTATATACCTTGCCTAATTTAGTTGTTAACTTCTTTGTGAATAAAGTGTGCATATCCTCATTTTACAGTACAGCTCAGAGAATCCAAATTCAGGCAGGGTATGCATGTGAGCTTCTTTACCTTTGAGCCCTTTGCTGTTGACTCTACATTTCTTTTTGGAAACCCCAGTTCTCCCAGCAGAATACTTTAATCTTGACTTTGACCTTAGGCTTTATTTATTTCTATCCAGGTACCAATAGACAGGTTGAAGCACCACAAAGTTGAGATTTCCTACACGCAAAATATTCTTATAAGCAGGCTGGGCACAGTGGCTCATGGCTGTAATCCCAACACTTTGGGAGTCCGAGGTGGGCAGATCACTTGAGGTCAAAAATTCAAGACCAGCCTGGCCAACATAGCAAAACCCTGTCTCTACTAAAAATACAAAAATTAGCTGGGTATGGTGGTGTGCACCTGTAATCCCAGCTACTGGAGAGGCTGTGGCAAGAGAATTCCTTGAACCCTGGAGGTGGAGGTTGCAGGAAGCTGAGATTGCACCACTGCACTCCAGCCTGGGTGACAAAATGAGGCTCTGTTTCAATAAATAAATAAATAAATAAATAAAATGTTCTTATGAGTGATCGTCTCTTTAGGAATAAGGGAAATGTCATTCCTATAAACAATTCATATTTTGTTATCACTGGTCTTCCGTTTTACCGCATATTTGATGGGCAAGTGAAGAAGAAGACCAGAAAAATTTTGGAGAAATGCCTCATGTACACAGACTTAGTAGTTAGAGAAATCAAACAAGAGAGGACCTCGTTTAGTAATGAAATAGTCTACCTGGATTACCTGTATACACAAGAGAAGTTTTGATTTTTCATTTGGTAGAATGCTGGTAAATAATTCTTTCTTTTCCCTTTGACATCTTAATGTGAATTTTATTGTAATGTCTTATTGGGCAAATCAAAGAAAAACCACAAAGGGTTGTGGGTCTTGTGAAACTCTACTTAACATAAAGCAGAAAGTATTGAGATACCACAGAGAAGCTCTGAGGGACTCACTGGGTCTCTCTTTCCCTGGATTGTGTTACATTCATGAATTCACAGTGGAATTCCAGGTACAGCATCCTTTTTGTTGAAATGCTTTTCAGGCAGGCTCTGTAGGGACCTTTCTCAGAATCAATGACTGGTGATAACTCCTCCTAGCCTGCACTTATATTTGGAATCCATACAACCTCCTTGCATGCAAATAAAGATGGAAATGAAATATCTAGCTGTAATTAAGGAGAGTGAAAAGTGGATAATTGCTGCTGTAATCAATTGTGTTTCTATGAAAATACTTAGGCATAATTTTACCAAATTAATTTTGCAGTAACCGTGTACTTGAGTTAACTCCTATCGAGTTTATTTGGGTTTAAAAGAAATACAGAGATGAGCCAGTTTTTACCCAGAAAGGCAGCAGGGAGCTACTGTAATAAATTTACATCTTATGGCTGGTCATGAAGAAAAGAGGTTCTGATTCTATGATTCACCTTGAAAGAAAAGAAATTCCAGTTTCTTTTTTTTTTATTATTATACTTTAAGTTTTAGGGTACATGGGCACATTGTGCAGGTTAGTTACATACGTATACATGTGCCATGCTGGTGCGCTGCACCCACTAACTCGTCATCTAGCATTAGGTATATCTCCCAGTGCTATCCCTCCCCCCTCCCCCAACCCCACCACAGTCCCCAGAGTGTGATATTCCCCTTCCTGTGTCCATGTGATCTCATTGTTCAATTCCCACCTATGAGTGAGAATATGCGGTGTTTGGTTTATTGTTCTTGCGATAGTTTACTGAGAATGATGCTTTCCAATTTCATCCATGTCCCTACAAAGGACATGAACTCATCATTTTTTATGGCTGCATAGCATTCCATGGTGTATATGTGCCACATTTTCTTAATCCAGTCTATCATTGTTGGACATTTGGGTTGGTTCCAAGTCTTTGCTATTGTGAATAATGCCGCAATAAACATACGTGTGCATGTGTCTTTATAGCAGCATGATTTAGAGTTCTTTGGGTATATACCCAGTAATGGGATGGCTGGGTCAAATGGTATTTCTAGTTCTAGATCCCTGAGGAATCGCCACACTGACTTCCACAATGGTTGAACTAGTTTACAGTCCCACCAACAGTGTAAAAGTGTTCCTATTTCTCCACATCCTCTCCAGCACCTGTTGTTTCCTGACTTTTTAATGATTGCCATTCTAACTGGTGTGAAATGGTATCTCATTGTGGTTTTGATTTGCATTTCTCTGATGGCCAGTGATGATGAGCATTTTTTCATGTGTTTTTTGGCTGCATAAATATCTTCTTTTGAGAAGTGTCTGTTCATGTCCTTTGCCCACTTTTTGATGGGGTTGTTTGTTTTTTTCTTGTAAATCTGTTTGAGTTCATTGTAGATTCTGGATATTAGCCCTTTGTCAGATGAGTAGGTTGCGAAAATTCCAGTTTCTATGGGGAAAAAATCTAACTTCTATGGAGAAATTCTAGTTTCTTGGGGGGGAATTTGATACCAGAGACAAGAAGGGAGGAGAAGGTCAGAGAGAAGACATTTATACAGGAAGTGCGACACACACACATTCACACAAACACAACAGGCATAGGGTGGACACTTCAATAAAAGCAAGGAATAGTATGAAAAAATGCAGTTCTGGCAGAATGGCTCATACTTGTAGTCCCAGCACTTTGGGAGGCCAAGGTGAGAAGATCACTTGAGCCCAGAAGTGTGAGACCAGCTGAGAAACATGATGAAACACTGTCTCTACAAAAATGCAAAAAAATTAACTGGGCATGGTGGCACACACCTGTGGTCCTGGATACTCAGGAGGCTGAGGTGGGAGGATCACCTTAGGAAGTCGATGCCAGAGTGAACCAAGATCGCACCACTGCACTCCAGCCTGGGTGACAGAGGGAAACTCTCAAAAAAACCCCAAAAAATGCAGAAGAAAAATATTTGTATAGGATAGTAAAAAGGAGCATCCACTTAATTGAAACAGCCAAAGTATGCCAAAAATATTACAGATGGTTAAGACAGATTAAAATAATGCAGAGAAAGTTGTTAGCTTGGAGGTGGTCCTTATAATATGCAGACAATCAAGGTAATTTTCTGTGTGATGATAATGGAAATGTGGATGCGAAGATCAACAAGAAACAATGACATCATCTGTTTTGCAATTCTCCACTTCTGCTGTCTAATGTTGAAAAAGACCTTGCTTACCAAGTGCTTCCACAGGCAACAGGAGATAAAGAGTGAGTATGAAAAATAAAAGTGGCAATAAGAAACTATTCAAAGACATGAGGGTAACCTCCAGGCATCGCTGAGAGTGAGGGTAGAAAACAATGGTGCTAAAATGCATACATGATTACCATTTTGGATTCTTTACACAGACTGGGGTTTTCCTTAGTAAAGACTGTTAACTAATGTGCTCTTGGATTCTGTCATTCTTGTTGTACAGATCCCCTGCTTAGCCAAAAATTTAGCCTGGAAATCCTTGCAAGTCATCCTGTTAGTCGCCAAAGACTAGAAATAAAAATTTGTTCCTACACTTTTCTAATTAGATTGATTGAATTATACTCTGGCCTCAGAATCTCTACTAAAAATACAAAAACTTAGCTGAATGTGGTGGCTCATGCATGTAATCCCAGCTACTCAGGAGGCTGAGGAAGGAGGATCACTTGAAACTGGGAAGTGGAGGTTGCTGTAAGCCAAGATCTTGCCATTGGACTCCAGCCTGGGCAACAAGAGCAAAACTCTGTCTCAAAGAAAAAAAAAAAGACAGAAAATAATTTTTATAACTAGTGTAAGTATGATGATCAATCACATGATAATTCGCTCTACTTTTATCAGTTAAGAATTAAACTTTGTTATGCAAATAAATCAATATTGAGAAACACATGTCAAACAGGGAACAAAATGTCTTAAAACATTTTTTTTCTGGATAGTTCTCTTTTTCCAAAGTATATAAAAGTCTGTCATTCTTGGATATTTTCTTAACTTTATTAATAAGTTAGAACACCACCTTTATTGATTTTTAGAGTTGTAAACCAGGATTTTCTGACAAACAGGTTATGCTGATTTGAATCAGGCCATCAATTGATGAAAAAATGTCTAAAAGTTTAATATTTAAGTGTGCTGAAATAAACTAGTGTCATCTTAAATAACAGAGATACTCTGTAAAAGAAAAGATATTTATTTGGGAATGTAGCATTGCAATGGAAAATCGCATGCCATAGGAAACTATGTGCATATTTATGGGGGGAGAAGGAAGATAAAGATTTTTTAAAGAGTATCACTTAATTGTTTTGAAATAATTATCTGTGGCTACAAAGATCAATAAGAAGGATGGGTTAGGCATGGTGGGTCAAACCTATATCCCCAGCATTTTGGGAGACAAAGGCAGGAGGATTGCTCAAGCTCAGGAGTTCAAGATGAGCTTGGGCAACATGGTGAGACCCTGTCTCAAAAAAAAAAAAAAAAAAAGAAAGAAAGAAAAGAAACAAGAAAAAAAGACACAAAGAAAGGAGAGACATAAAGAAAGAAAGAAGAGAGAAAGAAGGAAGGAAAGAAAGAAAGAAAGAAAAAAGAAGGAAGGGAGAGAGGAAGGAAGGAAGGAGAGAAAGAAAAGAAAAAGGAATAAAGGAAGAGAAAACAAAAGAAGAAAAGAAAGAAAAAATAAAACATAGAAGGAAAGAAAGAAAGGACAGACAGGAAAAAAAGAAAGAAAAAAAAGACAAGGGTGAAAAAGGAAGTGCATCTGTCTCTGGAGAGTAACAGGAAGTTTGTCCTGCACAGGACAGGAATAGAAAGTGTGTGCTGCACAGAATAGAAACAGAAAGTGTGTCCTGTAAAGACTATGCACAAGAAGTGTGTCTCACACAAGGGAGGAACAGGAAGGGTGTCCTGCACAGGAGATGAACAGTAAGTGCATCCTGCACAGGGGAGGAGCTGGTAGTGTGTCTGTCTTAGGAGATTAACAAGAAGACTGTACTTCACAGGAGAAGAATAGAAAGTGTGTGCTTCACAAGAGAAGAACAAGAAGTGTGTCCTGCAAAAAGGAGACACAGAAAGTATGTCCTGCACAGGGGAGGAAGAAAAAGTGTGCCCTGCACAGAGGATAAACATGAAGTTGTCCTGTACAAGGGAGACACAGGAAGTATGTTCCACACAGAGGAGAAATAGGAAATGTGTCCTGCACAGGGGAGGAACAGGAAGTGTGTCCTTCAAAGAAGAGAAACCAGAAGTGTGTTCTTCACAGAAAAGAAACAAAATGTGTGCTGCACAGGGGAGGAACAGAAAGTATGTGCTGCACAGGGAAGGAACAGGAACTGTGTCCTGCATAGGAGAGAAACAGGAAGTGTGTCTGTCTCAGGAGTGTAACAAGAAGTGTGTCCAACACAGGGGAGAGTAACAAAAAGTGTGCCCAGAAACAAGAAAGAAACAAAGTGTGTGCTGCATGGGAGAAATGAGAACTGTAACCTGCACAAGAGAACAGAAAGTGTGTGTTCCACGGGGGAAAAACAGGAGGTGTATCCTGTACAACAGAGGAACAGAAAGTGCTTACTGCACAGGGGGAAACAGCAAGTGTGTCCTGCACAGAGGTGACACAGGAAATGTGTCCAGCACAGGGGACACACAGGCAGTGTTTCCTAAAAAGAGGAGGAAAAGGAAAAACAGGAAGTGTGTCCTGTACAGGAAAAGAACAGGAAGTGTGTCAGTTTCAGGAGAGTAACAAGAAATGTGTCCTGCACAGGGGAGGAACAGAAAGTGTGTGCTTCACCAGAAGGAATAGGAAGTGTGTCCTGCAAAAAAGAATGTGCAGGAGTTGTGTCTTGCAAAGTAGAGAAACAGAAAGTGTGTTGTGCACAGGGGAGACACAAAAAGTGCATCCTGCACAGGGCAGAAGCAGAAGAGTGAGTCTCATGAGAGTAACAGAAGTTGTGTCAGGCACAGGAAAGACACAGGAAGCTCATCCTGCCCAGGGGAGGAAAAGCAAGTGTGTCTGTCTCAGGAGAGTAACAAGAAGTGCATCTTGCACAGGACAGAAACAGAAAGTGTATGCTGCACAAGGTAGGAACAGGAAGTGTGTCCTACAAAGGGGAGACAAAGAAAGTGTGTCCTCCACAGGGAAGAGAAGACAGTTTGTCCTTCACAGGGGAGAAACAGGAAATGTGTCTTGCAAAGGACAGAAAGAGGAAGTGTGTCATGCACAGGGAGCACTCAGGAAGTATGTCACAGACAGGAGAAGAACAGGAAGAGTTTCTATCTCAGGAGAGTAACAATAAATAGCTGTTACACAGGACAGGAACAGAAAATGTGTGCTGTGTAGAATAAGAACAGGAATTGTGTCCTGCAAAGGGGAGACCCAGGAAGTGTGTCCTGTAAAGAGGAGACACAAAAAGTATGACCTGCACAAGGGGGACAAGGAATTGTGTCCACAGGAGAGAAACAAGTGTGTTATTCATAGGACAGAAACAGGAAGTGTGTCATACACAGGGGAGACACTGGAAGTGTGTGCTAAACAGGAGAAACAGGAAGTGTGTCTTTCACAGAGGAAGAACAGGAATTGTGTTCTTCACAGAAGAGAAACTGGACATGTGTCCTGCACAGGGAAGTGACAAGAAAAGTATCTGTCTGAGGAGAGTAACAGAAAATTTGTCATGCACAAGGGAAATTCAGGAAGTGTGTCCTGCACAGAGTAGGAACAGAAAGTGTGTCTGTCTCAGGAGAGTAATAGAAAGTGTGTCATGCACAGGGGAAATAGGAGGTGTGTCCTGCGCAGGGGAAGAGAAGGAAGTGTGGCTGTGACACTAAAATAACAGGAAGTGTGTCATGCACAGGATAGAAACAGAAGTGTGTACAGGACAGGGCAGAAACAGAAAGTGTATCTTGCAAAGAGACAGAGGAAGTGTCTACTGCACAGGGTAGAAACAGTGTGTGCTGCATAGGGAAGACACAGGAAGTATGTCATTCAGAGAGCTGAAGGAAGAAGCATGTGCTTCACAGAAGAAGAACAGGAAGTGTGTCCTGCACAGGGAAGGAACACAAAGTGTTTCTGTCTCAGGGGAGTAAAAGGAAGTGAGTCCAGCACAGGGGAGACACAGGAAATGTGTCCTGCACAGAGGAGACACAGGAAGTGTGTCTCTCTAAGGAGAGTAACAAGTAGTGTGTCCTGCACAGAACAGAAACAGAAAGTGTTTGCATCACAGAGTGGGAACAGGAAGTAAGTCCTGTAAAGGGGAGGCACAGGAAGTGTGTTCTGCACAGGGGAGATAAGAAAATGTGTCATTCACAGGAGAGAAGCAGGAAGTGTGTCTTGCCCAGGACAGAAAGAAGTAGTGTGTCATGCACAGGGAAACACAAGAAGTGTTTAATGCACAGAGGAAGAACAGGAAGTGTGTCTGTCTCAAGAGATCAACAAGAAGTGTGTCTTACACAGGACAGGAACAGAAAGTGTGTGCTGCACAGGAAAGAAACAAGAAGTGGGTCCTGTAAATGGGAGATACAGGAAGTGTGTCCTGCACACGGGAAGAACAGCAAGTGTGTCTGTCACAGAGGAAAAGCAGGAAGTGTGTTCTTCACAGAAGAGAAATAGAAAATGTGTCATGCACAGGGAAGTACAGGGAAAAGTGTATGGCTGAGGAAAGCTATGGAAGTTTGTCATGCAAAAGGGAGATACAGGAAGTGTGTCCTGCACAGGGGTGGAACAGAAAGTGTGTCTCTCTCAAGAGTGTAATAGGAAATGTGTCATAAACAGTGGAAACACAGGAAGTGTGTCGTGAATGGGGAAAGAGCAGGAAGTGTGGCTGTGTCATGAAAATAACAGGAAGTGTGTCATTCATAGGATAAAAGCACAAAATGTGTATCGGATAGGGCTGACATAGAAAATGTGTCATGGAAAGGAGAGACACAGGATGTATGTACCGCACAGGGGAGGAACAGAAAGGGTGTGCTGCATAGGGGAGAAACAGGAAGTGTGTACTGCACAGGGGAGGAACAGAAAGTGGGTGCTACATAGGGGAGACAGAGAAAGTGTGTCATTCACAAGGCTGAAAGAAGTGTGTCCTTCACAGAAGAAAAATAGAAAGTGTGTTCTGCAAAGGGAAGGAGCAGAAAGTGTGTAGTGCACAGGGGAGGAACAGAAAGTGTGTGCTGCAGAAGGGAGAAACAGGAAGTGTGTGCTGCACAGTGGAGGAACAAAAAGTGGGTGCTGCATAGGGGAGACACAGAAAGAGTGTCATTCACAGAGCTGAAAGAAGAAACATGTCCTTCACAGAAGAAAAACAGGAAGTGTGTCCTGCACTGGGAAGGAACAGAAAGTGTGTCTGTCTCAGGATTGTAACAGGAAGTGTGCCCACCACAGGAGACACACAGGATGTGTGTCTGTTTGAAGAGTAACAAGAAGAGTGTCCTGCACAGAACAGGAGCAGAAAGTGTGTGCTGCACAGGATAGGAACAGGAAGTGTGTCATGTAAAGGGAAGATAACGAAGTGTGTCTTTCACAAAGAAAAGCAGGAAGTGTGTCCTGCACAGGGAAGTAACAGGAAAAGTATCTGTCTGAGGAGAGTAGCAGAAAGTTTGTCATGCACAAGGGAGACACAGGAAGTGTGTCCTGCACAGGGGAGGAACAGAAAGTGTGTCTGTCTCAGGATAGTAATAGGAAGTGTGTAGGAAGTGTGTCATGCACAGGAGAAACACAGGAAGTGTGTCCTGCACTGGGGAAGAGCAGGAAGTGTGGCTGTGTCATGAAAGTAACAGGAAGTGTGTCCTGCAGAGTTGAAGAACAGGAAGTGTGGCTGTCTCAAGAGAGTAACAGGAAATATTTTATGCACAGGATAGAAACAGAAAGTGTGTATTGGATAGGGCAGAAATAGAAAATGTCTTACAAAAGAGAGACATAGGACGTGTACTGTACAGGGGAGGAAAAGAAAGTGTGTGCTGCATAGGGGAGAAGAGGGAAGTGTGTACTGCACAGGGGAGGAACAGAAAGCGTGTGCTGCATAGGGGGAAAAAGGAAGTGTGTCATGCACAGGGGAGACACAGGAAGTGTGTTCTGCACAGGGAAGGAACAGTTAGTGTTTCCTGCACAGAGGATAAACAGTGTGTCTTTCACAGGGGAGAAACAGGATGTGTGACCTGCACAGGAGACACAAAGGAAATGTGTCTGCCTAAGGAGATTAACAGGAAGTGTGTACTGCACGGGGAAGGAACAGAAAGTTTGTCATTCACAATGGAGACAGGAAGTGTGCCCTGCACAGGGCAGGAACAAGAATTGTGTCCCTCCCCAGGAGAGTAACAGAAAGTGTGTCCTTCATAGGAAAGTCACAGGAAATGTGTCCTGCACAGGGAAGGAACAGGAAGTGTGTCTGTCTCAGGAGATTAAAAAAATTCTGTCTTGTACTGGGAAAGTACAGAAAGTGATTGCTCCTCAGGGGAGGAAGAGGAAGTGTGTCCTGCAAAGGGAGACAGAGGAAGTGTATGCTGCACAGGGGAGGAACAGAAAGTATGTCTCTCAGGAGAATAACAGGAAGTGTGCTATGCACAGAAAGACACCAGAAGTGTGCCCTCCAAGAGGTACACACAGGATGTGTGTCCTGTCCAGGGCAGGAAAAGGAAATGTGTCCTGCACAAAGGATAAGCAGAAAGTGTGTCCTTCAGAGGGGAGACACAGGAAGTGTCCAGCACAGGGGAGGAACAGAAAGTATATCCTTCACAGGGGAGACAGAGAAAGTGTGTTCTGCACAGAGAAGAAACAGGAAGTGTGCCCTTCACAGAAGTAAAACAGTAAGTGTGTTCTTCACAGAAGAGAAATAAAAGTGAGACCTGCACAGGGGAGGAACAGAAAGTGTGTCTTCACAGGTGAGGCACAGGAAGAGTATCCTGCACAGAGCAGGACCAAAAGGTATGTCTTTCTCCAGAGGGTAACAGGAAGTGTGTCCTTCACAGGAAGTGTGCCTTGCACAGGGAAAGAACAGGAAGTGTTTCTGTCTCAGAAGAGTAACAAGAAGTCTGTCCTACACAGGGAAGGAACAGAAAGTGTATATTCCACAGGGGAAGAACAGGAACTGTGTCCTGCAAGGGGAGACACAGGACATGTGTTCTACACAGGGCAGGAACCACAGTATGTCTTGCACAGAGGATAAACAGAAAGTTTCTCCTGCACATGGGAGTCACAAGTGGTTTGTCCTACACAGAAAAGAAACAGGAAGTGTTGCTGCACAGGGGAGATAGAGAAAATGCATTTTTTACAGAAGAGAAACAGAAAGTGTGTTTTGCAAGGGGAGGAACAGAAAGTGTGTCCTTCACATGAAAGATACAGGAAGTGTGTCCTACACAGGGGAGGAATAGGAAGTGTGTCTCTTTTAGGAGAATGACAGGAAGTGTGTCCTTCACAGGGGAGACACAGGAAGTGCATCCTGCACTGGGGAGGGACAAAAAGTTTGTCTTTTACAGGGGAGAAACAGGAAGTTGCCCATGTTGTTCTCAAGCTCCTGGACTCAAGGGATCCTCCCACCTTGGCCTCCCAAAATGTAGGAATTACAGGTGTAAGCCACTGTGCCTTGCCCTCAGATCATTTCTTTATGGCCAGTTTTTACATGGAAAGGTGAGTAGAGGGAGTTAGAGTCATACTTTTAGGCTTTATGCCTGGCTTTGGGGAAAAAGGTGTCTTGTTTCTTGGATCCACCTTGGGAAGGAGGGATTCTAGTTTTTACGGTGCCTTGGATGAGAATGGGACTGAGATACTCAAGATGGTAGTAGAGTGATGTCTGATCGTCCTCACTGCTACACTCCCACCAGCACCATGACAATTTACGAATGCCATGGCAATGTCAGGTAGTTACCCCATATGGTCAAAAAAGAGGAGGCAGGAGTAATCCACCCTTGTTTAGCATATCATCAAGAAATCACCATAAAAATGGGCAACCAGCAGCCCTCTTGGGACTGCTCTGTCTATGGAGTAGCCATTCTTTTGTTCCTTTACTTTCCTAATAAACTTTCTTTCACTTTACTCTATGGACTTGCCCCAAATTATTTCTTGCACCAGATAAGAACCCTCTCTTGGGGTCTGTTTCCTGGACCCCATTCCTATAAAAATATTTGTTCAAAATAAATCTCTTCAAATATTTTACAGAGTTTGACTCTTTATTGATATTCTTATGAGTCAGGAGAAGAAAAATAATGACATTTTTGGGAAGAGAGAAAAAAATCTGTACCTCATAGAACAAAGGGATTTGTTTTTTCTCTAGTCCTGGGCCTCCTGGCTTTTTAAGTATAGCTATATAACTGCTTCTGTGCTCTCTGTCTCTCTCCCCCACGTTTCTTTCTACATCTCTCTCTCATATACTTCCCCCCACTTCCTTTCCCTACCTTCCTTTTTCTCTCTCTTTTCTCTACCTGTCTTCCTCCCTTGTTTCTCCTTTCTTTCTTCTCTCTCTTCTTCTTGAGATTCCTAGATATCACCAGGGTGGCTCATATATGCCCTAGGTTGTGATACCTATTTGTGCTGTTGAAGGAGAGAAGGACGTGCCTTCCCAAAATATGCTGGATTCGTATCTTTCATATTTAGAGTTGAAAACACTGGAGAATTGTAGTTTCAGAAAGGGCTAGTCGACCTGTCTCTTCCTGCAGGCAGCAAGCTATAAAGATTCCTCTGGGAGGGGATTCCTCCCCTTACCAGGGTGAGAAAATAGCTGTCATCACCAGAGACTGGGCTTTGGGACCTGCAATGGACCTCAACAAATGCGCTTCACACTAGTTTAACCCCTCCCATATATCTCCTTGTGACTTTCCCAGAAATTCACTGCCCCAGTCAGATTCTCTTTGTTTTTCATTTCTTCTCAAATTTGTCATTCTTCGTCTAAAAGTACAAAAGTGTCTTGGTTTCATCACCTCTTTGAACATCACTCTTGGGAATATCCCCATTGTCTATGGAAAATTAAAATATGTATGTTTTCCTTTGTTAATCTGCCTAGTGTCAACTTGGTTTCTAGTTGCAGCTACAGAGCTCAGTAAGAGCTAAAGGGGGTTTAAAGGGATCTCTGGCTCCTCCTCCTGCATGCCATGCACAGAGGGCAGCTGACCTACTGACACCCGGGATGCCTCATGAACAGCTCAGTGGGACAGGAGCTCAGAGGTCTTAGGGGTGTTTATGCAGACTCCAGTAGCTTCCAAGGAGGAACAGGATTCAGCAGATCAAAGTTTCCCAGCATCTGTGATAGTCTGAAGCCAGCAGGAGGGAAGGTAAACAAAGACTCTCAACCCCAGCCCCAGGAGCCATGAACATTCATAGGGAAGGAAGGGAGAAGACAGTGTTGAGTTTCTGAAGAGGGGACAGTGGAAAGCAGCTCTAAGCAGAAATTGCCAGTATCTTCAGATCATTTCTGTGTCTTTTCCCTCTGCTGACTCCTGAATTACATTTGTTTTCCACAAAAGCAAAAAAAAAAAAAAAAAAAAAAAAAGAAAATTTACAAGGCTTCTTCTACCTTTGGTCACTATGCATGGGAATGTTCACATTTCTTTTCTTCTTTTCTCCTCCCTCTCCTTCTTTTCCTCCCTCTCCTCCTCCTCCTCCTCTTCATTTTCCTCCCCCTCCTCCTCCTCCTCATCTGTCTTCTTCTTAGACAGGGTCTCACTCTGTCACCCAGACTGGACAATCACAGCTCACTGAAGCTTCAACCTTCTGGGCTCAAGTGATCCTCCTATCTCAGCCTCCCAAAGAGGTGAGACTACCAGTATATGCCACCACGCCCAGCTAATTTTTTTATTTTTTGGTATAGATAGGATCTTGCTTTGTTGCCCAGGCTGTTCTTGAACTCCTTGCCCTAAGTGATCCACCCGCCTCAGCCTCCTGAAGTGCTGGGATTACAGGGGTGAGCCACCACACCTGGCAAGGATGTCTAGAATTCTAAGAGCCTGCGGACAGGCTCTAAGAATAAATCTTTTTTCTTCTCTGGTGCAAACTGCCAAAGATCCCTTTTCCCAGGACTTATGTTTCTCTTGTTAGCATTAATGATTTCTACTTTGTGAGGGGTGAGGCTGTTTTCTCACAACCATATGGAAATATGCATGTTAGGACTTTTCATAGTGTAAGCTCTAATGAGATTTTCCAAGTAAGAAAAAAGTTGTCAATCTCAGGATTTTAGTTTTGTTGCTAAGCCTTTTCAGGTTTCTGTGTGGTGGTGAGGTAGGAGAAATGTATCTTTTTCCCCTTTAATTTTTGAAACTGCCTTTTCTTCTTTTTAAGGATGAGTGTTCACAAATTGTAAAAACTTCCATGAAACATGAACAGGGTGAGTCATAGCCTCATAAGTTTGTATAGTTGCCAGCGTTGACTGAAGTGATTGGAGGGAGAGTAAGGGCACCTGTCTTCATCCCTTCTTGCTCCATTCTGAAAGCTCCATCTTATTTTCCAAAAATATACTCCATAATTAATGCTCCCTACTCTGTTGGAGGCTTGCAGTATAAAAACATAATTTAATATTTTTGTCACTGTGGTATAAAAAAAGAACAGACAAGTCTGTGAGTTTGCAAGGACACTGGACTTTTTATTCTTTCCAATGCAACTTGGGAGACTCATTTTGATTAGGATGTGGGTGAAATTTTGTTTTCATCTCTCATGGGGGTTACAGACCTTGGGATCCTGGTAAACACACACACATACACTCACACACACACAGTCACACACACACAAACATACAAACACACACAGTCACACACACCCCACACGGTGTTTTTTCTGTGAGACATTTTTCTGTTTTATTATTTTATTTCTTGTTTTTAATTTTACTTCTATCTTCCCACCAGAAATAGTGGCTTCAAAGCCATAGGTTAACACTTAAAAAAAAAAAAAAAAACAGAAACAAAGCATAGTGAATGGTGCAAGTTTGATTCATTTTTTTCCTTTCAATCTTCCAAAGTGCATGTAGAAGGGTATAAAATAAAAGCTGAATAATCAAAGTTTTCATCAAAACCTGTGGTGTTAGTGTGTAGCTTTCTATTTTATTTTTTATTTTTCAGAAAAGAATAAGGAAATCATTTTTTTCTGGGAAGAGTGAAGTTTCTGTGAGTGTTTTGTGGGGTTAGAGACTGAATAAATCAGGAAGGGGACAGATGTTTGGTGTGATTAGCAGGTTTGATTGAATGGAACCAGCTTTGAAGTCTAATTGAAGACATTTGACATTAAAATGCTAAGATTATGTTTTTCGCTGCACAAAATAAAATTAAAAAGAAACCCAATAAAGAAAAAATATATAATATGAAACATTTGTTGGCTAGGTGAGATACTATGCTGATGAAATTATTATTGGCATCTGAAGACTTTGATTGAAATTTATTTAAATTTTCCATTCTACTCAGTGGTGTTTTGCTGAAAACAGTATAAGACTTGTGGAACATGAAAAATAAACTTAAGTATCTTTTCCAAAATCAGTAGATATGACTAGAAGAATTTAAAACAAGATATAAAATTAACAACTATTTGGAGAAGACAGTTGAAGAGGGAGATGAATGGGAAATAAACTTCTTATATTTCAGATTTGGAACTCAAAACATCCAGCCTAAAATAGGTTGGCAAATAAATACAGATATCTTGTGTAAAATTTCAGAGGTTATCATCCAAGAATTAAAAACTGCTTGGGTGCAGTGGCTCATGCCTGTAATCCCAGAACTTTGGGATGTCGAGGTGGGTGAATTTCTTGAGGTCAGGAGTTCGAGACCAGCCTGGCCAACATGGTGAAAACCTGTCTCTACTAAAAATACAAAAAAATTACCTGGACATGGTGGCAGGCTTCCTGTAATCCCAACTACTCAGGAGGCTGAAGCAGGAGAATCTCTTAAACCTGGGAAGCAGAGGTTGGGGTGAGCCAAGATTGTGCCATTGCACGCCAGCTTGGGCAACGAGAGTGAAACTCTGTCTCAAAAGGAAAATAAAATAAAATAAAAACTGATAAGGCAAAACGGATTTCCTTTACCTCCCATTTGAGCATATCTAGAAGGGGAGAAGGGAATTCTTTTCACATATTTTTACCTTTGTGAACTATTGTGTTTTTATGGCTGTCTTACAGGTATCAATGTTTCACCTTGGAACAGGGAACCAAAATAGTACATAAAGCTCTATTATCACATGATCCAGCAACCTCACTACTGGGTGATTGCCCAAAGGAAAAGAAATCATTATATCAAAAATATCCCTGCACATGTGTGCTTATCACAGCACCATTCACAATAGCAAAGATGTGAAATCAACCTCAGTGTCCACTGATGGATGATGGGATGTTTGGATAAATAAAATGTGATATATATACACAGTGGAATACTACAGAGCCATAGAAAATAAAATCATGTATTTAGCAGCAACATGGCTAGAACTGGAGGCAATTATCTCAAGTAAAACAACTCAGAAACAGAAAGTCAAATTCTGCATTCTCTCACTTATAAGTGGGAGATAAAGAATGTGTTCACATGGACATCCAATGTGGAATAATAGACACTGGAGATTCAGAAGGGCAGGATGGTGGGGGTTGAGGGATGAGAAATTATTTAATGGCTACAATGTACACTATTCAAGTGATAGATACACTAAAAGCCCAGACTTCACCACTATGCACTATATCCGTGTAACTGCACTTGTATCCCTTAAATTTATACAAATAAAAAAAAGCTTCTACATCTACTTTGCACTAGCCCATTATGTTTTACTTTCAATCAGTAGAAATGCAATTCTCTCTTTTACTTGGGATAAAAAAAAGTTTGTTGTTGTCATTGTTTGTTCTGTTTCTATGATGAAAAACACCAGTTTATGGCTTTGCTTAGGGAAGGCTACACGGACAGTAAGCAGTCCCAGCTGCAGGAAATGGGATAATTAATAAAACATGGTCTACCCAAAGAGACAGTAGGACCCAGGATGGAGAAGGTGCATGTGAATGAAATCACCCCAGCAAGGCGTGTGCATTGGTTTCCTGGAGGGCTGCCATCACAAATTACCACACACTGCATGGCTCAAACTAACGGAGATTTATTCTCTCAGCCTTCTGGAGGCCAGAAGCATCTGAAATCCAGGTGTCAGCAGAATGGGTTCCTTCTAGATGCTCTAGGAAACACTCTCTCCAAGACACTTCCTGCTTCTGGTGGTTGCCAGCCATTCTTGATGTTCTTTGACTTGCAGATGCATCATTCCGATCTCCATCTCCATCTTCACATGGTCTTTTTCTTTATATCTCTCTGTGTCCTCTCCTCTCCTGTTTATTTATTTTTTTCAAAAATGGGTTATGAGACTGGCCAACTTTTCTCTTTTTTTGTACAGATGATGTTTCACCATGTTGCCCAGGCTGGTCTCAAACTCCTGGTCTCAAGCTATCCAGCTGCTTCAGCCTCCCAAAGTGCTTGGATTACAACCATGAGCCACCACACCCAGTCCTCCTCTCCTCTTCTTATAAGGGTGCCAGTCACTAAATTTAGGGCCTACTTAACCTGCAAAGATTCTACTTCCAGATAAGGACACATTGTGAAGTTCCAGATGGCCATGAATTATGAATTATCAGTGGAGAATACTACTTAGCTCACTACAACGTGCAAAAGTGCAAGGACATACCTTCTGTAATCTTCTGTGACCAGAGGAGGGAAAGAGACTCAAAAATATTGGAAGGGCTGAGGCTGAGAAATGGAGTGAATTCCCTATGGGTAGCTTTTCCATTTCCAGGAAGTATGTGGTAAGATTATGAAGGGGATCAAAATATGCCACCCAAAAATATGACATTTCGGTGCAAGCATTACTTTGAGCTAAAGGCTACTGAATAAGAGCAGGCACAGAACAAGCTCTCTACCCTCCCCCTTTCTGTTAAAATGCAGGGCATATGTTTTCCCTTTGAAAAGAAAATTCATTTGTAAAGAAAAATTTCATTTATAAAGGTGTCCTCTCATGGATGATTCCAGAGATAGGGATTATCACCTGAGATGACTTGAGTCTATATAATAATCTATACTTACCAGGCATTTTCTAGCCACCTTCTACAAACTTACCCCCATCCTAGATGCTTAAATTCCATTTGCCTTTGTCTAGTTCCTTCTCTAAACTTTATCACCCTGTGTTAAGGTGGTATATAATCCCCTAGGTCCAAGCACCTCTTCAGGGTCCTCACTTCTTTTCCATGTGTCTCCCCATGTGTACATACAAAATAAACCATTTCTTCTGTAAACTTGTCTTCTGTCAGTTTAATTTGAAGTTCCCAGTAACTAAATTAAAGATAACAAAGGTTTTATTTCTCCCCTTCCTATAATTATCTATTAAGAGCGTGTTTGTGTGTTGGGTAGATGAGAAGTTGGTGGGATTGGCACTGGAAAGGTCTAATGTTAGACGATAGCATATAGTTAGATGTTGATTTTGTCAATGGCAAAAACTAGGATGACAAGGCAGTTTGGAGACCTGGTTGGAATGAAGGACTCAACTGTGCCATGGCACCCACATTTCTAGTAAAGATGAGCCCCTGGGTAAGAAGGGGATCTCTGGCATTTGGGCTCACTCAAAGATGGCAGATTTCCAGGTAAATGTTTACATAGACAATGGGGCAAATAATTAAACATTTTGGAGAATTCTTCAGGTGTTGAACCATGGAATTTAAGTTGGGTGGGTAACAAAATGTAGGAAGCAGAACTAGTGAAGAAGGATTAAGCAAAAGAGTCAATGAACTGGAGAGTCTACCTTTGCAAATATGGTTGTGTTTCTCTCCCTTTCAAAGGATTATCAACATCCTCATTTAATGTTACCTCATTGGTATGAGCAACAGTATTTACTATCACAATGTGTGAAGTATTCAGTTTGAGGATGATGTCAGCAAGTCAAGAAACCTTAGAAGAGTATTTTCTTTTTGGAGACAGGGTCTCACTCTGTCATCCAGGCTGGGGTGCAATGATGTGGTCATGGCTTACTGCAGCCTCAACCTCCTGGACTCAAGCAGTGCTCCCACCTCAACCTCCTGAGTAGCTGGGACCACAGGCATGTGTCACCATATCTGGCTAACATTTGCATTTTTTGTAGAGACAGAGTTTTCCTATGTTGGCCAGGCTGGTCTCAAATTCCTGAGCTCAAGCAATCCGCCCACGTTAGCCTCCCAAAGTCCTGGGATTAAAACTATGAGCTGCCATGCCTGGATAAAATTGGTCTTTAAAATCATTTTTAACCATATGGCCTAATCACTCCATTTCCTAGGGATATATCAAGTAGAACTGAAAACAAGTACTGAAGCAAAAACTTTGTGTGCACATATTGAAAGCAGTTCTGTGCCCACAACACAAAAAGTGGAAACTACCCCAAATTTCATCAGTGGTTCCATGGATAAACAGAATGTGGGCCATCCGGAAAGTAGAATACCATTCAGCCATAAAAATGAATGAATCGGCCTGTGTGGTGGCTTATGCCTGTTATCCCAGCACTTTGGGAGGCTGAGGTGGGTGGATCATGAAGTCAACAGATTGAAAGCATCCTGGCCAAAATGGTGAAACCCCGTCTCTACTAAAAGCACAAAAATTAGCTGGGTGTGGTAGCGTGTGCCTGTAGTCCCAGCTACTGGGAAGGCTGAGGCAGGTGAATCACTTAAACCCAGGAGGCGGAGGTTGCGTGAGTTGAGATCGCGCCACTGCACTCCAGCCTGGGTGACAGAGCAAGACTCTTGTCTCAAAAAAAAAAAAAAAAAAAAAAAAAAGAATGAATCTCTGCTACATACTACTACAATATGGATACATCTTGAAGTCATGAGGCCTAGTGAAAGATACCAGACACAAAAGGTCACATATGGTATGGCTCTATTTATATTAAACATACAAAACTGGCAAATCCATAGAGATAAAACTCAGATTAGTGGTTGCCAGGGGCTGGGGGAGGAAGGAATGGAAATATCTCCTTAATGGGTACGGGGTTTCTTTTGTGGTGATGAAAATGTTCTGGAACTACGTAGAGGTAATGGTTGCATATCATTGTGAATGTGCGAAATGTCACTGAATTGTTCACCTTAACATGGTTAGTTTTTTTCTTTTTATTTTATTTTATTTTATTTTATTTTTGAGATGGAGTCTCGCTATGTCACCCAGGCTGGAGTGCAGTGGTGTGATCTTGGCTCACTGCAAGCTCTGCCTCCCAGGTTGACACCATCCTCCTGCCTCAGCCTCCCGAGTAGCTGGGACTACAGGCGCCCATCACCACACCCATCTAATTTTTTGTATTTATAGTAGAGACGAGGTTTCACTGTGTTAGCCAGGATTGTGTTGAGTCCAGGAGGTTGTGGCTGACCTCATGAGCCACCTGCCTCAGCCTCACAAAGTGCTGGGACTACAGGTGTGAGCCATCGCTCCTAGACCCATCTTAACTCATTCTAGCATTAACTCGAAAGTCCACAGTCCATAGTCTCATATGAAAGAAGGTAAATTCCTTCTGCCTGTGAGTTGGTAAAATCAAAAACAAGTTAGTTTCTTCCAAGATACCATTGGAGTATAGGCAGTGAATAAATACTCCCATTTCTAGAGGAAGAAATCTGCTGAAAGAAAGCTGCTACAGGCCCCATGCAAGTCTGAAACTTAGCAGGGCAGTTATTAAGTCTTAAAGCTCCAAAATAATCTATTTTAACTCCATGTCTCCCATACAGGATATCCCAGTGCAAGGCCTTGGGCACGGGAGGTCTCAGAGAAAAAAGGGGGAAAAAAATCCTGCAGTTACCCTCTGTGTGAATCAAAGAAATTTATTTGCTTTTTTTTCTAATTTCCTCATTATAGGTCTTATTTTAAGGCTGTGAGTTGAACACTGGTTCACTGTGGGAAAAAAACTGAAGAATGCTATGAATTTACACATTTTATAGAGACTGCTTATGGAGCCCCTTGCTATCCTAACCACCCAGAAGGTAGGATCTCAGTGGATGCGACACTTGGAAAAACAAATCATTATTTTTATCTTATTCACATTTATGTTTTGTTGAATAATAATTTTGTTTTACCTTCAGGGTTTTTTAAAATGTGGTTTTACCTGGGGAGCCATTTACAATGTATTAGACATCCTCATTCATTGGGAAGTCTGCTATATAGGACTCAACACTTGTTGCTCAAGAAGGGGAAGTTAATAAGTTGTCAGAAGTCAGTGAGAAGGAATATAAAGAGATGTGAAGGCTTATCTTTGTTCTTACCCTTTCATACAGTCTGCATTTTATTTTATTTATTTATTTACTTACTTAGAGGGATGCACCAGTGCACATAGCTTTTTTTTAATAATAAGCATTTTAACACATTTATCTAAAACATAGTTACAAAAGAAAACAGAGAAACATAATTGGAATACTGGGGAATAGTGTCTATCACTTCTGTCCTGTCTGTTGCCATTTTATAAAAAGCATTAAGAACAAGCAGTGTACATATAGTTTTCAGGCAAACAGACATGTATCTGCTATGAGACCATTTTTTAAATGATGAAATAACTCTGTGTGTGTTTGTATGCTTTGTGTATCCGTTTACAGTAGATAGCTATTCAATTCCTCTTTGAGATGCAAAAGGAAAAAAAAAATCTTCCACAAGGTGTGTGTTACAGACTAAATATCTGTGTCTTCACACAATGCATGTGTTGAAATCCTCCCTTCAAGGTGATGGTGTTATGACCTGGGGCCTTTGGGAGGTGATGTGGTCATGCAGATGGAGCCTAATGAATGCGATGATTGCCCTTATAAAACAGACCCCAGAGGGTTCCCTCACCTCTTCCACCATGGGAGGACACAGTGAGAAGGTGATCTGTGGACTAGGAAATGAGTCCTTACCAGACATAGAATCTGCCATGCCTTGATCATGGGTCTCCAGCCTCCAGAGCTGTGCATAATCAATGTGTTAAGCCATTCAGTCTTAGGTGTTTTGTTATAGCAGACTCAATGGACTAAGACAAGAAAAAAAGACTTTGGCTTCTAGCAAAGTGAACTTGCTCTTCTGTCCTTAATAGACACAAACAAATGGACAAAGATGACTACATCATCCTAACCCATAAATCAAAGATTTTCAACCCAGAAGCAAAGATCCAACTGACATAAGCAAAGCTCCTCTCTTTACAGGGGTAAACAGAAAGTGTGCAGATCATAGGTAGCCTCTCTTGTTTGTGCAAAGCCCTTTGTGAAACTCCATGTTAGGCAGATTCATGGCAGAATCATCACTTTGGTAACCAAAAAGGAACCTTGCACACTTGTACAGTAATTCATCTGTAAGTGCATCTGACAAGCCAAGATACACAATATTCTTGGTACTGTGCTTGTCATTGTCAGTTCAGTGAAGAGCAGGATGGATTCATCAACTTTCATAAGCTACATGGTGGACGAAAGGGCTGAGAAGTTAGTGGGCATTGGCTACCCCTGGTACAAGTTGCATGGGGATAGATGACTTAGATGTAATCTTAAGGTGGGAATGAATGGTGATCAGAGGAGGCTTCCTGATGCCTGTGCACTTTCTGAGCCCTTGCCAATGAGTGACAAACGGAAAGGCTACCTTGAGCAAAAGAAGAAGGGAATAGGGGTTCCTAGCAGGAAGATGGGGTTCCTGCTTGAGGTTTCTAGCAGGAAGAGGCCCCAGTGCCTTGGCTCATAGGAAAAAGTAGCAGATATTGAGGAACTAAAGTTGGTTAGCATTTGCTGGAGTGTAGCAGGTATTGAAGAGGCAGGCAACAGTGGTCAGGTAATGATGAATTTAGAGATGAAGGTGTGGAAATAAATGAATGCCACCTACGTGAAAAGAAGCAAGGTGTTTATTCCGAGCTTGGTGTAGCAAAGGAATCAGCCATCATCACTCACATCTGGCAGAGATTCAAAGGCTGACACAGCCATGGGGAAGCTTTATAGTGGGGGAAAAGGGAAAACTAAGGTGTGTTCTGACTGGAGGCAGTTGGGGGTTCACCAGAAGTGAGACATCCTGTGTGACTGGTTAGGGGGCACATTTGGGTTTCTCTGCTTTGTCCTAAGTTGGAAATAGGGGAAAAATTAGGGAAGCTCATAGTTATTGCTCAGGTTCTGGACATTTTCAGCTGGTTGCTACAGGGCTTGCTGTTAGCTTCCTGGGTGAGTTACTGCAGCTTACAGATTAGATCTCTCTCTTTATATATGGTCTAGTCACCATCCATTTGTATATTACTTCTCTCAATGGTAAGGATTTGAGAACATATGCTAGGAACAACAGTTATCTAAGTGTTTGACCCCAGGGAATTTTTATTCTATTACTTGTTTTGTCATTCTTTCTCCTTCATCTGTTCCATTTTTTTTTTCACATGTTGTGATGTGCGAATATCACATCACTGTTCTCCCAAACATGTAATTCAAGTTTCTTGTCTTTTCCTCCATGGTTTTTATTTCTGTATTGTTGCTCTGAGTTTCAGATATTTCTTTCATTTAATATTCTAGTTCAGAGATTGGCAAATTTTTTCAGCAAAGGGCCAAATAGTAAATGATTTTGGCTTGGTAGGCCGTTCAGTCTCTATTGCAACTACACAACTCCATCGTTGTACTGCAAAAGCAGTCATGCACAATATATAAATGTATAGGTGTGGCTGTGCTTAAATAAAACTTTATTTACACAAACAGTTGTGGGTCAGATTTGGCTCTTGTTACAAAATTTTCTGACTTCTTTTCTGGGTTACTTATTTAAGTCTCACAGATGTGTCTGCATCAGTGAATACAATGGCAAGTATAAATGCATAAATTTGTTTTCTATAAAATTGTATAAAGTATGTGTATTTGTCTGTGTGTTATATCTGCCTAAATACTCTGAAAGGCATCAGAGTGTGTAATCTCCAAATACATCACTTTGGTTTGAGAATTATTTTTAGCTGAGGTGAAAGGATGGCTTGAACCCAGAAGTTCAAGGTTGCAGTGAGCTAAGATCACACCACCTCCCTTGAGCCTGGGCAACAGAGTGAGATTCTGACTCAAAAAAAAAAAAGATATAATAAAGCAAATAATTAATAGAGGTGCAGAGGTGATGTAAATTCCACATATGGTCAGATAGACTTGTTGAACAAGAAACACAATTTTCCAACTTAGAAAATAGTTATGTCAAAGTTGAAGAGGGTGTATTCACAGAGAGGAAGTGGGAGAATCAAGGACTGGCATTTCCAAGAGTTCAGATGGCAGGGCCCGTAGGGATCACCGAGAGCTGGAATTGCAGGAGGAGCCACTTGTGTTGTGCGTCTTGAGTGATGACAGACAAATAGTGGTTCTGGAAGTGACTTATGGAATCGGGATGGCTGGGGAGGTTAATTATGGAACTGGGAGGCCAGTGTGTCCAACAAATTATGCATATGGAAGGGGAAACTCTGATGGGGTTCAGCGAACACTACCCCAAATTACAACATTTTGGCATTTGAAAAAAAATAAACAGCAGAAGGAGAAAAGCTACTCTCAACTTTCCTTCAGCCTTCTCCCCTGAAACATGTTGCCCAGGCTGGTCCTGAACCCCACCTTCCTGCTGGGAACCCCTACTCCCTTCCTCTCTTGCTCATGGTAGCCTTTCTACCTCCCACTCATTGGCAAGGGTTCAGCAGGTGCACAGGTATCAGGAAGCCTCCTCTGATCACTCTGCTCCCTGAAGCAAGTCAAGAAACCGGGGAAGAGTTCTCTAACCTTTCCCTGAAGCAGGTCCTAGGACCTTGATTCAAGAAGTGCCTTCTCTATCTCCAGAGAGAAAGAACATCTTTATTTCTGAAGACACAGACACAGAGAAGAATCTTAACATGCAGCCCTTCCTAGGTTCCCCCCACCCCAGTTTATTCCCATTAGATCACGCCCTATTGTCCCTCAATCACACTTCCGCATGACCACACACAAAAATAAATATAGTTTTCTGGCTGGTCATGGTGGCTCACATGTGTAATACCAACACTTTGGGAGGCTGAGGCAGGGTGGATTGCGTGAGTTCAGCAGTTTGAGACCAGCCTGGGCAATGTGGTAAAACCCTGTCTCTACTATATATATATACACACACATATATATACACACACACACATATATATGTATATATATACATATATACACACACACACATATATGTATATATATGTGTATATATACATATGTATACACACATATATATACATATATACACATGCATATATACACATATATATATACATATATATATATATATCTGGGTGAGGTGATGCATGCCTGTAGTCTCCACTACTCAGGAGGCTGAGGTGGAAGGATGATTTGATCCCTGGAGGAAGAGGTTGCAGTGAGCCAACGTTGCACCACTGCACTCCAGCCTGGGAGACAGAGCCAGACACTATCTTTCAATATATAGTTTTCCCTGAGTCTTTGGGTTTTTATCCAAAAAGCTCCTGTATCACACAAAATTTATGCTAAATAAACATGTATGCTGTCTTTTCTTCAGCTGATCTGTGTTTTCCTCTCAGGGTCTCAGCCATAAACCTTGTGATGGGTGAGGAAAAGATCTTACTTTTCCTCTCCTACAATGTGTAGGAGGTAGGGAGTTTGTAAACCATGCAACAAGACTATGGAGGTGACCTGAGGAATGAAATACCCTCTGAAGAATTGCCTCAGAGGCAGACAGCAAAGACAAAAATGGTCTTGGGGATTGTCAGGGGACTAGGGACATAGACTATCAAAGGCAAGTGATGAGGTAATTGGGTGCATGGCTTATCTAGAAAACTTCTCCCAGAGAGTATGCATTTTTGAGGAAGTACAGGGTTAACCAAGATTTGCACTCTTGGCAGTTCAGAAAAATTTATGGACTCTGAGAATACAGGAAGTTATCTGAATCCATGTTAGCCATTCTGGCTCCAGAAAGAGGCTGCATGTCCAAGTTCCCTAGTAAGCTCCTGGGGAGTTACCAGGATGTGGCTAGAGAGAGAAGCTTCCCCTCTGGTGATGTTAAGACTTCTTGCCTCCTAGTCTTTTGCAGGAGAGAAATGTGAGCTGCATTTTTATCTTGCTGTGTAGGGTTATTTTCTGCAAATTGGCTGAGATTGGAGTGGCACCTCCTGAAACTTCATTTTGAGGACTCTCTCTAAAGACTGGAATTCCCTTAGCAAATATCATTTTTAATGCAAATCATCTGTTTCAATAAAAAAAAGTAAAAAGAAATCATGACCTCAGTTTTCTGCAAAACAGATGAGTCCTTGTTTTCACCAAAAGACAAAGCAGTAATTAATTTTTAAAATGCTGAACTCCTTTAAATTATTTTAATCCTTTAGATGAAAAATATGTGTCACAATTGCATGTGTTTTTATTCTTCTACAGGTTTGGAACTCTGGGTGTTTGGGGAGGCTTTCTGTTCTGTACGCCTCAAAGCCCTTAATACCTCATTGTGAACTTTGAGTGACAGAACAAAGACCTGCACTGCGAGCAGGGGAGAGGCAAGGGTGAATTTTAAAGCATAAAGTGATTGAATTTAGAAGAAGCAGAGGTTGGAGACAGGGAGATAAATTTACTTAGTTGATTAATTTGCCTGGAGCTTGCCAACGTATGCCAATTATATGACCAATTTGGGTAGAAAACAGACCTAGAAAAAGGAGAAAAACAGTATACAAATGAACATATGTGAGGTGATATTAGAGCATTGGCAATGGGGTTATAGCTGATTTTAAGACTATGTGTGTGTGTAATTGGTGATCAAGAATTATTAGCCCTCAAACATAATATTAATTCAAAATATAGTTAGATTTGAATAAAGAGTGGCTTGTGTTGCAGAAACAGGAGGATGAGAGAGGCCTTGGGGTATATACAGGAGGATATTGAGTGCACTCAGACTGAGCAGACTTAACATCCAAAACCTGGGCCCAGGACAAAGACAGCACTTGACTTTTATACACACTTCAAAAAGCAGGTGGGGTAGCTTGAAGCAGGCTTACAGTTACAGTGGCATGAAAGCAAGGATATGGAGGCAGAATAATTAAGCAAATTGTGACAGGTTCATAACACAGAATTACATATGACAATTGCTATGCAACCCATATGGCTGTTATCTAGGTTTGCCCTAGTGCCTAATACAGCTTATTCCATGACCTTCACTATGGTGTCCAGGTGGCTCTATCTCAGACCTGCTCAGATGGTTCATGACCTTCATTCCATTACTTAGCTAAAATAGAATACTTGAAGTAACTAGTTACAGAAACAAGAATCTATAAACTCATACCATAAAACAAAGGAAAATTTGTTTTTCTTCTCTGTATGCTGAGGGAGTGCTGGGAGAGTCTCCAGAGCACATTTCTTTGTGTCCTAGCTTCTTAGAGAGTATTATCAAGACTTTTCCTGGGTCTGGGCTGTGCCTGTTGCTGCCTCTGAGACAAGTCAGCCTAATAAGGGAAAGCTAATTTCTCTTTCTTTTAAATTTTATTTATCTTTCTTTCTTTAATTTCCTGCCTATTAGGGAGGATTTATAGCTTGCTTACTTACTTCTCCTTGAGCTTGGCAGTCATATTCTTTTCTGGGGAAAAAATACAGAAGAGGTATTTTAGAATAGGGTAGAAAATAAAAATAAAGTAGACTCCTGAAAGTAGATCTATGTCCTCACCACACACAAGCTGGGCTCATTTGTAACTCATCTCCACAGTAACTATATCTTCTTCACAAGGAATTAAATGAGAAGAAAACCATGGACTACTATACACACACTTTTTAATATCTTCTTTCAGCAACTTTTACAGATTTTCTCAACACCATTGATTTATAGGATTATGAGCAAGAAACATTGATGGCCATGAAGATGAATAAGGAAGGAGAAGTGGTCTTGATTAGTGAAATTGATGATGATTTCATGTCTTCTCTACCATAGGGGATGCCTAAGTTTTGCTATTCATATTATCAGATCTGATGAATTAGAAACTCATCCACTTCTTGCCTGCATTAGAAAAAATGGCAGATACTATGAGCCCAAGCAAAGCATGACTAATTTAACTTTTTGAAGAACAGGAAACTCCAACACACAATGAGATCATGTTCGGTTTTCCCAGAATTGTTTTTTGACTAAATGGAAAAAAAAAGTAATTTGTTAAATAATCTACAATGTCTACATCAAAGCCAAAAATACTTGGAGCTCTAAAAATGCACTTAACATTTTAACCCCAGGGGGAAATGTCTGTCTTTCAAAAGTGAATTAGGGCTGGGTGCCATGTCTTTCACCTGTAAACGCAGCACTTTGGGAGGCTGAGGTGAGAGGCTCACTCGAGCTCAGGAGCTTGAGAGAGCAACATGGCAAAACCGCATCTCTACAGAAAAATAAAATTAGCTGGCCATGAGTTCATGTGCCTGTAATCCCAGCTACTTGGGACGCTTAGATGTGAGATTCACTTGAACCCTGGAGATTGAAGTTGAAATGAGCCACGGTCTTACCTCTATACTCAAGCCTGGTCAACAGAGTAAGACCCTGTCTTCAAAAAAAAAAAAAAGTGAATTAGGAAGATCAATGATTTCAATGATTTAAGAAAATAAAATTTGACTGAGATTTGGGGAATGTGCATTATACAGAAAAAAATGCAAAATGTGATTCCTTCGTAAAGATGTGCTGGCATTATTTAAGTATTAACACTCTCAATGTTGATATATCTTAAAAAAACAGGAAGAGTGCTTTCAGGGCTGAATCGTTGCTTTGGCAATTTGAACTAATCAAATTGACGAGATAATTGCTAAACCTATCTTCATTTTGCATGTATACACGATGACTATGTCCAGGAAAACTGAAATGATGGCATAAACTATCATATATATGATAGAATCCACATCCACGTGGACCACTGGCCCCAGGACATATATTATCATACATATGGTAGGCTGCACTTCCACTTGGAGGCCCAGAAAGGGAACAGGTATTATCATACATATGGTAGATTTCATGTCCACCTGGAGGAGTGTAGCCAGGACATATACTATTATGTATATGATAACATCCACTTTTGGCTGGGTGCAGTGGCTCATGCCTGTAATCCCAGCACCTTGGGAGGCTGAGGCTGGTGCATCACGAGTTCAAGAGATTGAGACCATCCTGGCTAACATGGTGAAACCCTGTCTTTAATGAAAATACAAAAAATTAATTGGGTGTAGTGGTGTATGCCTGTAGTCTCAGCTACGGAGAATCTCTTGAACCCAGGAGGAAGAGGTTGCAGTGAGCTGAGATCAAGCCACTGCACTCCAGCCTGACGAGACTCCGTCTCAAAAAAAAAAAAAAAATCCACTTTCAGCTGAAGGACTGGAGCCAGGGCATATACTAGCATATACACAGTAGGCGTTATTTTCACTGGAAGTGTTGGACCTAGTACATATACTACTATATACATGGTAAATTCCAATTCCAAGTGGAAGACTGGCCGGGGGCTTATATTATCATCTATGTGGTAGATTTCACATCTACCTGGAGGACTAGTGGGGAGCATATATTACCATACATATGGTAATTCTTACTTCTACCTGGAGGACTGACAGAAGGTCATATATTATATATATGGTAGACCCTACTTCCACCTGGAAGACTAGACCCAGGACATATAGTATTATATACATATATATGGTAGACTTCCTCTTCCACCTAGAGAAATAGACCCAGGGCATATTTTACTTTGTATATGGTAGACTCCTCTTCCACTGGGAGGAATACCATAAATAGACTTCTTTCACCTGGAAGACTGGACCTATGGCATATATTGTTATATATATGCTAAACTCCCCTTCCACACTGGGGATTGGAACCAGGGAATATACTATATATGGTAGACACCACTTTCACCTGAAAAACCGGATCCAGGGCATATATTTTTATATATGTGGTAGATTTCCCTTCCACCTGGAAGAATAGAACAGAGCATATTTTACCTTATATAGGATGGACTCCTCTTCCACCTAGAGGAATAGACCCAGGGCATATATTATCATATATTTCTTCCATCTGGAGGACTGAAACCAGGGAATATATTATATATGGTAGACTCCTCTTTCACCTGGAGGACTGGAGTCAGGGCATATATTATCATATATATGGTAGACTCCCCTTCCACTTGGAGGAGTAGACCCAGGACACAATTTACCTTATATATGGTAGACTCCTCTCCCACCTGGAGGGATAGACCCAGGGAATATATTATCATATATATGACATACCCTTCTTCCACCTGGAGGACCTGTGTGATGGTTAATACTGAGCGTCAACTTGATTGGATTAAAAGATACAAAGTATTGTTCCTAGATGAGTCTGTAAGGATGTTGCCAAAGGAGCTTAACATTTGAGTCAGTGAGCTGGGAAAGGCAGGAGCCCCCTTAAAGTAGGTGGGCACAATCTAATCAGCTGCCAGCTCAGCTAGAATATAACCAGGGAGAAAAATGTGAAAAGAGAGACTGGCCTAGCCTCCCAGCCTACATCTTTCTCCAGTGCTGGATGCTTCCTGCCCTCAAATATCAGAATCCAAGTCAATTTTGGAACTTGGACTGGCTTTCCTTGCTCCCCAGCCTGCAGACAGCCTATTTTGGGACTTTGTGATAGTGTGAGGTAATACTTAATAAAGTATTTAGCTCTGTCCCTCTAGAGAACCCTAATATACCCAGGGCATATATTATCATATATATGGTAGACTCCCCACTGGAAGACTGAAGACTGGAGCAAGGACATATATTATTAAATACATGGTAGACTCCCCTTCTACCTGGAGGAGTGGATCCAGGGCATATATTATTATATACATGGTGGACTCCCTTCCTCCTGCAGCCAGGACATATATTACCTTACATACCGCTGGGAGAAAAGCTGAGTGTTGGGAGAGAAGCTGAGGCAGGGCTTGGAACATGTCCAGAGTCCAGGGTAAAACCTCTCATGGCCTTTGGAATGTGTCCAGACTTGCTGGATCCTTGCTTCTAGCACTCTCATGATCTCAAGTAGCCATGTGTTTCAAAGAAAATGCTAAACCATCACAACTGTAGTTCATTTGCTTGATACATCACTTCCTTTCAACCCCCAAATCCTCACCACCTGTTTCTTTGTTTGATCACTAATAAATAACATGGGCTTCCAGAGCTCAGGGTCTTTGCATCCTCCATACCAGCGTTGGTCCGCTCATCCCACTTTCTCTCTTAACTTGTCTTTTCTCATTCCTTTGACTCCACTGGACTTTGTCACCCCTGTGGCCTGGTGTTGGGTCTGATCACTCTTTTATATAGCAGTAGACTCATATGTACAGTCTACTGTTTTATACAGCAGTAGACTCATGCCCACAATGACATCATTAAATCCACACAGCGAGGTTTTCTATTGTTGTGTTGACTGCATGGGGATTTGGTCAGGAAAGTCCCCATAACCTCCAAATCCATTGGATGTCCTCCCATGCTAAAGCCCACTGACTTGGAAAACTCTCAAGTTGTGAAATAGATTCATATAAAAATGGACCCTCAGCTCCTCATCTAGAATTGCATAAATTCTGAATGTGTCCTCCTTTTTGGGCACTTCCTTGGACCATGTTTTGAGTGACTTGCCTGCACAGCTTACCTCTTCCTTGGACACTGCCAGTGCTATAGCATTTGAGATAATGAGTTGGTCATTTTTGTTTTGTAGTGGTAATCAGGATTCTCCACAGAAACAGAAACAATAGGATATAGAAGTAGGTAGAGATTTATTTTATGGAATTGGCACACGATTGTGGGAGCTGGAAAGTCTAAAATCTTCAAGACATGCTGGTAGGCTGGAGATTCAGGTAAGATTGATGTACAACCTCTAGTCCTGTTTCTGCAGAGCTGTGGGCCTGCAACTCAGGCATAATTTCTATACTGCAGTCTTGACGCAGAATTTGGTCTTCTTTGAAAAACCCCAATCTTTATTCTTAAGGCTTTTAACTGGTTGGATAAGGCCCATCTCCCTGATGGAGGGTTGTGTCCTTTATTTAAAGTTAATTGATTGTAGACGTTAATCACATTTAGAAAACAACTTCACAGCAACACCAAGACTGTTTTGAGTAAACAATGGATACCATAGCCCAGTGAAGGTGACATATAAAATTAACCAATACATCCCAGGGACACTTAATAGGTCCAGTCCATCTGGTGGAAAAAGAGTCTACCATTTATAAGATAATATATGCTCTGCCTCCAGTTCTCCAGGTGGAAGGTGAGTCTACCACAGATATGATAATATATGCCCTGGGTCTATTCTTCCAGGTGGAAGGGGAGTCTATCATATATATAATAATATATATGCAGTCCTCCATGTGGAAAGGGAGTCTATATGATAATATATATGCCCTGGGTCTATCATCTACGTACCTATCTATCAATCATCTATGTATCTATCTACTAAATGCAAAATCAGGGCTAGGCATGGAGGCTCATACCTGTAATTCCAGGAATTTGGGAAGCCAAGGCAGGAGGATTACTTGAGTCCAAGAGTTCAAGATCAGCCTGGACAAGATGGTGAGACCCTGCCTCTATGTAAAAATTAAAAAATAGGCTGGGCACCTTTGCACACACCTGTATTCCCAACACTTTGGGAGGCCAAGGCGGGCAGATCACGAGGTCAGAGATTGAGATCATCCTGGCTTATATGTTGAAATCCTGTCTCAACTAAAAATACAAAAAATTAGGCAGGCATGGTGGCATGCGCCTGTAGTTCCAGGTACTTGGGAGGCTGAGGCAGGATAATTGCTTGAACCCTGGAGGTGGAGGTTGCAGTGAGCCAAGATCAAGCCACTGCACACCAGCCTGGGTGACAGATAATAATAATAATAATAAAGGAATAATCCGGCTTTTAAATAAATAATTTTCCTTAAAAAAGGAAAAACCAGGCTTTTAAATAATTAGTTTTATTCAATATCTTACTGAAGATTGCAATCCCCGAATCTTTCAGAGAGTTTCTGTTAGACTGCTCCAAAACAGTGTTTCAACCCACAGCTTATATACAGGTGCTAGAGGTTATGCAGGTGCTCAGAAGTTACAACAAATGTGTTCAGAAGTCATAGAAGTCACAACACATGTTCTCAGAAGTCACCTCAGATGTGCTCAGGTGTTGCATTAGAGCCAGTTCTCATCAAGGTTTGAGCGCCAGGGAACAACTGTTTATAGATTACAGAGGCATAGTTATTAATCCTGTCAGACATTATCTTATGTGCAGGAAGGGGCAGGGGCTAGGAGCATTGAAATAATCTTTTCTAAAAATGCAGTGATCCAGGTAAGAGGTGTGGGAACACGTGCTTGATTTATCCCATTTATCACCCTCAGGGCTTTCTTCCACAGGGCTGAAGTCACTCCATCAGGGATTTTGTGACATTCCCCTGGCAAACAGAAGGCACATATCCTGGTTTCTATTGGCAGTTTATCTGGAGAACTCTGGCTAACTCAGGAAGCATTTCCTCCTGAGATGGCATTCAATGATAACATTTTGCTACCTATGTTTCTTACAATTGGAGGAAGTAGTGACTGCGTAAAGGAGAAACAGGGATAGAATGCCCTTCAATTTTTGGCTTCCTGATCCCTAGAAAGGTTGGACAGGTGAGTGCAAGCATACATAAGTGATTATTTGGATGCAGACAGAGAAGCTTTGTCTGGGGAACATCATTTTGATAAAATAAGTACTACCAATATGAAAATTTACCCCGTTAATCAGGACGCTATCCCTTTTATGAAAAATACTACTACAAATATGACTCGATGCTTGTTAAGGTCTTCATCATCACTTTTGGTGATTACTAGTACCCTCATTTGCAAATTTATTTTGCCAGTAAAAAGATGAAGGCTTAGAGAGGGGAGCAAGTGGCCCCAGAGTGGCCAAATGTTTTGTCTGCAAGCTGGCAATGGATTACATTTTCATGTAGCCTCCTGATTAGTCACAGTCTCTTAGAAGAAAGAGGGTTCTGTTTAAACACTGAAACCCTCTGTTTTCTTTTTTAATGAATAGTTTCCTTTTTGTTTTACAGATCAAGAAAGAAAGGTGACTGGACTGGGATGTAAAATTTTAATCGATCTGCCTTTATAAATAGGGAATATTCATAAGGCAAAGGGGAGACACATCACATTGTGTCTAGAGTTGGTTCCTTCCAGTGGGTTCTTGGCCTTGCTGATGTTAAGAATAAAGCTGTGGACCTTCACAGTGAGTGTTACAGCTCCAAAAGATGGTGTGTACAGAGTTTGTTCTTTCCTATGTGTCCAGAGTTTCTTCCTTCCAGTGGGGTCCTGCTGATTGGTCCATTTTACAGAGTGCTGATTGGTCGATTTTACAGAGTGCTGATTGGTGCATTTTCAATCCTTTAGCTAGAGACAGAGTGCTGATTGCTGCATTTTTACAGAGTGCTGATTGGTGCATTAACAATCCTTTAGCTATACAGAGCACTGATTAGTACATTTTTACATAGTGCTGACTAGTGCATTTACAATCCTTTAGCTAGACACAGAGCGCTGTTTGGTGCATTTACAATCCTTTAGCTAGACACAGGGTGCTGATTGGTGTGTTTACAATCCTCTAGCTAGACAGAAAAATTCTGCAAGTCCCCATTCGACCCAGGAAGTCCAGCTGGTTTCACCTCTCAACATCACTTCATAGGGAGTAAAATAATTAAACATCTCTCGGTGTCAATAAGCTTCAGTTAGAAAGCAGTGTTCCTGACTGAAGTAGATCATCACCTAAGGATGAAAATGAAGCCACCTAAATGTATTGAATCCTTGGGCTGGATTGCTTCACAATTCTGGCCTTCTTTCTGTATGCTGACGGCCTGTCGACTTTCCAGGCAGCCCACATGGTGAGCAGGAAGAGAACCATGGGGTTTAGTCACCCACGATATCCTACTGCAGTGCAAGGGCTGGGGAAAGAGGGCTATTATTTGCATATGGGGAGGCATGAACACCATTAAACTGTTCCACTGCGGAGAATCTACAGGTACTAGAGATGAGGAGTAAGTAATTCAGTATCTTCATTTGTAAGTTAAATATTTTAGTAAAAATATAAGTATGCAAATAAAGGGCATTCATTTTTCTTGTTTTGGCTCACTCTAAGATAATAGACTTTATTTTTAGGGCATTTTTAGTCTTACAGAAAAATAACCAGAAAATACATAGAGGTCTTATATACCCTTGTCAATGTAAAAAGGTCAAACTCTATGAAATATTTGAGGAAATTTATGTTGATTCAAATATCAGTGACCAATGACCTGTGATGCTGTTACAGAATAGGGGTCCCGATCCTGACTCCAAGAGAGGGTTCTTAGACCTCATACAAGAAAGAATTCAGTGTGAGTTCATAAAGTGAAAGCAAGTTTATTAAGAAGCTAAAGGAATAAAAGAATGACTAATCTGTAGGCAGAGCAGCGATGTGGGCTACTCAACTGCTTGTACTTATTGTTATTAAGACTTCTTGATTATATGCTAAACAAGGGGTGAGTTTTCTGGGAAAGGGGTGGGCATTTCCCAGACCCGAATTCCTCCCCTTTTGGGACCATATAGGGTAACTTCCTGATGTTGCCATGGTATATGTAAGCTGTCATGACACTGGTGAGAGTGTCTTTTAGCCACTAATGCATTATAATTAGTGTATAATGAGCACTGAGGACAACCAGATGTCACTCATTGCCATCTTGGTTTTGGTGGGATTTGGCCAGCTTCTTTACAGTATGCTGTTTTATAGGCAAGGCCTTTGTGGTCTGTATCTTGTGCCAATGTTCTGTCTCTTCTTGTCAGTTAGAATGACTTAACTTTCTGGGAATGCAGCCCAGTAGGTGTCAACCTTATTTTACCCATCCCGTACTCAAGATGGAGTTGCCCTGGTCCAAATGCCTCTGATAACACAGCCCTCAGGAGAGCTTGAGGACATGCATCTAAGGTGGTTGGAGCACTGCCTAGTTTTATATATTTTAGGGAGACACGAGACAATAATCAAATACATGTCAGATGTACATTTGTTCAATTTGGAAAGGCAGGACAGCGCCACGCTGGGGGAGCTTCCAGGTCATAGGTAGAGTAAAAAATTTTCTGATTTGCAATTGGTTGAGTTATTATCAATAGAAAGGAATGCCTGGGTTGTGACGATAAAAGGTTGGGAAGACCAAGGTTTTATTACTATCACATGGATGAAGCCTCCAGGTAGCAGGTTTCAGAGAGAATAGATTATAAATGTTACTTATCAAACTGAAAGACTGTGGCAATGTTAATTCTAGTCAGTTTTCCCTGAATTCCAAAAGGAGAAGGGTATAATGAAGCTTATCCAACCTTCCCTTCCTGCCATGGCCTGAACCAGTATTTGTTGTTGTTGTTGTTTGTTTTTTTGTTTTTTGTTTTGAGATGGAGTTTCTCTCTTGTTACCCAAGCTGGAGTGTAATGTCAAGATCTCAGCTCACTACAACCTCCGCCTTCCAGGCTCAAGCAATTCTCCTGGCTCAGACTGCCAAGTTGCTGGGATTACAGGCATACAACACCAAGCCCAGCTAATTTTTTATGTTTTTAATAGGGACAGGGTTTCATCATATTGTCCAGGCTGGTCTTGAACTCCTGACCTCAGGTGATCCACCGACCTTGGCTTCCCAAAGTGCTGAGATTACAGGTGTGAGCCACCGTGCCCAGCCTGAACCAGTTTTTCAGGTTAACTAGGAAAGTACTTGTCCAAGAGGAGGGGTCCATTCAGATTCAGACAGTCGGTTGGGGGGAGGCTTAGAATTTTTTTTTTTTTTTGAGATGGAGTCTCACTCCATCACCCAGGCTGGAGTACAGTGGCATTGTGTCTGGAGTTGGTTCCTGCTGGTGGGCTCGTGGTCTCTCTGACTTCAAGAATAGAGCCACGGACCTTCGCAGTGAGTGTTACAGCTCTTAAAGATGGCACAGACCCAAAGGGTGAGCAGTAGCAATGTTTGTTGTGAAGAGCGAAAGGACAAAGCTTCCACTGTGTGGAAGGAAACCGCAGCAGGTTGCTGCTGTTGGCTGTGGTGGTTGGCTTTTCTTTTTTTAAATTTTACTTTAAGTTTTATGGTACATGTGCACAATGTGCAGGTTAGTTACATATGTATACATGTGCCATGTTGGTGTGCTGCACCCAGTAACTCCATTTAACATTAGGTGTATCTCCAGATGCTATCCCTTCCCTCTCCCCATGACCACACAACAGGCCCTGGTGTGTGATGTTCCCTTTCCTGTGTCCATGTGTTCTCATTGTTCAATTCCCACCTATGAGTGGGAACATGTGGTGTTTGGTTTTTTGTCCTTGTGATAGTTTGCTGAGAATGATGGTTTCTAGCACCATCCATGTCCCTACAAATGACATGAACTCATCAATTTTTATGGCTGCATAGTATTCCATGGAGTATATGTGCCATAATTTCTTAATCCAGTCTATCATTGTTGGACATTTGGGTTGGATCCAAGTCTTTGCTATTGTGAATAGTGCCACAATGAACATACGTGTGCATGTGTCTTTATAGCAGCATGATTTATAGTCCTTTGGGTATATACCCAGTAATGGGATGGCTGGGTCAAATGGTATTTCTAGTTCTAGATCCCTGAGGAATCGCCACACTGACTTCCACAATGGTTGAACTAGTTTACAGTCCCACCAACAGTGTAAAAGTGTTCCTATTTCTCCACATCCTCTCCAGCACCTGTTTCCTGACTTTTTAATGATTGCCATTCTAACTGGTGTGAGATGGTATCTCATAGTGGTTTTGATTTGCATTTCTCTGATGGCCAGTGATGATGAGCACTTTTTCATGTGTTTTATGGCTGCATAAATGTCTTCTTTTGAGAAGTGTCTGTTCATATACTTTGCCCACTTTTTGATGGGGTTGTTTGTTTTTTTCTTGTAAATTTGTTGGAGTTCATTGTAGATTCTGGATATTAGTCCTTTGTCAGATGAGTAGATTGCAAAAATTTTCTCCCATTCTGTAGGTTGCCTGTTCACTCTGATGGTAGTTTCTTTTGCTGTGCAGAAGCTCTTTAGTTTAATTAGATCCCATTTGTCAATTTTGGCTTTTGTTGCCATTGCTTTTGGTGTTTTAGACATGAAGTCCTTGTGCATACCTATGTCCTGAATGGTATTGCCTAGGTTTTCTTCTAGGGTTTTTATTGTTTTAGGTCTAATGTTTAAGTCTTTAATCCATCTTGAATTGATTTTTGTATAAGGTGTAAGGAAGGGATCCAGTTTCAGCTTTCTACATAAGGCTAGTCAGTTTTCCCAGCACCATTTATTAAATAGGGAATCATTTCCCCATTTCTTGTTTTTGTCAGTTTTGCCAAAGATCAGATGGTTGTAGATATGCAGCATTATTTCTGAGGGCTCTGTTCTGTTTCATTGGTTTATATCTCTGTTTTGGTACCAGTACCATGCTGTTTTGGTTACTGTGGCCTTATAGTATAGTTTGAAGTCAGGTAGTGTGATGTCTCCAGCTTTGTTCTTTTGGCTTAGGATTGTCTTGGCAATGCAGGCTCTTTTTTGGTTCCATATGAACTTTAAAGTAGGTTTTTCCAATTCTATGAAGAAGGTCGTGGTAGCTTGATGGGGATGACATTGAATCTATACATTACCTTGGGCCGTATGACCATTTTCATGATATTGATTCTTCCTACCCATGAGCATAGAATGTTCTTCCATTTGTTTGTATCCTCTCTTATTTTGTTGAGCAGTGGTTTGTAGTTCTCCTTGAAGATGTCCTTCATGTCCCTTGTAAGTTGGATTCCTAGGTATTTTATTCTCTTTGAAGCAATTGTGAATGGGAGTTCACTCATGATTTGGCTCTCTGTTTGTCTGTATTGATGTATAAGAATGCTTGTGATTTTTGCACATTGATTTTGTATACTGAGATTTGCTGAAGTTGCTTATCAACTTAAGGAGATATTGGGCTGAGACGATGGGGTTTTCTAGATATACAATCATGTCATCTGCAAACAGGGACAATTTGACTTCCTCTTTTCCTAACTGAATACCCTTTATTTCCTTCTCCTGCCTGATTGCCCTGGCCAGAACTGTCAACACTGTGTTGAATAGGAGTGGTGAGAGAGGGCATCCTGTCTTGTGCCAGTTTTCAAAGGGAATGCTTCCAGTTTTTTCCCATTCAGTATGATATTGGCTGCGGGTTTGTCATAGATAGCTCTTATTATTTTGAGATATGTCCCAT
The DNA here is from genome assembly GCF_000001405.40 of Homo sapiens. Taxonomy (NCBI): domain Eukaryota; kingdom Metazoa; phylum Chordata; class Mammalia; order Primates; family Hominidae; genus Homo; species Homo sapiens. The sequence continues at coordinate 12,184,815 of NC_000024.10, read as the reverse complement.
CAATACCTAATTTATTGAGAGCTTTTAGCCTGAAGTGTTGCTGAATTTTATCTAAGGCCCTTCCTGCATCTATTGAGATTATCATATGTTCTTTGTCATCAGTTCTGTTTATATGCTGGATTATGTTTATTGATTGCCATATGTTGAACCAGCCTTGCATCCCCGGGATGAAGCCTACTTGATCATAGGTGATAAGCTTTTTCATATGCTGCTGGATTCAGTTTACTAGTATTTTACTGAGGATTTTTGCATGGATGTTCATCAGGGATATTGGTCTAAAATTCTCTTTTATTGTTGTGTCTCTGCCTGGCTTTGGTATCAGGATGATGCTGGCCTCATAAAATGAGTTAGGGAGAATTCCCTCTTTTTGTATTGGTTGGAATAGTTTCAGAAGGAATGGTACCAGCTCCTCCTTGTACCTCTGGTAGAATATGGCTGTGAATCCATCTGGTCCTGGACTTTTCTTGGTTGGTAAGCTGTTAATTATTGCCTCAATTTCAGATCCTGTTATTGGTCTATTCAGAGATTCAACTTCTTCCTGATTTAGACTTGGGAGGGTGCATGTGTCAAGGAATTCATCCATTTCTTCTAGATTTTCTAGTTTATTTGCATAGAGGTGTTTATAGTATTCTCTGATGGTAGTTTGTATTTCTGTGGGATTGGTGGTGATATCCCCTTTATCATTTTTTATTGCGTCTATTTGATTCTTCTCTGTTTTCTTCTTTATTAGTCTTGCTAGTTGTCTATGAATTTTGTTGATCTTTTCAAAAAACCAGCTCCTGGATTCATTGATTTTTGAAGGGTTTTTTTTGTGTCTCTATTTCCTTCAGTTCTGCTCTCATCTTAGTTATTTCTTGCCTTCTGCTAGTTTTGGAATATGTTTGCTCTTGCTTCTCTAGTTCTTTTAATTGTGATGTTACAGTGTCAATTTTAGATTTTTCCTGCTTTCTCTTGTGGGCATTTAGTGCTATAAATTTCACTCTACACACTGCTTTGAATGTGTCTCAGAAATTCTGGTATGTTGTGTCTTTGTTCTCTTTGGTTTCAAATAACATGTTTATTTCTGCCTTCATTTTGTTATGTACCCAGTAGTCATTCAGGAGCAGGTAGTTCAGTTTCCATGTACATGAGCTGTTTTGAGTAAGTTTCTCAGTCCTGAGTCCTAGTTTGATTGCACTGTGGTATGAGAGACAGTTTGTTATAATTTCTGTTTTTTACATTTGCTGAGGAGTGCTTTACTTCCAACTATGTGGTCAATTTTGGAATAAGTGCAGTGTGGTGCTGAGAAGAATGTATATTTGGTTGACTTAGGGTGGAGAGTTCTGTAGATTCTATTATGTCTGCTTGGTGCAGAGCTGAGTTCCATTCCTGGATATCCTTGTTAACTTTCTGTCTCATTGATCTGTCTAATGTTGACAGTGGGGTGTTAAAGTCTCCCATTATTATTGTGTGGGAGTCTAAGTTTCTTCCTAGGTCTCTAAGGACTTGCTTTATGAATCTCACTGCTCCTGTGTTGGTTGCATATATATTTAGGATAGTTAGCTCTTCTTGTTGAACTGATCCCTTTACCATTATGTAATGGCCTTCTTTGTCTCTTTTTGATCTTTGTTTGCTTAAAGTCTGTTTTATCAGAGACTAGGATAGCAACCCCTGCCATTTTTTGTTTTCCATTTGCTTGGTAGATCTTCCTCCATCCCTTTATTTTGAGCCTATGTGTGTCTCTGCACGTGAAATGGGCTTCCTGAATACAGCACACTGATGGGTCTTGACTCTTTATCCAATTTGCCAGTCTGTGTCTTTTTTTATTGGAGCATTTAGCTCATTTACATTTAAGGTTAATATTGTTATATGTGAATTTGATCCTGTCATTATGATGTTAGCTCGTTATTTTGCCCATTAATTGATGTAGTTTCTTCCTAGCATTTATGGTCTTTATAATTTGGCATGTTTTTGCAGCAGCTGGTACTGGTTATTCCATTCCATGTCAGTGCTTCCTTCAGGAGCTGTTTTAGGGCAGGCCTTGTGGTGACAAAATCTCTCAGCATTTGCTTGTCTGTAAAGTATTTTATTTCTCCTTCACTTATGAAGCTTAGTTTGTCTGGATATGAAATTCTGGGGTGAAAATTCTTCTCTTGAAGAATGTTGAATATTGGCACCCACTCTCTTCTGGCTTGTAGAGTTTCTGCCAAGAGATCCGCTGTTAGTCTGATGGGCTTCCCTTTGAGGGTAACCCGACCTTTCTCTCTGGCTGCCCTTAGCATTTTTTTCCTTCATTTCAACTTTGGTGAATCTGACAATTATGTGTCTTCGAGTTGCTCTTCTTGAGGAGTATCTCTGTGGCATTCTCTGTATTTCCTGAATTTGAATGTTGGCCTGCTTTACTAGATTGGGGAAGTTCTCCTGGAGAATACCCTGCACAGTGTTTTCCAACTTGGTTCCATTCTCCCCATCACTTTCCGGTACACCAATCAGATGTAGATTTGGTCTTTTCCATCATCCCATATTTCTTGGAGGCTTTGTTCATTTCTTTTTATTCTTTTTTCTCTAATCTTCTCTTCTCACTTCATTTCATTTTTTGATCTTCCATCCCTGATACCCTTTCTTCCAGGTGATCGAATTGGCTACTGAGGCTTGTGCATTCATCACTTAGTTCTCATACCTTGGTTTTCAGCTCCATCAGGTCCTTTAAAGACTTCTCTGCATCGGTTATTCTAGTTAGCCATTCGTCTAATTTTTTCTCAAGGTTTTTACCTTCTTTGCCATGGGTTCAAGCTTTGTCCTTTAGCTTGGAGTAGTTTGATTGTCTGAACCCTTTTTCTCTCAATTCATTGAAGTCATTCACCATCCAGCTTTGTTCAATTTCTGGTGAGGAGGTGCATTCCTTTGGAGGAGGAGAGGCACTTGGATTTTTAGAGTTTCCAGCTTTTCTGCTCTGTTTTTTCCCCATCTTTGTGGCTTTATCTACCTTTGGTCTTTGATGATGGTGACGTACAGATGGGATTTCAGTGTGGATGTCCTTTCTGTTTGTTAGTTTTCCTTCTAACAGTCAGGAGCCTCAGCTGCAGGTCTGTTGGAGTTTGTTGGAGGTCCACTCCAGACCCTGTTTTCCTGGGTATCAACAGTGGAGGCTGCAGAACAGCAGATATTGGTAAACAAAAAATGTTGCTGCCTGATCGTTCCTCTGGAAGTTTTTTCTCAGAGAAGTACCTGCCTGTGTGAGTTGTCAGTCTGCCTCTACTCGGGGGTGCCTCCCAGTTAAGCTACTCAGGGGTCAGGGAACCACTTGAGGAGGCAGTCTGTCCATTCTCAGATCTCCAGCTGTGTGCTGGGAGAACCACTACTCTCTCTTCAACACTGTCAGATAGGGACGTTTAAGTCTGCAGAGGATTCTGCTGCCTTTTGTTTGGCAATGCCCCACCCCCAGAGGTGGAGTCTACAGAGGCAGGCAGGCCTTCTTGAGCTGCAGTGGGCTCCACCCAGTTTGAGCTTCCCAGCTGCTTTGTTTACCTACTCAAACCTCAGCAATGAAGGTCACCCCACCCCCAGCCTCGCTGCTGCCTTGCAGTTTGATCTCAGACTGTAGTGCTAGCAATGAGTGAGGCTCCGTGGGCATAGGACCCTCTGAGCCAGGCATGTGATATAATCTCCTGGTGTGCCATTTGCTAAGACCATTGGAAGAGTGCAGTATTAGGGTGGGAGTGACATGATTTTCCAGCTGCTGTCTGTCACTCCTTTCTTTGACTAGGAAAGGGAATTCCCTGACCCCTTGTACTTCCCAGGTGAGGCCATGCCTCGCCCTGCTTTGGCTCACACTCGGTGCACTGCACCCACTGTCCGGCACGTGCTTTCCAACGCTCCCCAGTGAGATGAACCCGGTACCTCAGTTGGAAATGCAGAAATCACCCGTCTTCTGTGTCGCTCATGCTGAGAGCTGTAGAGCGACTGTAGAGTGACTGGAGCTGTCCCTATTCAGCCATCTTAGCTCCACCCCTGATCAGCTTTGAGTCCGTTATTGGCCCCTCCCACGTTCCATTTCTGTCCTATCAGAGTGCCCTTTTTCAATCCTCCCCATGATTGGCTACTTTTAAACTCATGCTGATTGGTGCATCTTACAGAGCACTGATTGGCCAAGGTGGTCAGGTCAGAACTTGGTTTTATATATTTTACAGAAATATGAGACATCAATCAATACATGTAAGAAGTGCATTGGTTCAGACTGGAAAGGAAGGGCAACTCTAAGGTGGAAGGGAGTTGCAGATCTTAGGTAGATAAGAGAAAAAAATGGTTACTTTTTTTGAGTTTCTGATTAGCCTTTCACTGAATGCAAAATTTAATTTACAGGAATTAGTCACTTATGCCTCAGTCTGGTTTAGTGAAACAACAGGACAGAGGAAGTCATCAGATATGCACTTATCTTACAGGAGCCAAGTGATGACTTTGAGTTTCTTCTTCCCTTTGTCCACAAGGAATTTCCTTGTGGACAAATTGTGAGGGAAGGATATAGCTTTTTCATCTTTGCAGTTATCTTATTCAGGAATAGAATGGGAGTCAGGTTTGCCTGACACAGTTCCCAGTTTGACTTTTCCCTTTGGATTAATAATTTTGGTATCATGAGATATATTTTCCCTTCACAATACATTATTTTTCAACTAAAGTCCATAGTTTCTATCAGGTTTACCACTTCCGTTGTACACTCTCTGGGTTTTGACAAGTGCATATATGTTACTATATTATTGTAACACCTTTGCAGATATAAGGTAATCCAGAGAATGTATGCAGAATTGATTTAGAATTCCAGACTGTGTGATACTATGTTTTTATTTGTTTGTTTATTTTTTTAAGATGGAGTCTCACTCTGTCATCCAGGCGGGAGTGCAGTGGTGCAATCTCAGCTCACTGCCACCCTCGCCTCTCAGGTTCAATGATTCTCCTGCCTCAGCCTCCTGAGTAGCTGGGATTACAGATGCTCACCACCAAGCCCGGCTAACTTTTGTAATTTTGTTAGAGATAGAATTTTGCCATGTTGCCCAGGCTGGTCTTGAACTCCCGACCTCAGGTGATCCATCCACCTCGGCATCCCAAAGTGTTGGGATTACAGGCGTGAGCCACCATGCTGGGCCGCGATGTTTTTTTTAAACCCCCAATTAATTTCTCTGCATCAACTAAGAAATAAATCTGTCCAGGTGCTGTGGCTCATGCCTGTAATCCCAGAACTTTGAGAGGCCAAGGTGGGTAGATCACGAGGTCAGGAGATCAAGACCATCCTGGCTAACATGGTGAAAACCCGTCTCTACTAAAAATACAAAAAATTAGCTGGGCATAGTGGCGGGCGCCTGTAGTCCCAGCTACTCTGGAGGCTGAGGCAGGAGAATGGCACGAACGCAGGAGGTGGAGCTTGCAGTGAGCCGAGAATGCACCACTGCACACCAGCCTGGACGACAGAGCCAGACTCCATCTCAAAAAAAAAATTAATAATAAAAAAAGAAATCCATCTCTTCTAATAAAACGCAAAGGATTGAAGGTTTCTTGTTGCTCACTTTATTAGCCTGTTTTCACACTGCTATAAAGAAATACCTGAGACTAGGTAATTTTTGAAGAAGAGAGGTTTAATTGGCTTACAGTTCTGCAGGCTAGACAGGAAGCATGGCTGGGGAGACCTCAGAAAACTTACAAGATGGCGGAAGGTGAAGGGGAAGCAGGAGTCTTAAACGGACAGAGCAGGAGCAAGAGAGACAGAGAGGAGCTGCCATGCACTTTAAACATCCAGATTTCCTGAGAACTCTATCATGAAAGCAGAACTAGGAGGATAGTGCAAAACCATTAGAAACTGCCCCCATGATCCAGTCACCTTGCTCCAGGCTGCATCTCCAGGATTGGGGATTACAATTGAACTGATATTTGGGCAGGGGTACAGATCCAAGTCATATCACTCACCTTAAAGGAAGCAATGTCAGAGACACGAAGGCAATCCAAAAAAATGATGTCCCTATTGGGAGTGTGTTATCTGTTAAGAATGTATATTGATAAGCACCAGACACTTGTAATATATGTAGGAGAATTATGCAGTTTAAGAAAACAAAGACAAGATCGTTCTTCAACACCAAGAGCCAGAGGATTGTCATGGAACAAACCAAACTTCAGGGAGGAAAAAAAAAGTTTTTTTCAAAAATTACCAAATTTTGACTGCAGTTCTACTTTTGACTTCCATGACAGGCAATTCCAAATTGACAAACTTTGTTTCTCAGCTTTGAGAATGGACTTTACTTGTGGGGTGACAGAGAAAGAGGATATCATAAATTCTCACTGCATAGAGTAGTGTTTGGCCAGTTAAGCAAAGAAAAGGGTTAATTTCTATTTAAGAAATTTTAAGCTTCCCAGGATTTTCTCTAGGTCTTGCCTTGTATGTACAAGTGCAATAAAGGAACTGTTTCACTGATGTCCTGATGAAATCGCCTTTGAAAAATTGTGACTGAGACAGTCAAAGAGGTCTAACCTAACCAAGTCCATCTTGCTTCTCACCTCTAAGCTGTCCTTTTTTGTTCCTAGGTGTAGGCTGAACTATGGGAGAAAATTAGCTTATAGTTTAAAATATAGATGATAACAGCCCTTTCCAAAGCAGATCTTCTTCTTGCCTGGGGACTAGACTGCATTTTTAGGACTAATATTAGCCACAAGATTAGAAATTGTGGGTTAGGAGTCATGCACCTGGAGACTACAAGATTCTAGCCCTCCCTAAACTGCTCCTAAGTTCAGTGCTTGAGATATTTTGCAGACCCTGCACTTGATGAATCAGCTGGCACCACTCAGATCAATAAATTGGCCCCCCCATCCAGGAAGTGATTCAGCAAGAGGACAGCTTTAATTCCCTATGGTTTCATCCCTGACCAATCAGAAATCCTGGCTCACTGGCTTCCCCGACCCACCAAGTTGTCCTTAAAAACTCTGATCCTGGAATGCTCAGGGAGACTGATTGAAGAAATAATAAAACTTCAGTCTCCCTCATAGGTGGCTCTGCCTGAATTAATGTTTCTCTATTGCAATTCCCCTATCTAGATAAATCTGCTCTCTCTAGGCAGTGGGCAAGGTTAACTCTTTAAGCAGTCATACGTTGCTTCTTGAGGGAACTAATTTCCGGCTCTGGCTTTTTTGTCTGTCTGTTGGTGAGGTTTCATTTCTAGTCTGTCTGAACTGTGTGTCTTCTGAGATGTTAAGCACTTACTGGGGAATTAGTTCATATTTGTTACTCTGGCTGCTATTTCAGTCTTCAGGTCCAGGACTTTGAGGTTTCTATTTTTTTTTTTTTGAGACAGAGTCTCACTCTGTTGCCCAGGCTGGAGTGCATTGGCATGATCTCGGCTCACTGCAAGTTCTACCTCCAGGTTTCAAGTGATTCTCCTGCCTTAGCCTCCAGAGTATCTGGGATTACAGGCAAGTAACACCACACCTGGCTAATTTTTTGTATTTTAGTAGAGACGGGGTTTCACCATGTTGGTCAGGCTTGTCTCGAACTCCTGACCTCAGGTGATCTGCCTGCCTTGGCCTCCCAAAATGCTGGGATTACAGGCTGAGCCACCGGGCTGGCTTTTTGTGTGTGTGTGTGTGTGTGGAGGCAGGGTCTTGCTTTGTCGACCAGACTAGAGTACAGTGGCATCATCTCAGCTCACTGCAACCTCTGCCTCCCAAGTTCAAGGGATTCTTCTGTGTCAGCTTCCCAAGTAGTTGGGATTACAGGTGTGCACCACCATGCCTAGCTAATTTTTTGTATTTTAGTAGAGACAGGGTTTCACCATGTTGGTCAGGCTGGTCTTGAACTGCCAACCTCAGGTGATCCACCTGCCTTGGTCTCCCAAAGTGCTGGGATTACACGTGTGAACCACTGAGCCTGGGCTGAGGTTTCATTTATTTTAGTGATTGGGTTTTTTAACCTGAAATTCCATGTGTCAATGGTAAGAGGAAGTGTGAGTGCATTTGCTCAGCCTCTTGTGTCACTAGGATGGAACCACAGTGATCATTTAAAAGATAAATAGGGATTTGGTGCAGTGGCTCATGTCTGTAATCCCAACAGTTTGGGAGGCCAAGGCGGGTGGTTCACCTGAGGTCAGGAGTTCAAGACCAGCCTGGCCAACATGGTGAAACCCCATATCTATTAAAATTACAAAAATTAGCCAGGTGTGGTGGTCCACACCTGTAATCCCAGCTACTTGGGAGGCTGAGGTGGGAGAATTGCTTGAACCCAGGAGGTGGAGGCTGCAGTGAGCCAAGATTGCACCACTGCACACCAGCCTGGGTGACAGAGTGAGAATCTATCTCAAAAAAGAGATAAATAGGGTTATGTAATATCATTCCCCTCTTTTTAAAGCAGTCATTTGTAGACTTTAATAAAGTAGGATTGATTCACTCTTTTACAAAAGCAGTATACATATATATGTTGCATATATATTGCATATATATGTTGCATATAAATATATATATATATATATATAGCATATATATGTATTTTTTTTGAGATGGAATCTCACCCTGTTGCCCAGGCTGGAGTGCAGTGGTGTGATTTCAGCTCACTGCAACCTCCACCTTCCAGGCTCAAGCAATCCTCCTGCCTCTGCCTCCCCCGTAGCAGAGACCACAGACACACATCACCACCCAATTAATTTTTGTATTTTTTTGTAGAGAGGGGATCTTGCCCAGGTTTTTCTCAAACTCCCAGGCTCAAATGATCCTCCTGCCTCAGCCTCCCAAGTACCTGGGACTACAGTGACACACCATATTGCCCAGCTAATTTTTGTATTTTTGGTAGAGATAGTGTTTTGCCATGTTGCCCAGGTGTTCTCAAACTCCTGAGTTCAGGTGATTTTCCCACTTTGATCTCCCAAAGTGTTGGGATTAGAGGAATGTGCCACTGCACCCGGCCGCAAACCAGTATTTTTTAAAAGAATTTTCCAAAATGTTAAGGTTGACTTTCTGGGTTGTGAGATCCCAGATACTATATGTCATACAATATTCTTCAATTATATCTATAATTTTACCATTTTTTAGCAATAAAAAATAATAATATTGGGCTGGGCACAGTATCTCATGCTAGTAATTCTGGCACATTGGGAGGCTGAGGTGGGAGGATTGCTTAAGCCAAAGAGTTTGAGACCAGTCTGAGCAACACTGCGAAATCTCATCTCTACAAAAAATACAAAAATTAGCTGGGCGTAGTGGCACAGTCCACTTCCAGGTGCTTCCAGGTTCTTGGGAGGCTGAAGTAGGGGAATCACCTGAGCCCAGGAAGTGAAGGCTGCAGTGAGCTATGACTGCACTACTGCATTTCAGACCCTGCCTCAGTAATGCATAATTATATAATTAAACTAATAATATTTAAAAAACATAGTGGATACAATTGCCCAGAAATTATAAGACCTTTAACTGAGTATCACGTGAGAGTAGCCAAAATTGATTTCTCAAAATTACATGATTTGGCCATAGATAAGGACATGTAAATTTGGGGAAAATTCATGAAAAAGAGAATGAGATATTTGATCAAAGATGAAGATTCCTGCTTCTGTTGGAAAATATGAAAGAACAACAGGACACATTCATTGTGATTTCAGGAAAGGTTTTAATGGGATGACTTCAAAAAGGAAGACATCTTTTTAATTGCAAAAATGGCAAGGGCACATTGTTGTTGTGAAGTCAGTAGGAAATAAATGAGCTAATCTAAGGCAATGACATAAAGCTTCCAGGAAAGAAATATGGACAGTGGTGCAGTCATGAGAAATGTGTTTGATCTTGCAGAAGTGGCGTCATTTGTGAGAGTGACAGGCAGATTCATACAAGCAAGTAGAATGCAACCTACAGGCACAGAACCGACACACCTCGCTTAAAGGGGAGCTGGAATTTAGGATGCATAATTTAGGGAGAAGATGATAAAATAATGGCTAACCAACTAGCACACACACAAATGAACATGTGTGCATGCACACACACACACACACGAATCTACTATATCAAAGAAAATAGAAACAGCCTGAATTTTTGGTGCACAATTTTAAAAGCAGATACTGTAAAAGTAAATTTGAGCTGGGCACTGTGGCTCACACCTGTAATCCTAGCAGTTTGAGAGGCTGAAGAATGTGGATCACTTGAGGCCAGAAGTTCAAGACCAACCTAGCACACATGATGAGATTCTGTCTCTACCAAAAATACAAAAATTAGCCTGGTGTGGTGGTTCACACCTGTCATTCCAGCTGCTGTGGTGGCTGATACATGATAAATGCTTGAACCTGAGAGGTGGAGGTTGCAGTAAGTTGAAATATTACTACTGCACTCCAGCCTGGGTGACAGAGTGAGACTCTCTCTCAAAAAAAAAAAAAGAAAAGGGGGATTGAAAAGTATGATAAATAGAGAAAGTTAATTAAAATACGAGAATCTTGAAAGTTGTATATCATTACGGATTAGGGATTAACTGATTAAGCACTATTCAATCCCTTTTCTTTCTTTTTTTTTAGACAGGATCTTAGTCTGCCACCGAGACTGGAGTTCAGCGGTAAAATAATAGCTCACTGCAGCTTTTAACTCCTGGGCTCAAGTGATCCTCCTGCCTCAGCCTCTTGAGTAGCTGGGACTACAGCTGTGCATCACCATGCCCAGCTAAGTTTTTAATTTTTTGTAGAGATTGGTGAGGGGGCGGGTCTCACTATGTTGCATAGGCTGGGGTCAAACTCCTTGCCTCAAGCCATCCTTTCACCATGGCCTCCCAAGGCTCTGACATTACAGATGTGAGCCACTGTGCCTGGCCTCTTATTTTTTTAATGTATCAGTTGCACAAGACTCCTGCATACAGCGAAGCAGGTTGGAAAGAGATTAAGCTCTGATGAGAAACCATTCAGTCTTGTACATTTTCTTCTTTGTAGGATTCTGAACAGATCACCTTATCTCTAGATTTCAGCTTTTTCAGCTTCAAAACAAAAAGTTGGACCTGAGTTATCTTGACGGTTCTTAATGAAATTCTCTGAGTCCTGTATAAGAAAAACACTTGTAATTTTCCCCTATTTTGTTCTAAAATATAGAGAGATTTTCTTCCTTTTAATTCTTTGTTTAGAATCCAACTTTATGTTTTGTTTTGAATAAATCTCTGAGAATGAGATGTTGATTTCTGTGGGTCTTTCAAGGTGAATTTTCTTTTTTTTTTTTTCCGGAATGGCAAAATAAGTTTATTTTTTCTTTTTTTCTTTTTTTTACTGTATTATATTTTAATTTGTATTATTGCTTACTGTTACATATTTTCTTCTTCTTCTTATTATTATACTTTAAGTTTTAGGGTACATGTGCACAACGTGCAGGTTAGTTACGTATGTATACATGTGACATGCTGGTGCGCTGCACCCACTAACTCGTCATCTAGCATTAGGTATATCTCCCAAAGCTATCCCTCCCCCCTCCCCCGACTCCACAACAGTCCCCAGAGTGTGATGTTGGAAATCATCATTCTCAGTAAACTATCGCAAGGAAAAAAACCCAAACACCGCATATTCTCACTCATAGGTGGTAATTGAACAATGAGAACACATGGACACAGGAAGGTGAATTTTCATTCAGGCATAAAAAAATGATTCACTCTCGGAAAATGTCAGCTGACTGAGTTGCCACTTTAAGTCAGGAATAAGTATAAAGTGCATTTTATACAGAATATTACCTATTCCATGTAACTCCTTAATAGAGGGTTTTATTTTGTTTTTGTTTTTGAGACAGAGTCTCACTCTGTCACCCAGGCTGGAGTGTAGTGGCGTGATCTCGGCTCACTGCAACCTCCGCCTCCTGGGTTCAAGCAACTCTTTGCCTCAGCCTCCCTGGTAGCTGGGATTACAGGCACCCGTTGCCATGCCTGGCTAATTTTTTTGTATTTTTAGTAGAGACAGGGTTTCAGCAAGTTGGCCAGGCTTGTCTTGAACTCCTGACATCGTGATCCACCCACCTCAGCCTCCCAAAGTGCTGGGATTACAGGCGTGAGCCACCGCACCTGGCCATAGAAGGTTTTAAAAGAAATCCAGACTTCATGAAATGAGAATATCCAGAGAGAAAAGGACTGAATTTGAAGAGAGAGAGAGAGAGAGAGAGAAAGAGAAAAGGAACTTCAGTGGTAACTGTGTTCAGCCAAGGGGATCTGCTAATGGAATTATGAAATCCATTTTGGGAAGTGAAGTGAACTTTCCCAGCCACTGACTCAAAGCACAAGATCCTAAAGTACTTAATGAACAGTGAAGGCTGACCTGTGAAAGATTAGGAATTTTACACGTGTTACTTAAGCTTCTCATTCCCAGAACCAAACTTCCTTGCAATAAAAGAAAGAAATAAGTCAGCATGATGGCTCTGTCACTGGTCTAACATCAGATCGTGCTGGTCTCAGTGACGAACAGAAGGAATGAGAAATCTTCTAACAGATTCCACATTTCTGGTATTGTTTTTGACTCCTCCGACTTTATTTTTACCTCAACTACCCTGTAGCCTGATCTCAGTATTTCCCCTGAAATACGACAATTTTTCTCTGAAATACAACAATCTTGCTACCTGAATCAGCAGATCATTGTTCCATGGCAAAGTAATCATTGAGGGAAGACGTGAAAGAAAAAAGACTATTCAAAAAACCAGCTCCCGGATTCATTGATTTTTTGAAGGTTTTTTTGTGTCTCTATCTCTTTCAGTTCTGCTCTGATCTTAGTTATGTCTTGCCTTCTGCTAGCTTTTGAATGTGTTTGCTCTTGCTTCTCTAGTTCTTTTAATTGTGATGTTAGGGTGTTAATTTTAGATCTTTCCTACTTCCTCTTGTGGGCATTTAGTGCTATAAATTTCCCTCTACACACTGCCTTAAATGTGTCCCAGAAATTCTTTTATGTTGTGTCTTTGTTCTTGTTGGTTTCAAAGAACATCTTTATTTATGCCTTTATATCGTTATGTACCCAGTAGTCATTCAGGAACACGTTGTTCAGTTTCCATGTAGTTGAGCGGTTTTGAGCGAGTTTCTCAATCCTGAGTTCTAGTTTGATTGCACTGTGGTCTGAGAGATGGTTTGTTATAATTTCTGTCTTTTACATTTGCTGGGGAGTGCATTACTTCCAACTATGTTGTCAATTTTGGAATAAGTGTGATGTGCTGCTGAGAAAAATGTATATTCTGTTGAGGTCTGCTTGATGCAGAACTGAATTCAATTCCGGGTTATCATTGTTAACTTTCTGTCTCATAGATCTGTCTAATGTTCACAGTGGGGTGTTAAAGTCTCCCACTATTATTGTGTGGGAGTCTAAGTCTCTTCCTAAGTCTCTAATGACCTGCTTTATAAATCTGGGTGCTCCTGTATTAGGTGCATATATATTTAGGATAGTTAGCTCTTCTTGTTGAATGGATTCCTTTACCATTAGGTAATGGCCTTCTTTGTCTCTTTTAATCTTTGTTGGTTTAAAGTTTGTTTTATCAGAGACTAGGATTGCAACCCCTGCCTTTTTTCGTTTTTCATTTTCTTGGTAGATCTTCCTCCATCCCTTTATTTTGAGCCTATGTGTGTCCTTGCACATGAGATGGGTTTCCTGAATACAGCATGCTGATAGACCACTAGCAAGACTAATGAAGAAAAGAGAGCAGAATCAAATAGATGCAATAAAAAATCATAAAGGGGATATCACCACCAATCCCACAGAAATACAAACTACCATCAGAGAATACTATAAACACCTCTATGCAAATAAACTAGAAAACCTAGAAGAAATGGATAAATTCCTTGACACATGCACCCTCCCAAGTCTAAACCAGGAAGAAGTTGAATCTCTGAATAGACCAATAACAGGCTCTGAAATTGAGGTGATTATTAATAGCTTACCGACCAAAAAAGAGTCCAGGACCAGATGGATTCACAGCCAAATTCTACCAGAGGTACAAGGAGGAGCTGGTACCATTCCTTCTGAAACTATTCCAATCAATAGAGAAAGAGACAAGCCTCCCTAACTCATTTTGTGAGGCCAGCATCATCCTGATACCAAAGCCTGGGAGAGACACAACAACAAAAAGAGAATTTTAGACCAATATCCCTGACGAACATTGATGTGAAAATCCTCAACAAAATACTGGCAAACCGAATCCAGCAGCACATCATAAAGCTTATCCCCCATGATCAAGTGGGCTTCATCCCGGGGATGCAAGGCTGGTTCAACATACACAAATCAATAAAGATAATCCAGCATATAAACAGAACCAAAGACAAAAACCACATTATTATCTCAATAGATGCAGAAATGGCCTTTGACAAAAATTCAACAGCCCTTCATGCTAAAAAGTCTCAGTAAATTAGATATTGATGGGACATATCTCAAAATAATAAGAGCTATTTATGACAAACCCACAGCCAATATCATACTGAATGGACAAAAACTGGACGCATTCCCTTTGAAAACTGGCACAAAACCATGATGCCTCTCTCATCATTCCTATTTAACATAGTGTTGGAAGTTCTGGCCAGGGCAATCAGGCAGGAGAAAGAAATAAAGGGTATTCAATTAGGAAAAGAGGAAGTCAAATTGTCCCTGTTTGCAGATGACATGAATTGTATATCTAGAGAAGCCCATCATCTCAGCCCAAAATCTCCTTAAGCTGATAAGCAACTTCAGCAAAGTCTCAGGATACAAAATCAATGTGCAAAAATCACAAGCATTCTTATACACCAATAACAGACAAACAGAGAGCCAAATCATGAATGTACTCCCATTCACAATTGCTTCAAAGAGAATAAAATACCTAGAAATCCAAGTTACAAGGGATGTGAAGGGCCTTTTCAAGGAGAACTACAAACCACTGCTCAACAAAATAAAAGAGGATACAAACAAATGGAAGAACGTTCCATGCTCATGGATAGGAAGAATCAATATTGTGAAAATGGCCATACTGCTCAAGGTAATTTATAGATTCAATGCCATCCCCATCAAGCTACCAAGGCTTTCTTCACAGAATTGGAAAAAACTACTTTAAAGTTCATATGGAACCAAAAATGAGCCCACATTGCCAAGACAATCCTAAGCCAAAAGAACAAAGCTGGTGGCATCATGCTACCTGACTTCAAACTGTACTACAAGGCTACAGTAACCAAAACAGCATGGTACTGGTACCAAAACAGAGATACAGACCAATGGAACAGTACAGAGCCCTCAGAAATAATATCACACATCTACAACTATTTGATCTTTGACAAACCTGACAAAAACAATAAATGGGGAAAGGATTTCCTATTTAATAAATGGTGCTGGGATAACTGGCTAGCCATATGTAGGAAGCTGAAACTGGATCCCTTCCTTACACCTTATACAATAATCAATTCAAGATGGATTAAAGACTTAAATTTTAGACCTAAAACCATAAAAACCCTAGAAGAAATCCTAGGCAATACCATTCAGGACATAGGCATGGACAAGGACTTCATGAATAAAAACGTCAAAAGCAATGGCAACAAATTCCAAAATTAGCAAATGGGATCTAATTAAACTAAAGAGCTTCTGCACAGCAAAATAAACTACCCTCAGAGTGAACAGGCAACCTACAGAATGGGAGAAAATTTTTGCAGTCTACTCATCTGACAAAGGGCTAATATCCAGAATCTACAAAGAATTCAAACAAATTTACAAGAAAAAAGACAAAGAACTCCATCAACAAGTGGGCGAAGGATATGAACAGACACTTCTCAAAAGAAGACATTTATGCAGCCAAAGACACATGAAAAAATGCTCATCATCACTGGCCAACAGAGAAATGCAAGTCAAAACCACAATGAGATACCATCACACACCAGTTAGAATGAAGATCATTAAAAAGTCAGGAAACAACAGGTGCTGGAGAGGATGTGGAGAATTAGGAAAACTTTTACACTGTTGGTGGAACTGTAAGCTAGTTCAGCCATTGTGGAAGACAGTGTGGCAATTCCTCAAGGCTCTAGAACTAGAAATACCATTTGAACAAGCTATCCTATTATGGGGTATATACCTAAAGGATTATAAATCATGCTGCTTTAAAGAGACATGCACATGTATGTTTATTGTGGTGCTATTCACAATAACAAAGACTTGGAACCAACCCAAATGTCCACCAATGATAGACTGGATTAAGGAAATGTGGCACATATACACCATGGAATGCTATGCAGCCATAAAAAATGATGAGTTCTTGTCCTTTGTAGGGACATAGATGAAGCTGGAAACCGTCATTCTCAGCAAACTATCTCAAGGACAGAAAATGAAACACCACATGTTCTCACTCATAGGTGGGAACTGAGAAATGAGAACACTTGAACACTGGAAGGGGAACATCACACAATGGGGCCTGTTGTGGGATGGGGAAATGGGGAAGGGATAGCATTAGGAGATATACCTAATGTAAATGACTAGTTAATGGGTGCAGCACACCAATATGGCACATGTATACCTATGTAACAAACCTGCACGTTGTGCACATGTGCCCTTGAACCTAAAGTATAATAAAAAAATATATATATAAAAGAAAGAAAAAAAGTCTATTGTATACGCCTGCCAATTACTCTGTTATTATTCTGATTTTCTTTTCTTTCGTTATTTTAATCAATCGACCCCTTGTTTTAGGGAACAGTTTTTCATGGAGCTGAAATCAAAATTAGTTTTTAACCAAATTGTCGTTCTTCACAGAATGTCAATGCAATAATTCCTTCAGGCTCTTGGAGAAGATATAGTTTACAAAGTTCCACTTTTGTATATAGGATCTTCTCCTATGCATCTTTAACAGCTTGAGTTGAGCCACTGCATGCAAACTGGTGACATTGCTAATGACTCTTTTTGGTTCTACTCCCCTTTGTCTTGGTGAGTGAATGAAGGAGTTGAAGGTAAGACCACTGGCCATTATGGTAGCTGACTTATAAACACCTGGAAAAGTGGTGAGATGGGATCAGTTATCACTGGATAAGCTTCATCCAAAATCTTAGAGAAAACGTACTAAATTTTTTTAATCCAGAAAATTATGTTTTTACTGTTAGATTAGGTTGTTTTTAATCCAGAGAATATATTTTATGTTAACTGTATATATTCTATTTATCTGTACTAAATAAGGTCAAAATTATGTTTTTAGTTTGTTGAATTCCATAATACTACCTTATGCTGAATTCATTTGTTTGCATGCAAAATATTCTGAATGACAACCAAAATGTCAGCTATATGTTTATTCAAGTTCATTTATAATGTTGATTCAGTAAACATTTTAACTGCTAGGCATCAATCTAAGGCAATCATATTCTCCAATTTGGAAGTATATATGCAAAGCTAATTTATAATTAGGGAGAGAATTTTTGAGTTTACAGAGCCATAAAACATAAGTGAATTGAGAGATAATTTTTGAGTTTACAGAGTCATAAAATGTAAGTGAATTGAATGTTTCCTGACTCAAATGGATTAAGGAGTTCATTTCTATAAAAAGAGGTGCAAATTCTTGGAATTATAGGGTTCTCTCAGCTGGGTAGCGTATTTTCTCCTCTAACCATGGTTATGCATCTACAATATATATTGCAGCTTGGACTTAGGTCTTTTATTTGCTTTGTTTCATTTCATTAGATGCTTGTGTGACACACTGCATGTATCTGGATATGTTCACACCTCCATTCAAGTCAGCATTTGTTGTATGAGTCACTCGCTTTACTTAAGGCAATGATCGCTATCTCTTTCTGTACTGAATGTATTACATTTTGGTTTACATTTTCCTTTTTGCAATTCCTCATTTTCAAGTTATACATGTAGGCTGCCCATGGTCTCAAAAAAGCAAATAACTACATAAATGCTCTGTCTTATTCTAAGTAATGACAATGCCTATTTGAAGATTTTTGGAAGATTTCTCTACTTGGAAATATGTCAATGTTGTAAGGCCACTGGGTTATTTATTCATAACTATATATCTAAAATCAAGGGGAAAGGACCGGGATGTTCTTACAATAAATAATAATAGAGTACAATCTCTGACTGTGTTGGTGGGTGGTGCTGTTATGATTTCAGGGAAAAGTAATCTATGACCGAATGTTGGGTCGTGAGCATCTCCATCCAGGAAAAGCAATCTATGACTGAGATGGTAAGATGTGGGCATCTCATCCCAGAAGAAAGTCTATGAACCAGACAATGAGGGTTGATGATCTTATTCCTGGTTTTATTACAACAGGGCTTTGCAATGTTCCACTTCAGCCTCTAGCTCAAGCATGATTTGGTGATTAACAGGCTGAAGCTTTCTTGACAGAGTGGGGTCTTTGCAAAAATGCTGAGTAAAGTATAGTGGAAGCTTGTTTGGGGGGCTCTGGTAGTTGTTTCTTTCAGTAACCAGGCTTCCTCAAAAACACAACCCTCTGGCCTCACTCTGCCTACTTCAAATGCCCCACAGTGCCTGTGCCATGTGAGCAAGTCTTTCCTATTTTAGAAATGTTTTCCTTCTGGTCACATACTGTAGCTCATGTCTGTAATTCTAACACATTGGGAGGCTAAGGAGTGTGAATGGCTTGAGTCCAGGAATTCAAAACCACCAGTCTGGGCAACACGAGGAGACACCATCTCTGTGGAAAAAAAAAAAAAAAAGTTAACTGAGCTTGGTGGTGCACATGCCTGTGGTCCTAGCAGGAAATTGAGGCTGCAGTGACCAGTGATTGCAGCACTGTACTCCAGCCTGGGTAAGAAAGCAACACCTTTTCTCAAAAAGCAAAAAAAAAAAAAAAAAAAAAAGAAATGTTTCTTTTCCTTACTGAGGTCAAATCATACATGTTCCTTTGTTGCATTTTTGGGCATCACCCAACTCAGTGTAACCCATTCTCATTAGTGGTTCTAGCCATTCTAGTATCAATTTCTAGTATTTTCAGGCATTCCTCCCTCTAATACTGACAACGCATTATCTAGGCTAGCCATGAGGTGTAGGTAGTAAAAAACAAAACAAAACAGGAACACATCTGAACTGCTCTTGGAGTCTCACTATGCAAACGCTCCTACCCTTCTAACAATTCGACATCCCCCACTAATGTATGCAGTCCAGTTTCATGAGCTGAATTGGGCAGTTCTGCTTTGAATTGGTGGACAGGATTGAATTTGGAGGAAGACACTCTTTCATTTTTTCCTGTTTCCCTAAATATAATGTCTCTCTCTCTCTCTCTTTTTTTTTTTAGATGGAATCTCAGTCTGTTGTCCAGCCTGGAGTGCAGTGGTGTGATCTCAACGCACTGCAACCTCCACATCCCAGGTTCAAGTGAACTTCCTGCCTCAGCCTCCCAAGTACCTGGGATTACAGGCACATACCACGACACCTGGCTGATTTTGTATTCTTAGTAGATATGGGATTTCACCTTGTTGGCCAGGCTGGTCTCAAATTCCTGACCATAAGTGATCCACCTGCCTCAGCTTCCCAAAATGCTGGGATTACATGCCTGAGCCACTGCACCTGACCAGGATATATGTTTTCTTCAAAGCAAAAAAATATTTTGTGAACTTCAAATTTTTAAGATAACATCAAAGAACAGACACAGTCCAGGACTAAGCCTGAAGAAGAGGAATTTGTCTCAGCTCTGTAGGAAGCAGTGAACAACTACAGGGTAGGAATGGGGGTCTCAGGAAATAGTAAAGGGCCCCAGGTGGGATGGTAGGAGAAGTTTGGTATACCAAGGAAACCTCTTGGAGGATGGGCATGAGAGATGGGCATGAATCTCTTTCACCCATCAGTACTGGCAGCATAGTCTTTGTTATTAGTTTGTTTTGTTTTTTAAGGCAGGGTCTTGCTCTGTGGCCCAGGATAGAGTGCAGTGGTGCAATCATAGTTCATTGCAGCCTCAAACTCCAGGGTTTAAGCAATTGCCCTGCCTCAGTCTCCTGAGTAGATAGGATGACACTCGTGTGCCACAATGCCTGGCTAATTTTTGTATTTTTAGTAGAGACAGGGTTTTGCTATGTTGGCCAGGATCGTCTCAAACTCCTGCTGTCAAGTGATCCACCTGCCTTGGCCTCTCAAAGTGATGAGATTACAGGCATGAACCATCATGCCCAGCTGGCCAACATAATCTTTGGAAGTCAGAAGCATTCTGGAGATTTCTCTTATGAGACAAAGCACAACATCATTCCATATTCCTAAGCTGACTTTACATTTGGACATACACCCTGGAACAAAGTTGACATTTAAGGAAATACCCATAAACACAATTATCTATTTATTACTTATGTTAGTTTTGAGGAGGATTCTTAGCAGAGCAGATGTTAAGATGTCTATGCCGATACTTATTTCACTACAGAGATGTATGAAAGAATGGAGAGTGCCTATAAAAGAAAAGGTAATGAAAGATATCAAAATAGTGTTTATAAGAAAGTCAGGCTGGGTGCAGTGACTCATGCCTGTGGTCCTAGTATTCTGGGAGGCCAGAGTCAGGGGATTGCTGGAGGCCAGAAGTTTGTGAGTAGCCTGGGCAACATACTGAGACCTCATCTCTACAAAAAAACTAAATATTAAAAAATTAACTAGTCATGGTGACACTCACCTATAGTCTCAGCTATTCAGGAGGCTGAGGCAGGAGGATCGCTGCCAAGCATGGGAGATCGAGGCTGCATTGAGCCATGATCACACCACTGCACTCCTGCTTGGGGGATGGAGTGAGACCCTGACTCTAAAATCAAAACAAACAAACAAACAAAAAATTCAGGTTAATGGGGGGTCTTTTAAAACTATTATTTCATTTGGAATAAAAACTTCACTTTAATATTGGTAAATAACACACATACACATAAATTTTTAATTCCCAGAGCCAGACATGGTGGCTCATGCCTGTAATCTTAGCACTTTTGGAGGCTGAGTTTGGCAGATCACCGGAGGTCAGGAGTTCGAGACCAGCCTTGCCAACATAGTGAAACCTTGTCTGTACTAAAAATACAGGTGTGGTGGCTTGCACCTGTAATCCCAGCTACTGGGGAGGCTGAGGCAGAAGAATCACTTGAACCCGAGAGGGAAAGGTTGCAGTGAGCCCAGATTGTGCCACTGCACTCCAGCCTGGGGGACTCAGTGAGACTCCATCTCAAATTAAAAAAACAAAAACAAAAACAAAACAAGAGTTCCAATTCCAAGCATTGTTTTTCAACAAGTACTTATAAATCTTCACTCTTTGAGCTCTGGTCTTTCTCTTAAGGATGCTCTTTGTACAGGGAGGATTGAACGAATAGAGTCTCATGTCCATCCTGAGAGTAACAGCTGAATCTGCCAGTTACTCCATGCCCCTGGCTGCTGAAAGCCATGCTGTGAAACCTCGCATCTGGATTGGAATTCCTTCCCCAGCCACAGATGGAAGTACTAGACTACATGTGTTCACTGTAGATAATTCAGATGTAAATAAGTTTTCTACCAGAAATGAAATATTATGATATATGCAATTCTATCACTTGGCATAATTACCAATGTTCTTCTTTAAGGACAACACATGATTATGGTTTGAATAGTGACCTCCTGTCCCCCAAATTCATGTGATAAATTGCTAACCCCCAATACCTGTAAATGTGACCTTTGGAAGTGAGGTCTCTGTAGATGTCATCAGGTTAAAATGAAGTCATTTGGGTGGGTTCTAAATCCAAGTACTGGTGTCCTAATAAAAAGATGGAATTTGGGCTGGGTGCAGTGGCCCATGCCTGTAATCCCAGCACTTTGGGAGGCCCAGGTGGGTGGATCACTTGAGGTCAGGAGTTTGAGACCAGCCTGGCCAAGATGGTGGGACCCCATCTCTATACTTAAGAAAAAAAATGAGGGGGACAATTAGGACACAGACACACACCCAGGGAAAATGTCATGGGGAGATGAAGGCTGAGATAGGACTGATGTTTCTAAAACCAAACAGTGCTCAAGATCACCAGCAAACCACCAGAAGAGAGGGAGGAACAATGGGACAGTCTCTCCTTCAGAGACTGTTGGAGGAACTGACAAGTTTTGGCTCTGTGTCCCTGCCCAAATACCTCAAATTGTAATCCCCATAATCCCGACATGTCAAGGGCAGAACCAGGTGGAGGCAATTGTATCATGGGGATAATTTCCCCCATATGCTGTTCTTGTGATAGTGAGTGAGTTCTCACAAGGTCTGATAGTACTATAAGAGTTTGGCATTTCCTCTGTTTGCACTAACTCCATCCTGCCGCCCTATGAAGAAGGTGCCTACTTCTCTTTCACCTTCTGCCATGATGTTAAGTTTCCTGAGGCCTCCCCAGCCATGCAGAATTGACTGAGACAATTAAACCTCTTTCCTCCATAAATTACCCAGTCTTGGGTATTTCTTCACAGCAGTGTGAGAACAGACTAATATAGGAACCAACTTTGCCTATCTTTTCTCCATATACATATATATAATATGTGTGTCTATACATATGTACACATACATACATTTATGTATGTGTATGTATAGATACATAAAATATGTATATATGCATACAATTTATGCATATATATATATATGTAAAATATGTGTGTGCATATTTATATATATACACAAACATACTTTCTTTCTCATAAAATCTAGACTCTGCACAACCTGCCAAACCTTTGATCTCAGACTTCCCTGCTTACTTATGTGACATTGCGGCCAAATATTTTCTGTCCTCTCTGCTCTTATAGTTGAGCATCTTTCTGGGACAAAACTGCAGGATTATTTTGCCTACTATGAACTTCTGGAAAAGTTTATTGGATGAAATAGAAGAAGAAAATAGGAGATAGATCAAGGGATATGATCTTTCAGCTTGCAACCCAACCCAGGTGATATGGTTTGGCTGTGTCCCCACCCAAATCTCATCTTGAATTGTAGCTCCCATAATTCTATGTGTTGTGGGAGGAACCTGGTGGGAGATAATTGAATCATGGGAGTGACTTCCTCCATACCGTTCTCATGATAGTGAATAAGTCTCACAAGATCTGCTGGTTTTATAAGGGGTTTCCTCTTCCATTGACTCTCATTGTCTCTTGCCTGCTGCCACATAAGATATGCCTTTTGCCTTCCACCGTGATTGTGAGGCCTCACTGGCCACATGGAACCATTATTCCTTTAAGCCTCTTTTTCTTTGTAAATTACCCAGGCTCAGCTATGTCTTTAGCAGCAGAATGAAAACGGACTAATACACCAGGTCAGTGGAAATTGTGCTAGGGAGTTTGAACTCGTCTTGGTTGCTTTGTGTAGAAGAAGAAATCTCAGTATAGAGGCAGAATCTGCTGCCCTCAGGATTAAGACAGAAGGGAAGACAGGCCACGGCCATTCCCTGACAGCAGATCAGAATGAGGACATGCTCAGTTTGGGATCCAACTTTCCTAAAAGAAAAAGTCATTTCTTCTCCCTTGGGATGAGGAAAAGATGAGCGTGGGAGTTGGAGAGGTTTCTTAGGAGAAGTGGAGGAGTTTCTCCTATACGTTTCCCCTGAAAAGTCAAGTAACCACTCCCCACCCCCATCACCCCACAAAAACCAATCGTTTCTTTCCTACAGCATATCAGATCTGTTAACTAATGTTTTACTTTAAACTCAAGCCATTGCAAAATCATCAGCCCGAAAGAGCAGATATTCTTGCATTGGAATTCACTAATGTTTAGTGTGTTTACAATGTGGCTTTACTGTCCAGTGTTTTAAAATTCCACATGTATAACTGACCCTTGGAAAACAGTTCCATTGCTTAGAGAACTTAGCTGGATAACCCCATTGGGCGGCCAGATGATGGTAGCTTTGCACACTGAAAAAGAACCAAAATATATTGATAAACAGGGAAAGGCTTTGATGATGAGCTCACCAACAGAGGTGGAGAGAAGGGAGGGAGATTTTAAAAAGTGCTGGAGGCTTCTATCAAGTGGCTGGGGAGACTTTGATAAGAACACAGGCTCAGCTGGGCTCTGTTTGGCAGATACACTTAAGAAAGAATTAGGAAAAAACCCAAAGGCTCTGAAGGTATCCAAGCAACAGTCTCTGTTGCAGTACTTCAGCTGCAAGATATTTTCTTCTGTCCCCAGCCAGAAGGAGCAATCCTGGTGCTTAAAAAAAATGGCAGGAAGGCCCAAAGTGGCTCTTGACTTGCCAACGCAGTATTACTGAGAATTAAGTCCTAACGTAGGGCATGCTAGGAGCCTGCTGGAAGTGTTAATGTTACTGGAAAAGAGGTCCAACCCAGGCCCCAAGAGAGGGTTCTTGGAACTCATAGAAGAAAGAATTCTGGGTGAGTCCACAAAGAAAAGTGAAAGCAAGTTTATTAAGAAAGTAAATGAATAAAGAATGGCTACTCCATAGATAGAGCAGCCCTGAGGGCTGCTGGTGACCCATTTTTTATGGTTATTTCTTGATGATATGGTAAACAAGGGGTGGATTTTCATGCCTCCCCCTTTTAGACCACATAGGGTAACTTCCTGACCTTCATGGCGCTGGTGGAAGTATAGCAGTGAGGATGCCCAGAGGTCACTCTCATCAGCATCCTTGTTTTGGTGGGCTTTGGCAGCTTCTCTACTACAACCTGTTTTATCAGCCAGGTCTTTATGACCTGTATCTCATATCAATTTCCAATCTCATCCTGTGACTTAGAATGTCTTAACTTCCTAGGAATGCAGCCCAGCAGGTATTAGCCTTATTTTACCCAGCCCCTATTCAAGATGGAGTTTCTCTGGTTCAATCACATCTGACAGGTGCACCAGAGAATATTTACAGCAGGGAAACTGTTCTGTATGAGGCTATAATGGTGGATACATGTGATTATGTATTTGTCAAAACCCATAGAATGTGCAACACAATAAACCTTAATATGAACTCTGGGCTTTGGGGTGATGTTATATCCCAGTGTGGGTTCATCAGTTGTAACAAAGGTACTACCCCTAGTCAGGGGTGTTCATAGTGGGGCTGATTGTTTGGGAAGGGGGCAGAGAGTATATGAGAAATCTTTGTACCTTTCTGCTCACTCTTGCTGTGAACTTAAAACTGCTTTAAAAAAGTCTTTTAAAAAAGAAAGAAAAAGAAAAAAAAAAGAAAAACAGTACAGACATCTTATAGCATGTGTGATCCCAAAAACAGAATGCTATGTGGAAGAAGCCAGTCACAAAAGACCATACATTGTAGGCTTCATTTACATGAAATGAACTGCAAAGGCAAATGTATAGAGACAGAAAACAGATTTTGTGGGACTGACGTGTGTGAGGTTCAGCCTTCCTGTAGGCTGTATTTCTTCTGGGTGAGACCACAGGGCCCAGATTGGTGGGACCTGTGACACCATGGAGGCCATGGGTGTCAGACACATTAAAAAAAAAGACATCTCCAAAACAGTGTGAGGTTTGACAATAGCGATGTTCTTTGCAGGAGTTATTGAGGAAGCTGCATATCTTACATGCAATAGCCTGGGCAACATAGTGTCAACAAAAAGAGTTAAACTCTGTAAAAATATTTGAAGAGATTTATTCTGAGCCAATTGTGAGTGAATATGGCCTGTGACATTGCCCCCAGGAGATCCGAAGAACACATGCCCAAAGCGGTCAGGGTATACCTTGGTTTTATACATTTTAGAGAGGCATGAGACATCAATCAAATACATTTAAGAAACACATTGGTTTGCTCCAGAAAGGTGGGACAACTTGGAGCAGGGGGTGTGTTGGGGGCTTCCAGGCTACAGGTAAATTTAAACATTTTCTGGTTGGCAATTGGTTAAGTTTGTCTAAAGACCTGGTACTGATAGAAAGGAAATGTTCAGGTTGAGATAAAAAAATGTGGAGACACAGGTTCTTTTAAAGTCTCATAGTGGCTGCCCTTAGAGACAATAGATAAGTGTTTCCTTTCAGACCTTTAAAACGTACTAGACTCTCTGTTAATCTCTTCAGGACTGGGAAAGCCTGGAAGAAAAAGATCTAGCTATGATAATGAAAGGTGACAACATGCTGGTGGCCATCGCTCACTCTCAGTGCCTCCTCAGCCTTGGTGGCCACTCTGGCCACACTTGAGGAGCCCTTCAGCCTGCCACTGCACTGTGGGAGCCCCTCTCTGGGCAGGCTGAGGTGGAGCCAGCTTCCTCTGCTTGCAGGGAGGTATGGAGGGAGAGGCATGGGTGGGATCTGGGGCTGTGTGGAGCACTTGTGGGCCAATGCGAGTTCCGGGTGGGTGTGGCCTTGGTGGTCCCCACACTTGGAGTGGCTGGCCAGCCAGCGAGGCTGGCCATGGGCAGTGAGGGGCTTAGCACCTGGGGCAGCAGTTGTGGAGGGGGCGCTGGGTCCCCCAGCACTGCTGGTCTGCCCTCATCATGCTTGACCCCTGCAGTGGGCTCCTGCACAGCCTGAGCCTCCCTGATGGGTGCCACCCCCTGCTCCATGGTGCCCAGTCCCATCAACTGCCCAAGGGCTGAGGAGTGCAGGCGCATGCCATGGGACTGTCAGGCAGCTCTGCCTGTGGCCCTTTTGCAGGATCTACTAGGCCAAGCCAGCTGGGCTGCTGAGTCAGGTGGGGACTTAGAGAAATTTTATGTCTAGCCAGAAGATTGTATATGCACCAATCAGCACACTGTGTCTAGCTCAGGGTTCATGGATTCACCAATCAGCACTCTGTATCTAGCTAATCTGGTGGGTCTTGAAGAACTTTTATGTCTAGCTAAAGGATTGTACATGCACCAATCAGCACCCTGTGTCTAGCTCAAGGTTTGCAAACACACCAATCAGTGCTCTATGTCTAGTTAACCTAGTGGGGACTTGGAGAAATTTTACGTCTAGCTAGAGGATTGTAAATACACCAATCAGCGTGCTGTGTCTAGCTCAGGGATTGTAAATGCACCAATTGGCACCCTGTCAAAATGGACCAATCAGCTCTCTGTAAAGTGGTCCAATCTGCTCTCTGTAAAATGGGCCAATCAGCAGGATGTGGGTGGGATCAGATAAGGGAATAAAAGCAGGCTGCCTGAGCCAGTAGTGGCAACACTCTTGGGTCCCCTTCCACACTGTGGAAACTTTGTTTTTTTGCTCTTCACAATAAATCTTGCTGCTGCTCACTCTTTGGGTCCACAGTGCCTTTATGAACGGTAACACTCATGGCAAAGGTCTGAAGCTTCACTCCTGAGGCCAGCAAGACCACGAACCCACCTGGAGGAATGAACAACTCTAGACAGGAGGAACAAACAACTCCAGATGCGCTGCCTTAAGAGCTGTAAGACTCACTGCGAAGGTCTGCGGCTTCACTCCTGAAACCAGAGAGACCAAAATCCCACCAGAAGGAAGAAACTCTGAACATGTCTGAACATCAGAAGGAACAAACTGCAGACACACCATCTTTAAGAACTGTAACACTCCCTGTGAGGGTCCGCGACTGCATTCTTGAAGTCTATAAGACCAAGAAACCACCAATTTCAGACACAATAATAGATGTTCTTTACAGATGTAAATTTTCCTCTGCAAAAGATAGATTTGCAGGGCCATTTCAAAGTATGGCAAAGAAACACTTTTATTTCAATTTTCTTGTCTTGTAATGTAATGCCAGATTCAGACTGGAATGTAAGTTATGATATATAATGTTGAATAAAACCCATCTGATGAGAATTTATGGATTGTAGGGCATGATACCTCAGACCCCTTAGGAATTTGGGCAACATAAGAAAAAAATCAGAGCTTAGTCCTCAACAGCAAGACCCTATGTTTAAAAATATAGATATAAATGAACACCTGACAACTTCTTGCACTGATGGAAATGTTATACAGCAAATCATTCTTGTGGTGGTGGTCCAACCCTGTAAACTTACTAAAAATCATTAACTCGTTACACTGAAAACAAGTGGGTTTTACAGTATGTAAATTCTACCTCAGTTGTTTAAAGTTGTTTCCACAGGGCAAAGCCCAAAGGAAGATAGTAATAAATAAGCCCACAGCCTAGAGCAGAAATTTCTCTGCTGCTACAAGAATCAGGCAATCATTTAGTAGCAGAAACCAGCTCCCTCATCATGCCTACAAAGGCAATGAGAGTCATCCAACTGGTACTTGAAACACTCATTTATTATTGTGAGACTTGAGACACAGTTCATTCTAGTTAAAAAATAAAATTCTAAGACCCCCTTAGCCCCAACCATCTGAATGGATCCCTCCTCTCAGCCAAGGGCATTCCGAGTTAACCTGAAAAGCTAGTTCAGGCTATGATGGGATGTAGGGGTCAGACAGGTCTTATGATGCCCTCTTTAGTTTTGGAATTACTGATAGAAACAACTTTTTAAGTTCTTGAACATTTATCATTTTATTCTCTCTGAAGCCTGCTACCTGGAGGCTTCATCTGCCTCATGAAACCTTGGTTTCCACAACCCCTTATGATAACCCAGACATTCCTTTCTATTGATATTAACCCTTTCAACCTATTGCGAATCAGAAAACTTTTAAAGCCATCTGTAACCTGGAAGCCCCCACTTCAAGTTGTTTTTCCCTTCTATGTCAAGCCAAGGTACATTTTTTATGTATCCACTGATGTCAAAGTCACCTCTTTGAGAAGTACTCACTTTTATCTGGGGTATCTTTCATGGACCCAAGAAGTGTACATGTTCGCAAACCTGTATATGTCTTCCTCTTGTTAATCTGTCTTTTATTATGGGAATTCAGAAAGGATAGAGTAAAACTTATTTTTTCCTCCCTTGTGATGGGAAACATTGGTTGTGCATTTTGGGGTCAGTTGCACACCGAAAGTATATAAAAAATATGTTGTATCTTTAAACAATTATATGCTGTGATGCTCAGCTCTGCTTTTAAGATTACTTTTAAGCAATATCTGCAGGATACAGTATATAATTTTCTCCAGTCATTTTTTTTAATGTTGACAGACACAGTCCAGGTGGAACAATCAGTTTTCTCTGGAAGTAGCGTGGCAACTAGAGTACCACAAATGGAAGAGGCCATGAACTGAGGGGCCTGAAAACGCACATGGGTCTCTGCAAGAGGAGACATCAACACAAGACAACTATTCTTGCAGTGGTTGAGTTACAGCATATGGGTATAGTTTTGGGGTTATTTTAACATCTTTGAGTACTTTAAAATAAACTAGATAGGTTTGGAATGTATTGTTGAAAGAAATTAAAATAAGTTAATTGTTTATCTTATTATTTTTTTTTTTTTAGAGACAGGGTCTCAGTCTGTCATCCAGGCTCTGGAGTGAAGTGGTGCAATTATGGCTCCGTGCAGCTTCAACCTTCTGGGCTCAAGCCATCTTCCTGGCTTAGCCTCCTGAGTAGTGGGACCACAGGCACTCATCACCATGCCCAGCTAATTTTTCTTTTATTTTTTTTTACATAGAAGTGGCCTCACTATAGTGTCCAGGCTGCCCTTTAATTCCTGGACTTGAGTGATCTCCCACCCTGGCCTCCCAGTGTGCTGAGATTTCCTTGGGTGTGAGCTACAGCACCTGGCAAATGAGTTTATTTTTTAACAGCTTTACATTTATAGAAAGATTGTGAAGATAGTAAAGAGACTTCCTCTATACCCACAATCAGTTTTACATATTATTAATATTTGATATTTATACGATAAATGTATCACAACGAATGAACTAATAACGATACTATGTTATGAACTAAAGTACAAGCTTTATTTGGATTTTGTCAGTTTTTCCCTAGTGTCTTTTTTGTGGTCCAGGATTCCTTCCAGAACCCCAAAATTACATTTTGTTGTCATGTCTCTTTAGGCTTATCTTTATTGTGACAGTTTCTCAAATGTATCTTGTGTTTGATGGCCTTGACAGTTTATCTTGTAAGATGACCCTCTAATACTGATTCTTTTCTCATGATTAGACAGGCTTCCAGGATCTTGGGGGAAGACCACAGAAGTAAAGTTCTGTCTTTAAACAATTCTATGCAATTATACTCAGCTCTGCTTTAAAACTACCTTAGCAATTTTAGCAAGACAGAGTGGAGTTTGTTTCAGACTCTAAAAAAATGTGGCCAGGCATGGTGGCTTACGCCTGTAATCCTAACATTTTGGGAGGCCGAGGCTGGTGGATCACCTGAAGTCAGGAGTTTGAGACCAGCCTGACCAAAGTGGAGAAACCCCATCTCTACTAAAAATACAAAATTAGCCAGGCATGATGGTGCATGCCTGTAATCCCAGCTACTCAGGAGGCTGAGGCAGGAGAATCATTTGAACCCAGAGACAGAGTTTGCAGTGAGCTGAGATCACACTGTTGCACTCCAGCCTGGGCAAGTCTCCATCTCACAAAACAAAACAAAACAAGAAGAAGAAAATGACAATAAAGGTGGTCATTTCAATACCAGCTTGCTCTGGTTTTGAATCAATGAAACACAAATGAAGCCCATTTAAGCCCTCAGGGTGTTAGTCCAACGATGACATCTTCATCCCACATCACCTTCTTTATCCCATCAATATTCCTGGGACAATACAGGAAAAAAGGTGTGTCCATTTCCTGTCCATTCATGGGTATGTTTTAGCCTCCAAAGGGCATGTGGACATGAAAATAGGCTCTTTCGGAGTAAGGGAATTTATCTTCACTAAAAATTTGGATCTTTTATTCATCACAATTTCTTTTGCATTCATTTTGTTTTTGTTTTTTAAGGTGGAGTCTCACTCTGTTGCCCAGGCTGGAGTGCAGTGGTGTGATCTCACTCACTGCAAACTCTGCCTCCTGGGTTCAAGTAATTCTCTGCCTCAGTCTCCTGAGTAGCTGTGATTACAGGCATACACCACCACACTCAGCTAATTTTTGTATTTTTTGTAGAAATGGGGTTTCTCCATGTTTGTCAGGATGGTCTTGAACTCCTGACCTGTGGTGATCCACCCACCTCAGCCTATCAAAGTGCTAGGATTACAAGCATGAGCCACTGCACCCAGCCCACTTTGATTTTTTGTGATATGGAATTAAAGTATTTCACATTTTGGCTGCTGAAGTTTTGGTGCCCACTGAAATTTTATGCTCAAAGTAGTTGGCTCAATTTCCCCACCTTATTCCTGGTTAAACCCCAACTGTCAGTTAAAAATTCTATTTATGCATACACATATATTGCATTATGGGAGGAGACCACCCCTCATATTGTCTTATGCCCAATTTCTGCTTCCAAAGAAAGAATAAGTAAAAACTAAAAGGCAGAAATGAAATCCACAGACAGATAGACTGGTGCTGTATCCTCAGCCTGGTTGAAGATCGACACCTGACTTAACTTGTTATGTTATCTATAGATTCCAGACATTTTGTAGAAAAGCACTGTGGCAATCCCTGTCCTGTTTTATTCTGTTCTGATTCCCAGCACATGCAGCCCCCAATCCTGTATCCTCTGCTTGCTCAATTGATCATGACCCTCTCATGTGGACCCCCTTAGAGTTGTAACCCCTTAACAGGGACAGGAATTGCTCACTCAGGGAGCTCAGTTTTTGGAGACATGAGTCTTGCTGAAGCTCCTGGATGAATAAAGGCCTTCATTCTTTAACTTGGTGTTTAAGGGGTTTTGTTCTGCTTCATTTCTTGGTTCCCTGACCAGGAAGCAAGGTGATTAATGGATGGTCGAGGCAGTCCTTTAGGTGGCTTAGGCTTGCCCTGTGGAGCTTCCCTGCATGGGACTCTGGCCAGCTTGAGCAACATGGAACCTGAGAGCACTCCCATGTAGACAATTGCCCCAGTAGAATGCCTTGCCAGAGCAGTGCATGGCAGGCCCTTGCAGAGAATCTATGCAGTGGCTGAACACCAGGCAGGAACTGGCACTTGGAGTCTGGACATCTGAAACTTGGTAAGACTGGTCTTTGGAACTTGCCCACTCCATTTGGGTGGAAGCATGCCCTAATCACCCACAGCATGCCTGTACCAGCACTTTGGTTTTGTTTTTGACATGACTTGGATCACTTGCTAGTTTGGTTTTGGTTTTGACCTGGCTTGGATTTCTTGATACTCTGATTTTAGTTTTGATTCTGGTTTGGTGTATACTGTAAAAGTGTGTGTGTGTGCCCCTTTTCCCCATTCTTTGTTTTGTGGTGTGCATGTGGTGTGAGCACGGTGTTTTGTCTCAAGGAAGCATGGGTCAGGCACAAAGTAAGCCCACATGACAAGGAACCATGTTGAAAAATTTCAAGAAAAGATTTAAGGGAGACGATAGAGTACTATGACACCAAGAAAACTTAAAACTTTGTGTAAGATAGACTGGCCAGTATTAGAGGTGGGTTGGCCATCAGAAGGAAGCCTGGACAGGTCCCTTGTTTCAAAGGTATGGCACAAGGTAACCTGTAAGCCAGGGCACCCAGACCAGTTCCCATATATAGAGAGTTGGTTACAGCTGGTTTTAGACCACCCCTCACAGTGGTTGAGAGAACAGCAGCATAAACGGCTGGCAAAGGCAAAGAAAGACCAGCAGAGAGAAAGAGAGGGGAAGAGACAGAAAGACAAAGAGGGATTCAAGAGTGAGTGAGAGAGACAGAGGCAGAGAGAGAGAGAAAGAGACCGAGGCAAAAGGAAAGTCAAACAGAGAGAGATGGAGAGTCAAAGAGAGAAAGAAAGAAAGAAATATACAAGTAGTTAAGAAAAAATAAAGTGTATGCTATTCCTTTAAAAGCCACGGTAAATTTAAAACCTGTAATTGATAATTGATGGTTTTCTCCATGACCCGCCAATACTCCAATACAATCCTGTTGTAAGTGTAAACAAGGGCTTAGCCCGAAAGCACTGAGGCCACCGGCAACCTGTAGCCTTCCTATTAAAAATCCTTAACCCAGTAACCTGTAGATGGTCCAAATGAATTCAATCTGTAGTGGCACCTTCTTTGCTAGCAGAAGAAAGTAGAAAATAGCTTTTAGAGGAAACCTCATTGTGGGCACACTTCAACAGTTTAGAAGTATCCTAAGTTAAAAAAAAAAAAAAAGATGATTTAACGTTAACCACTGAAAATTCCCTTAACCCAGCAGGTTTTCTAACAGGGTATCTAAATCTTAATTACTATACAAAGGTCCGACCAGATGTAGTATGAATTCGCTTCAGGACAGGATGATAGATGTTTCCTCCTGGGTAATTGAAATAAAAACAAAACCATCTATACCAATTCTAAGTTAATTTGGACTAAACAAGATCTTATTAATAGCAAGGGATAATTGAAATCCCAAACTTACTGGGTTTTCAACAAAAGTAAAGTTTGCTAAAAATTTACAATGTAACATGTATTATAGTAACTTCTAATCTTGTGGCCTTAGACAGTCTAGTCCACAGATAAAGGAAGTTCGCTTTGGAAAAGAATTGTTATCATCTTCAAAAAAAAGGGAAAAAAAGGTGGGCAAAATTTATGTAAAAAAATGTTGTGTGTTAAATTCTTGTCCTGAAATAAATATAATTGGTTGTTTAAAGAAAGAAATGTTTGTATTAAGTCATTAAGTTGAGGCACGTCAAAGAACTGTCTGTGAAAGTCATGAAAGAGAAAAAAAGTTATAAAAAGAATTTACACAAGAAATGTTGTATAATTTAAAAGTAATTAGGCCTCCTGAGTACTACTGAAGAAACAGTTTATAAGCAAGGTGTATAAGGAAAGTAAAATATACCTTTGATAAAAGGATTTTAAGAATGTAAAATTTTATTTACATTAAAAGGTTAAAAAATTTGTTTTGAAGGTTCAAGCAAGTTTTAAAACATTAATTGTAAAGAAAATTCTGTGTGTAAACATATTGGCTAAAGTTAAAGGAGTATCATCCAGTTTTTCTGTGAACTGGACATTAAAGTAAAAACACAATGGGTTTTTCTTAAAGCACTAACCTCCTCGTTAACAAAGATTATAAAAGGTTAAAAAGAGTCTGTAAAAATCTTTCCTTATGGTCCAACACTATAAATTGAATAAATATGTGTAGAAGATTTTACTAAAACTAAGTTTAATATTAATAACACGCTAATATAAGGGTGAAATTTTAGCTTATCTGGTATAAAAATCATACAGGAAGCATTGTCAAATATAAAATTGTGTTTGTCTTCTTTGGTCCAGAAACTAATAGAAAGAGGTGCTAAAGGAAATTTCTCAGTAGAAATGCACCAAGGACTATAAAGTCCACTGCTGATGTCCCCACACTTAAAGCAAAAGGTTAATTTCTTAAAAATTGTATACTTGGTTTATCTTCCACTTTCCTTTACTTCAAAACTAAAAGTCTTTTAACACATGTACCACCCCTAGAATTTCCAGCACCAGCACCAGCCTGAAGATCATGATCTCATCAAAGGGTGAAAAGAAAGGAAACTCAAACCAGCCTGGGAAAGACGCTACCTTGTGCTGCTAACCACTGAGACTGCTGTTCATCCAGCAAAAAAAAGGATGGACTCATCACAACTGAGTCAAGAAAGTGCCAACCCCTCCAGAGTCATGGGCCATAGTCCCGGGGGAAACCCTACCAAACTAAAGCTAAGAAAAATTTAACTCTTCTGTCTATTCATTACTCTTTCTTCTTTCCTTGCTCTATTGCTGACCATCTAGTTATTAACATAACCGAGTCAATTTTGCCTCAAACTATTGCATTTAATGCTTGCCTTGTTATTCCCTGTGGGACTTGCCAAGTCAAAGACAGCTCTCTATTTCAGAAAAGTACCTCTGTCCCTCCTGACTCTCCTCAGACTGGGCATTAATAAATGAGGACCATTTAATCTGGGGAAATTTCAATGAAGACTCCTGTGTCTACCAGAAGTCTTGCCCCCACTGTAGAGCTTTTATGCTATAGTTTGTCCAACATTTTGTGGACCTCTAAAGAGCAAGGATGGACTGCCCCAAAAGGTTTTTGTAGCTTCCTAAAATCATACATTCATTCTACTAGAGGAACATAGAATGCACAGGGCTGGCCAGAGGCCCAGATTGTCCCCTTTCCACTAAGGTGGGCCTCCAGTTGACCAGGCATGGGCTGCATTGTAGCTCTTTTCCAGGATTCTACAGCCTGGAGTAATAAGTCATGC
The DNA here is from genome assembly GCF_000001405.40 of Homo sapiens. Lineage (NCBI taxonomy): Eukaryota > Metazoa > Chordata > Mammalia > Primates > Hominidae > Homo > Homo sapiens. The sequence goes on along the minus strand of NC_000024.10, from coordinate 12,149,926 downwards.
CAAGCTCTCTCTGCTATATCCCAAAGTTCAGCAGCCTGTGGGTCAGCTCCCAAGGACCATCCAGCTTCTGTTTCCCAACACTAAATTCCCTTCGTGTCTCTCATGACAGGGAGGAAACAGCGTTCCGTGGAGACCTGAAATGATGCAGTAAGCTTAAGAATTTTCACTAGCTTATCAATCAGTCAGCCCTTGTTTTTGTCTCAGAGTGGATGTGTAGTGGTATTGTGGTGGACCTTTACTGGCCACTCTGCCAAATAATTGGAGTGGCACTTGTACTTTAGTCCAATTGGCTATCCCTTTCACCCTGGCATTTCATCAACCAGAAGGAAAAAAAAATAAGACATTGTAAAGCGAGATAAGCCCCTTATTGGTCTTTCAACTCTCACATCTATTTAGACATAGTTGGAGTCCCATGAGGAATACCAGATCAATTTAAAGCTTGAAATCAAATAGCTGCAGGATTTGAGTCAATATTTTGGTGGGTGACAGTTAATGAAAATGTAGATTGGATAAACTACATCTATTAAAACCAACAGCAACAAGCTTTTCATGAGTTAAAAGAAAAACTCATGTCAGCCCCAGCCCTAGGGCTACCTGAACTGACAAAACCCTTTACACTCTATGTGTCAGAAAGAAACAAAAATGGCAGTTGAAGTTTTAACCCAGACTGTGGGGCCCTGGCTAAGGCCAGTGGCCTATCTCTCAAAACAACTAGAAGGGTTATGTTTAAGGGCCCTGGAAGCAATGGCCCTGTTAGCACAAGAAGCAGATGAATTAACTCTTGGGCAAAACCTGAATTTAAAAGCCCCCTATGCTGTGGTAACTTTGATGAATACCAAAGGACATCATTGGCTAACAAATGCTAGATTAACCAAGTACCAAAACTTGCTATTTGAAAATTCCTGCATAACCATTGAAGTTTGCAAAACCCTAAACCCTGCCACCTTGCTCCCAGTATCAGAGAGCCCAGTTGAACGTAACAGTGTAGAGGTATTGGACTCAGTTTATTCTAGTGGGCCCAACCTCCGAGACCATACTTGAACATCAGTAGACTGTGAGGTGTACGTGGACAGAAGCGGCTTTGCTAACCCCTGCTAAGTGACTCTGAAGAAGACGACAAGCCCTGCTCCAGTCACAGTTGGAAGCTGACTGGTCCATGCATGGCTGAAGCGTGAGAAAATTTGCGAGACTCATTTTCCTTTAAATTTGGACTTGTACAGTAAGAACTTCAACTGATCTTCCTCAGTATGAGGACTGTTCCTAGTGTATGCATCAAGTCACTTAGGTAGGACAAAAATTTGCTGCAGTCCTATTACAGTCTAATTTCTTGTATTTTTAGCAGAGATGGGGTTTCATTGTGTTATCCAGGATGGTCTCGATTTCCTGACCTTGTGATCCACCCGCCTTGGCCTCCCAAAGTGCTGGGATTACAGGCATGAACCACCACGCCCGGCCACGAGCCAGTATTTCAAAGCTTCCATGATGAACTGAATGTGCCAGTATCAGAAATTCCAGGAAAAACAAGAAATTTATTTTTGCAATTAGCCAACCATGTAGCCCGTCTCTCAATGTGACTTCATGTTATGTATGTGGAGGAACTGTAATGGAAGATCAATGGCCATGGGAAGCCTGAGAATTATTACCTACAGACCCAGTTCCTGATGAATTCCTGGCTCAAAAGAATCAATCTAATAACTGGGTCCTAAAAGCCTCAATCATTAGACAATACTGTATAGCAAGAGTGGGGAAGGACTTCACCCTTCCTGTGGGAAGACTCAGGTGCCTTGGGCAAAATTGTATAACAGTACTACAAAAACAACCACCTAGTGGAGTTCATACCACACTAAGAAAAATCCACTTGGTAAATTCCCAAAGTTGCAAATTGTGTGGACCCACCCAGAGTCCCACCAGGATTCGACAGCCCCCACTGGATTATACTGGATATGGAGACATGGAGCTTACATGAAATTACCCAACCAGTGGGCAGGTAGTAGTGTTATTGGCATTATTAAAACATCTTTCTTCCTACTGCCCATAAAGACAGGCAAACTCCTGGGCTTCCCTGCTATGCTGACCTGTGAAAAGAGAAGCATAGCCATAGGAAATTGGAATGATGATGAGTGGCCCCTGAGAGAATCATACAATATTGTGGGCCTGCTACTTGGGCACAAGATGGCTCATGGGGATACTGGACCCCCATTTACATGCTCAACCAAATCATATGGTTACAATCTGTCTTAAAAATAATCACTAATAGGACTGTCAGAGCCTTGACTATTCTGGCACAGCAAGAAACTCAGATGAGAAATGCTATCTATCAAAAGAGATTGGCTCTTGACTACTTGCCAGCAGCTGAAGGTGGCATCTGTGGGAAAGTTAACCTTACTAATTGCTGTCCACACATTGATGATCAAAGATAAGTAGTTGAAGACATAGTTAGAGATATGACAATACCAGCACATGTGCCCATGCAAGTGTGGCATGGATTTGATCCTGGGGCCATGTTTGGAAAGTGGTTCCCAGCACTAGGATAATTTAAAATTCTTATAATAGGAGTTATAATAGTAGTAGAAAACTGCTTACTGCTCCCTTGTTTGCTACCTGTACTTCTTCAGATGATAAAAAACTTCATTGCTACCTTAGTTCATCAATATGCTTCAGCACAAATGTACTATATGAATCACTATCGATCTGTCTCGCAAGAAGACATGGGTAGTGAGAATGAAAGTGAGAACTCCAACTAATGAGTGAGGTTCTCAAAAGTGAGGAATAAGTGAGGAGAGCACCCCTCACATTGTCTTATGCCCAATTTCTGCCTCCAAAGAAAGAAGAAGTAAAAACTAAAAGGCAGAAATGAAATCCACAGGCAGACAGCCTGGTGCCACACCCTGGGCCTGGTTAAAGACTGACCCCTGACCTAACCGGTTATGTTATCTATAGATTCCAGACATTGTATAGAGAAACATTGTGAAATTCCTGTCCTGTTCTGTTCCATTCTGCTAACTGGTGCCTGCAGCCCCCATTCATGTACCCCCTGCTTGCTCAATCAGTCACGACCCTCTCACGCAGACCATCTTAGATTTGTAAGCCCTTAACAGGAACAGGAATTGCTCACTTGGGGAGCTCAGTTTTTGGAGATGCAAGTCTGCCAATGCTCCCAGCTGAATAAAGCCCTTCCTTCTACAACTTGGTGTCTGAGGAGTTTTGTCTGTGGCTCATCCTGCTACAATATTTTTAGACATATAATATTTGTACATATAAAAATTATGTATATGAGTATGTATGTATGTATATATGTATGTACATATATAGATGGTCCCTAATTTAAGATGAGTTCAACTTACAGTTTTTTTTTTTTTTAAGACTGGATCTCACTTTGTGGCTCAGGCTGGAGTGCAGTGGTGCAGTGACAGCTCACTGCAGACTCAACTTGCTGAGCTCAGGGATCCTCCCGCCTCAGTCTCTGAAGTAGCTGAGGCTACAGCTGAGAGCCACATACGTGACTAAATTTTTATTTTTTTGTAGACACAAGATCTCATTATATGGCCCAGACCAGTCTCAAACTCCTGGTCTCAAGCAAGCCTCCTGACATGGCCTCACAAAGCAATAGGATTACAGGTGTCAGTTACCACACCTGGCCTAGATATTCTTAACTTTTTTGTTTTTAAATAGAGATGAAGTCTTGCTGTGTTGTCCAGACTGGTCTTGAACTCCTGGCCTCAAGTGATCCTCCTGCCTTGGCCTCTCAAAGCATTGGGATTACAGGCAGGAGCCACCACACACAGCCAATTTAGGACTTTTTTTGCCTTTATGATAGGTTTCTCAAGATGTAACCCTATTGTTAAACATGTAACCCTATTGTTAAACAAACAGTATCTGGACTTAATGCAGGTTCATCTTAAAATATTTCAACTTTATGATGGTTTTATCAATGCATTACTCCACTGTAAATCTAGGAGCTTCTGTATACATCTGTGAGTGTGTGTGTGTATATATATTATATATATATGTATATATATGGATTAAAAATTACCTCTGCATCTACATACATATGTTTAATTCACATACCTATGTCTATATTATATAGTTGCTTAAAATATTATACATATATAAAAGGTATATGTAAATTATAAATATATAATATATACAAATATAAAAGTTATATAAATATACAAATATATAAATACATAAATAAGTTATATAAATATAAAAGATATATAAATTATAAATTTATATAAATTATATATTTTGTATAGGGTTGGTTAAAACTTTATATGAGCATGTAAACTACATAATACATATATATATATATATATATATATATATACACACACACACTATATATATAATATTTTAATAAAATTGTCCATGGTGGTACATAGGGCAGGGCTAGAATAAGTCTAATGACACAATCTCATCAGGCACAAATTTCAGGAGGTACCAAAAAACTAAAATTAACTCCGTAGTCACAATACTGATAAATATTCAAGACGAATATAGTGTTTTAATTATACACATACGTACAGACAGTGCTCAGAGACCATTACCTTTTTTCTCATAATGTAGACAAAATGACTTTTGCAGTGGGCCCTGCCATGAAATTAAAGGGTTAATGTTGCTCAAAGAGGGGTGGGACATTTGCCCTCAGCTCCTGAGAGGTGCACACTAGCCTTTGGAATGTCCTGCCTAGTAGGAATGTGTTTATGTACCAGGGGTTCTGGGGTAACTGGACAATCTAGCAATGTGATTTAGGGTGGAGGGGGCTATTCATAGCAGAGGTTTTTATGGTATGAGAAGGACATACTAGGTACTAACAATATGATTAAGGGTGGAGGTTTTGGTCTTGAAGTAATGGCTGAAACCTCTGAAGGGGCTACAGATTGAGGTCAGCTCTGTGGGCCATTGACAGTGACACCCCAAATGAAGACTCTAACACTGGGATTTGGGCTGGTTTCCCTGGTTGGTGATGCTTCAGGCGTTCTGCACAAGCTGAGACTGTGAGGCTCAGTGCTGCCCACAGCTCCACATGGAGAGGACAAAAGTTTGCCACTTTTCCTGGACTCTATCTGTCCCACCTCCCTCTTCTCTTGGCTACTATGTCAATCTGTGTCCTTGCCACATAATAAACCACAACTGAGAGTGTAATGGGTGAGGTCTGTCATTCTTCTATCCAATGAGCCAAACAAGGATTGTCTTGGGGGCCCCAAAACTTGCAGCTAATGTCAGAAGCACGGGTGGTCATATGAACTTGATCAACCCTTGCACCTACATTGTCTTAGTTGGAATGCATGAAATGGAGACTTTAGATGTTCCTTTCAATCTTGGATTTTATGATTTTATCAAAACAAACTCTATTTTTTTGGGGCGTGTGTGAGAGAGAGAGAGAAACAGAGAGAAAGAAAAAGAGAAAAAAGAAAAAGCAAGTAAGAAAACATGAGATGAGGAAGACAGAGCCCATCTCATTTCTCTGTGATTTGGAGGTAGTGAATAAAGTTCTACTAAGAACCGTGTAGTATGATTGGAATTCAAACTATCAACTTTGAAGTTGATGGCAGTACATAATGAGCTTTTAGTTTGCACATCTTTCTGTTATTTTATCCTCTTTAATTCCTTGCCCCCACACCCCTGCTTGTGTTTAGATCCAAAGGAAGAGACATCAGGAGCCTATAATTTATCTTTCAGGGAGGAATTAGGAAGTGAACCATTGTCCCATTATATTTACATCAGTTTTTGATTAACACACACACAAACACACACACACACACACCCCCCTCACACTGTGAGTGCCCCACACTCTTGCATGGATATTTTTGTTGTTAATTAAATTTGTTTCTAAACAGACTTCTATCCCAGCCTGGCTTTCATATTTAGAAAGGCAAGTGATAAATTGCAATAACCCTTTCACGTATTTTGATACAAATGGTTTTAAATAGTTGGAAAGATTAAGTACAAAGAAAGATTTTAAAAATCCCAGATTTCTGAACCTCCAAAAGTTCTGACAATTTCCTCATTATTATTGTGTCTGCTTTGAACTTGATGAAATCAGAAATGGGTTATAATATAGAACTGCAGTTCTGGCTTTCCAAGAAAAATAGTGGACAAAACCTAAAGACCATTTTTAGATGCAGGATTTTTGTGGGTGATGCAGTGTGTGAGGGTTATGGCGTCATTAATCCTTGTACTGTGTGCTGGTAGGGGCCAGCAGGGTCTGGCGACTGCCAGGTGAATTAAAACCACAGTCTCAGATTTCAGGGAATGGCTTCTTTCAGTAACGCCTACACCCACATGCTTTGTGGCTGGAACAGCTGTGAATGAGCAGAATAAACTTTTTTAGTTTGCTGCCTTGAGAAAGATGCACATATCCACTTCAATACCATTGTTTTTATAAATATTTCAAGAAGGCAAATATTTCAGAAGTGTGTGATGAGTAGGGGAGAAGTTGCATTCATGGCTGAGTTATTGATGTTTCAAAAGAGCCAACGTTGACTTGGCATAATTTTTATGCTCCATAAACTCTATTTATTTTACTGACAAAATGGAGTCCTGCAGCAATTTTGCTGTAGGGTGAAGCAGGAAGAATCCCACGAGTGAAGCAGTACAAATTCTTAGCCTCTAGCATTGAATCAATCTTGGGGATTTGAAAATTCTTATGATTTGACTATTTTTTTCATTCAAAAATATTGGCCAGGCATGGTGGCTTATGCCTGTAATCCCAGACTTTGGGAGGCCAACACAGGTGGATCGCTTGAGGTCAGGAGTTTGAGGCCAGCCTAGCCAGCATGGTGAAACCCTGTCTCTATCAAAAACACAAAAATTAGCCAACTGTCGTGGCATACTCCTGTAATCCCATCTATTTGGGAGGCTGAGGCAGTAGAATCACTTGAACCCGGGAGGTGGAGGTTGGAGTGGGCCAAGATCACACCACTGCATTTCAGCCTGGGTGACAGAGTGAGACTGTGTCTCAAAAAACAACAACAACAAAATACCACATAAACATAATAATCAAGTATTTGGTTTATTTCACAATGGCGAGGGTAAAATTTCCAAGACAACATGTATCGATTTATTTATTTATTTGTTTATTTATTTATTTATTTATTTATTAGACTTTAAATTCTGGGGTACATGTGCACAATGTGCAGTTTTGTTACATAGGTATACATGTGCCATGGTGGTTTGCTGCACCCATCAACCTGTCATCTACATTACATATTTCTCCTAATGCTATGCCTCCCCTGCCCCTCCATGCCCCAACAGGCCCCAGTGTGTGATGTTCTCCTCCCTGTGTCCATGTGTTCTCATTGTTCAACTCCCACTTATGAGTGAGAACAGACAGCATGTATCTTTTATATTTTTACTGGCTTCTGAATTTTTCCCACAGCAAAGATGTCTTGTTAGACTCTACTCTTATGAAAGTATATTATGCTTGACAAGGTGACATTGAAGATCTTTGCAGCTGCGTTATTAAATGAGGAGTCTATTACAATTCCTGAAGTCTCTGCAACCTCAGATGCAATAACCCAGTACATTGCTTCCTCAAAAGTAAATTGATGTCCAAATGCTGAACTAGCACTTTTAGAAGATTACTTATTCTTTAATCTTAGAGTGGAGTACTTAGTTATTGGCATTTGTAAGCATCCTTTCAAGTAATCGATGCAGCATTTTGACATGAAAAACAGATTATGTAATTTTCCATGAGTAAATGTGAAGAAAGATTTGATTATTTAAGTGTGTCGAAAGGAGCTAACATTGGTTTGGAATCGATCCTCTTAACCACAAGTAAGATTGTTTTATTACAACTTAAGGAAATGAAAAGAAAAATAAAATGTATCTCCCAAAACAATAGCATAGCTTAAGAGAAAATCTGAGCACAATTAATCTTCTCAGGTTTTTAATGACTTCTTAAATGTTTGAATCTTCATTAGTTTATTACTATGGTTGGCAAAAAATGCCCCTATAACATTAATTGAGCACACTTTTTCTGGAACTATGTAAGCTAAGAAGCCAAGTTAGTGGAGTATGACGTCTTGCAAATGACTCAGGGATACTGGATATAAAAACATTTCAGAGGGTGGAGGGTGGGAGGAGGGAGAGGATCAGGAAACACAACTAATAAGAACTAGGCTTATTATCAAGGTGACAAAATAATATGTACGGGATCCCCCATGATACTAGTTTATCTATGTAACAAACCTGCACTTGTACTCCTATACTTAAAATAAAAGTTAAATGAAAAGAAAGGAAAGAAATGTGAAAAAAAAGAAGAAAGAAAGAAACTAGAGGTCCATTTTTGCTGCTTGTGTGGTTTAAAAAAGAAATAAATAGCTAACAAAAATAAGAACAAATAAAAAACGAATGTAAGAAAAGATATTAGGAGTCTGGAAAGAGCTTATTTACAACTTATTTACAGATGCTTATGGAAGATATTCAATGTCAATGGTATTCTCAGGAATTAGAAGACGTAAGACTAGTCTTGGGAAAGAGGGCAGAACATTTCATTTGGGAGTTTCTTTCTTTAAGGTAGGCGAGAAGTGGACCACCGTTCTTGTAGTTGGGTGTTTCCACCAGGAATGACAAAAAATAAGGCCTTTTGGATTGATCATCAATATCCATCCTTAATCTGTATTTTCTTTCTCCTCTTCACCTCTGCCTCCATCTTAAAGATGTCATACCCTATTTAAATTACAGGCCTCTTTCCACCCTCTTCTATTTTTTCTTTTTTTTCCAACTTTTATCTTAGATTCAGGGTTACATGTGTGGGTTTTTCATATACACAAATTACATGTTGCAGGGGTTTCATGTATGGATAATTTTGTCACCGAGGTAGTGAGCACAGTACCCAACAGATAGTTTTTTCATCCTCACCCTCCTCCAGTCTTCCACCTTTTTTTTTTTACATTTGTGACTTTAAAGTTTTTATTTTATTTTATTTTATTATACTTTAAATTTTAGGGTACATGTGCACAATGTGCACATTAGTTACATATGTATACATGTGGATGCTGGTGTGCTGCACCCATTAACTCACCATTTAGCATTAGGTATATCTCCTAAAGCTATCCCTCCCCCCGCCCCCATCCCACAACTGTCCCCAGCCTGTGATGTTCCCCTTCCTGTGTCCATGTGTTCTCATTGTTCAATTCCCACCTATGAGTGATAATATGCGGTGTTTGGTTCTTCGTTCTTGTGAGAGTTTACTGAGAATAATGATTTCCAATTTCATCCATGTCCCTACAAAGGACATGACATCATCATTTTTTATGGCTGCATAGTATTCCATGGTGTATATGTGCCACATTTTCTTAACCCAGTCTATCACTGTTGGACATTTGAGTTGGTTCCAAGTCTTTGCTATTGTGAATAGTGCCACAATAAACATACGTGTGCATGTGTCTTTATAGCAGCATGATTTATAGTCCTTTGGGTATATACCCAGTAATGGGATGGCTGGGTCAAGTGCTATTTCTAGTTCTAGATCCCTGAGGAATCGCCACACTGACTTCCACAATGGTTGAACTAGTTTACAGTCCCACCAACAGTGTAAAAGTGTTCCTATTTCTCCACATCCTCTCCAGCACCTGTTGTTTCCTGACTTTTTAATGATCTCCATTCTAACTGGTGTGAGATGGTATCTCATTGTGGTTTTGATTTGCATTTCTCTGATGGCCAGAGATGGTGGGCATTTTTTCATGTGTTTTTTGGCTGCATAAATGTCTTCTTTTGAGAAGTGTCTGTTCGTGTCCTTCGCCCACTTTTTGATGGGGTTGTTTGTTTTTTTCTTGTAAATTTGTTTGAGTTCATTGTAGATTCTGGATATTAGCCCTTTGTCAGATGAGTAGGTTGTGAAAATTTTCTCCCATTTTGTAGGTTGAATATTCACTCTGATGGTAGTTTCTTTTGTTGTGCAGAAGCTTTTTAGTTTAATTAGATCCCATTTGTCAATTTTGGCTTTTGTTGCCATTGCTTTTGCTGTTTTAGTCATGAAGTCCTTGCTATGCCTATGTCCTGAATGATAATGCCTAGGTTTTCTTCTAGGGTTTTTATGGTTTTAGGTATAACATTTAAGTGTTTAATCCATCTTGAATTGATTTTTGTATAAGGTGTAAGGAAGGGATCCAGTTTCAGCTTTCTACATATGGCTAGCCAGTTTTCCCAGCACCATTTATTAAGTAGGGAATCCTTTCCCCATTGCTTGTTTTTCTCAGGTTTGTCAAAGATCAGATAGTTGTAGATATGTGGCATTATTTCTGAGGGTTCTGTTCTATTCCATTGATCATCTCTGTTTTGGTACCAGTACCATGCTGTTTTGGTTACTGTAGCCTTGTAGTATAGTTTGAAGTCAGGTAACGTGATGCCTCCAGCTTTGTTCTTTTGGCTTAGGATTGACTTGGTGATGTGGGCTCTTTTTTGGTTCCATATGAACTTTAAAGTAGTTTTTTCCAATTCTGTGAAGAAAGTCATTGGTAGCTTGATGAGGATGGCATTGATTCTATAAATTACCTTGGGCAGTATGGCCATTTTCATGATATTGATTCTTCCTACCCATGAGCATGGAATGTTCTTCCATTTGTTTGTATCCTCTTTTATTTCATTGAGCAGTGGTTTGTAGTTCTCCTTGAAAAGGTCCTTCACGTCCCTTATAAGTTGGATTCCTAGGTATTTTATTATCTTTGAAGCAATTGTGAATGGAAGTTCACCCATGATTTGGCTCTCTGTTTGTCTGTTATTGGTGTATAAGAATGCTTGTGATTTTTGCATATTGATTTTGTATTCTGAGATTTGCTGAAGTTGCTTATCAGCTTAAGGAGATTTTGGGCTGAGACAATGGGGTTTTCTAGATATACGATCATGTCATCTGCAAACAGGGACAGTTTGATTTCCTCTTTTCCTAATTGAATACCCTTTATTTCCTTCCGCTGCCTGATTGCCCTGGCCAGAACTTCCAACACTATGTTGAATAGGAGTGGTGAGAGAGGGCATCCCTGTCTTGTGCCAGTTTTCAAAGGGAATGCTTCCAGTTTTTGCCCATTCAGTATGATATTGGCTGTGGGTTTGTCATAGATAGCTCTTATTGTTTTGAGATACGTCCCCTGAATACCTAATTTATTGAGAGTTTTTAGCATGAAGCGTTATTGAATTTTGTCAAAGGCCTTTTCTGCATCTATTGAGATAATCATGTGGTTTTTATCTTTGTTTCTGTTTATATGCTGGATTACATTTATTGATTTGTGTATATTGAACCAGCCTTGTATCTCAGGGATGAAGCCCACTTGATCATGCTGGATAAGCTTTTTGATGTGCTGCTGGATTCAGTTTGCCAGTATTTTATTGAGGATTTTTGCATCAATATTCATCAAGGATATTTGTCTAAAATTCTCTTTTTTGGTTGTGTCTCTGCCCAGCTTTGGTATCAGGATGATGCTGACCTCATAAAATGAGTTAGGAAGCATTCCCTCTTTTTCTATTGATTGGAATAGTTTCAGAAAGAATGGTATCAGTTCCTCCTTGTACCTCTGGTAGAATTCGGCTGTGAATCCGTCTGGTCCTGGACTCTTTTTGGTTGGTAAGCTATTGATTATTGCCACATTTTCAGATCCTGTTATTGGTCTATTCAGAGATTCAACTTCTTCCTGGTTTAGTCTTGGGAGGGTGTATGTGTCGAGGAATTTATCCATCTCTTCTAGATTTTCTAGTTTATTTGTGTAGAGGTGTTTGTAGTATTCTCTGATGGTAGTTTGTATTTCTGTGGGTTTGGTGGTGATATCCCCTTTATCATTTTTTATTTGTGTCTATTTGATTCTTCTCTCTTTTCTTCTTTATTAATCTTGCTAGTGGTCTATCAATCTTATTGATCCTTTCAGAAAACCAGCTCCTGGATTCATTAATTTTTTGGAGGGTTTGTTGTGTCTCTATTTCCTTCAGTTCTGCTCTGATTTTAGTTATTTCTTGCCTTCTGCTAGCTTTTGAATGTGTTTGCTCTAGCTTTTCTAGTTCTTTTAATTGTGACGTTAGGGTGTCAATTTTGGATCTTTCCTGCTTTCTCTTGTGGGCATTTAGTGCTATAAATTTCCCTCTACACACTGCTTTGAATGTGTCCCAGAGATTCTGGTATGTTGTGTCTTTGTTCTCATTGGTTTCAAAGAACATTTTATTTCTGCCTTCATTTCGTTATGTACCCAGTAGTCATTCAGGGGCAGGTTGTTCAGTTTCCATGTAGTTGAGCAGTTTTGAGTGAGTTTCTTAATCCTGAGTTCTAGTTTGATTGCACTGTGGTCTGAGAGGCAGTTTGTTATAATTTCAGATCTTTTACATTTGCTGAGGAGAGCTTTACTTCCAAGTATGTGGTCAATTTTGGAATAGATGTGGTGTGGTGCTGAAAAAAAATGTATATTCTGTTGATTTGGGGTGGAGAGTTCTGTAGATGTCTATTATGTCCGCTTGGTGCACAGCTGAGTTCAATTCCTGGGTATCATTGTTAACTTTCTGTCTCGTTGATCTCTCCAATGTTGACAGTAGGGTGTTAAAGTCTCCCATTATTATTGTGTGGGAGTCTAAGTCTCTTTGTAGGTCACTCAGGACTTGCTTTCTGAATCTGGTTGCTCCTGTATTGGGTGCATATATATTTAAGATAGTTAGCTCTCCTGTTGAATCGATCCCTTTACCATTATGTAATGGTCTTCTTTGTCTCTTTTGATCTTTATTGGTTTAAAGTCTGTTTTATCAGAGACTAGGATTGCAACCCCTGCCATTTTTTGTTTTCCATTTGCTTGGTAGATCTTCCTGCATCCTTTTATTTTGAGCCTACATGTCTCTGCACGTGAGATGGGTTTCCTGAATACAGCACACTGATGAGTCTTGATTCTTTATCCAATTTGCCAGTCTGTGTGTTTTAATTGGAGAATTTAGTCCATTTACATTTAAAGTTAATATTGTTATGTGTGAATTTGATCCTGTCATTATGATGTTAGCTGGTTATTTTGCTCATTAGTTGATGCAGTTTCTTCCTAGCCTCGATGATCTTTACAATTTGGCATGATTTTCCAGTGGCTGGTACCGGTTGTTCCTTTCCATGTTTAGTATTTCCTTCATGAGCTGTTTTAGGGCAGGCCTGGTGGTGACAAAATCTCTCAGCTTTTGCTTGTCTGTAAAGTGTTTTATTTCTCCTTCACTTATGAAGCTTAGTTTGGCTGGATATGAAATTCTGGGTTGAAAGTTCTTTTCTTGAAGAATGTTGAATATTGGCCCCCACTCTCTACTGGCTTGTACAGTTTCTGCCAAGAGATCCGCTGTTAGTCTGATAGGCTTCCCTTTGGGGTTACCCGACCTTTCTCTCTGGCTGCCCTTTACATTTTTTCCTTCATTTCAACTTTGGTGAATCTGACAATTATGTGTCTTGGAGTTGCTCTTCTTGATGAGTATCTTTGTGGCATTCTCTGTATTTCCTGTATCTGAACGTTGGCCTGCCTTGCTACATTGGGGAAGTTCTCCAGGATAATATCCTCCAGAGTGTTTTCCAACTTGGTTCCATTCTCCCTGTCACTTTCAGGTACACCAATCAGACGTAGACTTGGTCTTTTCACATTGTCCCATATTTCTTGGAGGCTTTGTTCATTTCTTTTTATTCTTTTTTCTCTAAACTTCCCTTCTCGCTTCATTTCATTCATTTCATCTTCCATCACTGATACCCTTTCTTCCAGTTGATCACATCAGCTCATGAGGCTTCTGCATTCTTCATGTAGTTCTTGAGCCTTGGCTTTCAGCTCCATCAGCTCCTTTAAGCACTCCTCTGTATTGGTTATTTTAGTTATACATTCGTCTAAATTTTTTTTCAAAGTTTTCAACTTCTTTGCCTTTGGTTTGAATTTCCTTCTGTAGCTCGGAGTAGTTTGATCGTCTGAAGCCTTCTTCTCTCAACTCATCAAAGTCATTCTCCATCCAGCTTAGTTCTGTTGCTGGTGAGGAACTGCATTCCTTTGGAGGAGGAGAGGCTCTCTGCTTTTTAGAGTTTCCAATTTTTCTGCTCTGTTTTTTTCCCATCTTTGTCGTTTTATCTACTTTTGGTCTTTGATGATGGTGATGTACAGATGGGTTTTTGGTGTGGGTGTCCTTTCTGTTTGTTAGTTTTGCTTCTAACAGACAGGACCCTTAGCTGCAGGTCTGTTGGAGTTTGCTGGAGGTCCACTCCAGACCCTGTTTGCCTGGGTACCAGCAGCAGTGGCTGCAGAACAGCGGATTTTGTGAACCGTGAATGCCGCTATCTGATCGTTCCTCTGTAAGTTTTGTCTCAGAGGAGTATCTGGCTGTGTGAGATGTCAGTCAGCCCCTACTTTGGGGTGCCTCCCAGTTAGGCTGCTTGGGGGTCAGGGGTCAGAGACCAACTTGAGAAGGCAGTCTGCCCGTTCTCAGATCTCCAGCTGTGCACTGGGAGAAACACTGCTCTCTTCAAAGCTGTCAGACAGGGACATTTAAGTCTGCAGAGGTTACTGCTGTCTTTTTGTTTGTCTGTGCCCTGCCCCCAGAGGTGGAGCCTACAGAGGCAGGCAGGCCTCCTTGAGCTGTCGTGGGCTCCACCCAGTTCGAGCTTCTCGGCTGCTTTGTTTACCTAAGCAAGCCTGGGGAATTGTGGGCGCCCCTCCCTCAGCCTCGCTGCTACCTTGCAGTTGGATCTCAGACTGCTGTGCTAGAAATGAGCAAAATTCTGTGGGCGTGTGACCCTCCGAGCAAGGTACGGGATATAATCTCCTGGTGCACTGTTTTTTAAGCCCATCAGAAAAGTGCAGTATTGGGGTGGGAGTGACCTGATTTTCCAGGTTCCGTCTGTCACACTTTTCTTTGACTAGGAAAGAGAACTCCCTGACCCCTTGCACTTCCCGAGTGAGGCAATGCTCGCCCTGCTTCGGCTCGTGCATTGTGCACCGCACTCACTGTCATGCGCCCACTGTCTGCAGAGTGCCCTTTTTTTTTTCACTCCTCAAGAACCAATTTTTGTCTCATTGGTGACAATATTGTCCCTGGTGGGAAAATATGATCTACTTTTCTGTATTTTTTTATATTTTATTATTATTATACTTTAAATTTTAGGGTACATGTGCACAATGTTCAGGTTAGTTACATATGTATACATGTGCTATGCTGGTGTGCTACACCCATTAACTCGTCATTTAGCATTAGGTATATCTCCTAAAGCTATCCGTACCCCCTCTCCCCACCCCACTACAGTCCCCAGAGTGTGATGTTCCCCTTCCTGTGTCCATGTGTTCTCATTGTTCAATTCCCACCTATGAGTGAGAGTATACGGTTTTTGGTTTTTTGTTCTTGAGATGGTTTACTGAGAATGATGATTTCCAATTTCATCCATGTCCTCCTTTTTCAATCCTCCCCACAACTGGCTACTTTTAGACTCCTGCTGATTGGTGCATTTTGTGTAGTGCTGATTGGTGTGTTTTACAGAGCACTGATTGGTGCATTTTACAGTGCACTGGTTGATGCATTTTTCAAACATCTTGCTGGCTACAGGGTGCTGATTGGTGCATTTTTACAGAGTGCTGATGGGTGCATTTTAAAATCCCCTTGCTTGCTACAAAGCACTGATTGGTGCATTTTACAAAAAATCCTAGCTACAGAGTGCTAGTTAGTGCATTTTACAATCCTCTTGTAAGACAGAAAATTTCCCCAAGTCCCCACTCGACCCAGGAAGTCTAGCTGGCTTCACCTCTCACTTGGTTATGTCCTTATCTGGTTGGATGCAGTCTTTTTTTTTTCATTCATTTATTAAGCAAAGCATCTTATCCTTGTTTGCACAGGGCCCTCTGAAACATCAAATAGAGTCTTTTTCTAACATGCAATTAGTTATGTGATGACTGTGATATAGTTTGGCTGTATCCCCATGCAAATGTCATCTTGAATTGTTGCTCTCATAATTCTCATGTGTTGTGGGAGGAACATGGTGGGAGGTAATGGGATCATGAAGCCAGGTTTTTTCCTGTGCTGGTCTCATGATAGTAAGTCTCATAAGATCTGATGGTTTTCTAAAGGGCAGTTCCCCTGCACACACCATCTTACCTGTCACCATGTAAAACATACCTTTGCTCCTCCTTCACTTTCTGCCATGATTCTGAGTCCTCCCTGGCCATGTGGAACAGTTAGCCCACTAAACCTCTTTTTCTTTATAAATTGCTCAGTCTTGGGTATTTATTCATAGCAATATGAAAATGGACTAATATCGTGCTCTATACAAGAATACTTCTGGAAGGAATGCTGGTCATATGAAAGAAACAAAAATAATTCAGAAAACTGAATTGGTACCCTTTAGGGACTTGGTATAAAAATATCAGAATACTCAGAAAATAATGATGCAGTTGCTGATGATGAAGGTAAAAAAAAGATGAGTTGAATTTTAGAATGGAGACTGCATATGCCTTAATTCATGACAAATTAACGCATTAGGTGAGAGATACCTTGTATAATGCAGAACAAAATATACATGTATAGAAAAAAATAATTCCACTAAAACCTAGATAAATTATGCTTAACTGGGGATGACTGTGTACCCCTCCACCCCAGGGATATTTCAAAATGTCTGGAAGCATTTTTGCGTGTGTGAACTGGGATGTGTCACTGGCATGTCATGGGTGGAAGCCAAAGATGCTCTTCAACATCTGATCATGCACAGGACGGCCCCTACTGTAAAGAATTTTCTGCCCCATGTCCAGGTGTGGTAATTACAGGTACACCTGTAATCTCAGCATTTCGGGAGGCTGAGGCAGGCTTATCACTTGAAGTCAGGAGTTCAAGACCAGCCTGGCCAATATGGTGAAACTCCATCTCTACCAAAAATACAAAAATTAGCTGGGCATAGGAGCACCCGCCTATAGTCCCAGAAACTCGGGAGGCTGAGGCAGGAGAATTGCTTGAACCTGGGAGGCAGAAGTTGCAGTAAGCAGAGATCATGTCTCTGCACTCCAGCCTGGGAAACAGAGTGAGAACCTGCCTCAAAAAAAAAAAGTAATAATTGCCCCAAATCTCAGTAGTATTGAGGTTGAGAAACACTGGATGGTATTCATAAAAGCCAACGTCTCCTTAGTATGTATTTCAAAACATAGAGGAAAAACACAATGATTAGAAGAATATAATCCATGAAAGTATGTGTGTGTATATATGTAAATATAAATGTATATTTTCTATATAAGTATAAATATATAACATTAAACAATTATTTAAAATACTTATAATTTATTTGATCACATATACATATATGGATGTCTATATTATAACACAATCTATTAATTTTATGGATATAAATAAAACATTTAAACATAATTAGATGAAGCTTTATAAATATTAACATTTAAGTACATATATTTCTTTTTTTTTTTTTTGAGACAGAGTCTCGCTCTTTCGCCCAGGCTGGAGTGCAGTGGCGCAATCTCTGCTCACTGCAAGCTCCGCCTCCCGGGTTCACGCCATTCTCCTGCCTCAGCCTCCCAAGTAGCTGGGATTACAGGTGCCCGCCACCACACCCGGCTAATTTTTTATATTTTCAGTAGAGATGGGGTTTCACCGTGTTAGCCAGGATGATCTCGATCTCCTGACCTCGTGATCCGCCTGCCTCGGCCTCCCAAAGTGCTGGGATTACAGGCGTGAACCACCGCGCCCGGCCAAGTACATATATTTCTATAATTAATTTACAGTTGACCCTTGAACGACACAGATATATGAGGATTTTCCTCCACCTCGGCCACCTGACACAGCAAAATCAACCCTTCCTCTCCCTCCTTTTCCTTTGCCTCCTCAATGTGAAGATGATGAGAATGGAGACATTAATGATGACCCACTTCCACTTAATGAATAGTGAATATGTTTCCTCCTCCTTATTATTTTCCTAAAAGCATTTTCTTTTCTCTAGCTTGCTTTATTATAAGAATACCATATATAATACATGTAAACATACATGATATGTATTAATGTACTGTTTATAGTATCAGTGAGATTTTTGACCAAGTTTTCTTTCCAGTTCTGACATTCAAAAATGCTTCCTGAAAACATGTTGTTCAAGGATTATATAACGTATACATTTATAAAGTACAAATTAATATTTCTGTATATTATAAATTATAAATTTAACAATATAATAAATAAATAATTTCTAATTCATAATAAATCAACAATTTATAATGTACATCAATATATAATGTATATATTAATATATAAATATTATATGTAATATAATATTTAGATATAACATAAATATAACTATATATTATGAAATATATGTATGTAAGTGTTAATACTTATATAGCTATATATCTAAAGTTTATTTTATTTATATTTATAACATTAAAATATTTTGTTATGAAATAGACATATACATATATGTATAGGTGGTCAAAGAGATTTTATATATATATGAAACATATGAGTAGGTTGTTTGTATTTAAGTTTTGGGAGAATCCATAGTTGTAGGTAGATTTTCAATGGTGCAGGGGTTAGTGCTTCTAACCCCCGCATTGTTCCAGGGTAAACTATAATAATTAATACATAGTAATTACACATATTTAGTATAAATACATGTATATTTGGCAGAAAACATCCACTTACACCTTTGAATTGAAAACTGTTACTAAATCATACTAAGAAAAAACGTGCAAGAAGGCTGACTGCCATAGATTACAGAAAAGTCCACTATTCTTTTTTTTTTATTATTATTATACTTTAAGTTCTAGGGTACATGTGCAAAACGTGCAGGTTCATTATATATGTATACATGTGCCGAGTTGGTTTGCTGCACCCATTAACTCGTCATTTACATTAGGTATTTCTCCTAATGCTATCCCTCCCCAACACCATGACAGGCCCTGTTGTGTGATGTTCCCTGCCCTGTGTCCAAGTGTTCTTATTGTTCAATTCCCACCTACGAGTGAGAACATGCGGTGTATGGATTTCCGTCCTTGTGATAGTTTGCTCAGAATGATGATTTCCAGCTGCATCCATGTTTCTATAAAGGACATAAAGTTATCCTTTTTTTATGGCTGTATAGTATTTCGTGGTATATAAGTGCCACATTTTCTTAATCCAGCCTATCACTGACAGACATTTGGGTTGGTTCCAAGTCTTTGCTATTGTGAATACTGCTGCAATAAACATACATGTGCATGTGTATTTATAGTAGCATGATTTATAATCCTTTGGGTATATACCCAGTAATGGGATAGCTGGGTCAAATGGTATTTCTAGCTTTAGATCCTTGAGGAATTGCCACACTGTCTTCCACAATGGTTGAACTAGTTTACAGTCCCACCAACAGTGTAAAAGCATTCCTATTTCTCCACATCCTCTCCAGCACCTGTTGTTTCCTGACTTTTTAATGATCTCCATTCTACCTGATGTAAGATGATATCTCACTGTTGTTTTGATTTGCATTTCTCTGATGACCAGTGATGATGAAAATTTTTTCATGTGTCTGTTGGCATAAATGTCTTCTTTTGAGAAGTGCCTGTTCATACCATTTGCCCACTTTTTGATGGGGTTGTTTGATTTTTTTCTCGTAAATTTGTTTAAGTTCTTTGTAGATTCTGGATATTAGCCCTTTGTCATTTGGGTAGATTGCAAAATTTTTCTCCCATTCTGTAGGTTTCCTGTTCCCTCTGATGGTAGTTTCTTTTGCTGTGCAGAAGCTCTTTAGTTTAATTAGATCCCATTTGTCTAGTTTGGCTTCAGTTGCTATTGCTTTTTTGTTTTAGTCAGGAAGTCCTTGCCCATGCCTAGATCCTGAATGGTATTGCTTAGGTTTTCTTCAGAGTTTTTATGGTTTTAGGTCTAACATATAAGTCTGTAATCCATCTTGAATTAAATTTTGTATAAGGTGTAAAGAACGGATCCAGTTTCAGCTTTCTATATTTGGTTAGCCAGTTTTCCCAGCAGCATTTATTAATTAGGGAATCCTTTCCCCATTTCTTGTTTTTGTCAGGTTTATCAAAGATCAGATGGTTGTAGATGTGTGGTATTATTTCTGAGGCCTCTGTTCTGTTCCATTGGTCTATAGTCTATATCTCTCTTTTGGTACAAGTACCATGCTGTTTTGGTTACTGTAAACTTGTAGTATAGTTTGAAGTCAGTTAGTGTGATGCCTCCAGCTTTGTTCATTTTGCTTAGTATTTTCCTGGCCACACAGGCTCTTTTTTTGGCTCCATATGAAATTTAAAGAAGTCTATTATTGGAGTATAGCAATGCCTATGATTTTTCCACATTGATTTGGTATCCTGCAACTTTGCTGAAGTTGCTTATCAGCTTAAGGAGATTAAGGAAACTTTGCTGAAGTTGTTTATCAGCTTAAAGGGCTGAGGCGATGGGGTTTTCTACATAAACAATTATCTCATCTGCAAAGAGAGACAATTTGACTTCCTCTCTTCCTATCTGAATACGCTTTATTTCTTTCTCTTGCCTGATTGCCCTGGCCAGAACTTCCAATACTATTTTGAACAGGAGTGGTGAGACCAGGCATCCTTGTCTTTGTGCTTGTTTTCAAAGGGAATGCTTTAAGCTTTTGCCCATTTAGTATGATATTGGCTGTGAGTTTGTCATAACTAACTCTTATTATTTTGAGATAGATTGCATTGATACCTATGTTTTTTGAGAGTTTTTAGCATGAAGGGGTGTTGAATTTTATTGAAAGCCTTTTCTGCAACTATTGAGATAATGAGGTGGTTGTTGTCATTGGTTCTGTTTAGATTATGTTTGGGATGATTTGGATTTTTTCCATCAATTGTAGCTGAAACTGACATAAAGTGTCAACTTAATGAATTCACACAATAGGGATGCACATGATAAGAAGGTGCTAGGCATGGGCTGATGAGACTCTGGCTCTTAATGTTAACTCTGCCTACATGCTGACTCCACTGATGCTCTTTAGATAGAGGCCAGGTGTCCCAACCAGCCTGATAGTGTCTGCAGCTGGCAAGAAAGAGAGAGGTACTTTTTTTTTCTTTTGAGACAGAGTCTTATTCTTTTACCCAAGCTGGAGTGCAGCAGCCCCATCTTGGCTCCTGCAACCTCTGCCTCTTTGGTTCAAATGATCCTCCCAAAGTGATGGGGCTGCAGGTGTAAGCCGCCATGCCCAGGTGGGAGAAGAAACATTTCCTAATAGCACCTGATATGGTTTAGCTGTATCCCTACCCAAATCTCACCTTGAATTGTAATTATCTCCATGTGTTGTGAGAGGGACCTGGTGGGAGATGATTGAATCATGGGTGTGGGTTTTTCCCCTGCTGTTCTTTTTATAGCGAATAAGTCTTATAAAATCAGATGGTTTTCTAAAAAAACCAGCTCCCCTTCTCATACCCCCTTGCCTGCCACCATGTAAGATACATCTTCCTTCCCCTTCACCTTCTGCCATGATTGCAAGGCCTTCCCAGCCATGTAGAGCTGGGTTCATTAAACTTCTTTCCTTTATAAATTACCCAGTCTCAGGCATGTATTTATTAGAAGCATGAGAGCAGACTAATATAGCACCCCAGAAAATCTAACCTTATGTGCCTTTAGACAAAGTGGTGTTGTATGCCTATGCTCAACCCACACATGGCAGAAGGAATGGAACCACTCATGGTTAGCTTTGATTGAACAGCATTTGGTCAAAAGCCTCTCTTGGAATATATGACCTCAGAGAAGTACAATGTTAATCCCTCCAAAAAACATGGACCCTACCACCAACAATTATGTAGAGACAGGACATAGATTGGTAGCAGGGGCTCAGTAAGTGTTTGCTGAATGTATGCAGTATCTGTATCATCAAAATTATCCTTATATAAAATTACTTTGCTGAGGAGCTACAAGGACCAGTATGCTCGAGTTTTTCTAGGACACACACAGTTGACTGTAAAAATCAACAGAGCTTTTTTTTCTCCTTCTGTCTTCAGAAATTCTTGACCTATTTCCATTTTCTTTCTTGCATAACCGGTTAAAATTAGCCAGAACTTCTGTCTGGACACTTGCCTTGGGTAATTTTGAAATACTGTGTATCCAACATTATGAAAATTGCAGTTCACATTAGCTTGAATACGTGTAGTTCACACAGAGCTGGAATTCCTTTGAGTCCCATTTCCACAGTTCTTGGATCTTTAAATCCATTTGGTTTCAATGATAATCCCTATCTTTTGACAGAACCAAAGTTATAGGTAGCCAGCCCAGCCCTGAGGTCAGCCTTGGATGCAAAGATAATGGGAGATGAAGATTCAAATTTCCTTTGTATGAAACGTGAACTTTTTAACTATGTCATATGACTTTCTATAGTAATTTCTATTTGGTTATATTTTGCATAGGCAAGAAGAATCTCTATCTTCATAGCAATATTATCTTTCGATAAGAATGAGGGCAGAGTTCATCTTTTCAAGGTTTAAACGAAAATAATTTTCTACTTCTAAGTGAAAATTCCTGCTGAGGGATAGGAATAGCCTTATCACATATATTAATACAGAAACAGTACTTCACATAATTAATTAATTTCATCTTGATAATGTGAAGTTTAATCTTAATGTTTGAGATTAAATTATGCAATTATTTGGATACTTTGTGTTTAAAAGTTGAAGAAAAAAATGGATTCTATCATCAGTAAAGCTTGTTAGTCTTCAATGTTAATTGATACGTATAGAAATCTCAGTTTTATGTTACTTATGTGGTCATATCTGGTATATGTTAGAGACAATAAAAATACAATATGAATGTTTAAAAAAAGTAAGCTGCAATATTTTAATTCTTGGAGGCTGTGGGTTATGTTTTATAACTCTCCCAAATTAATCAGCGTCCACGTTGACTAAATACTTGTGGATTAATTTATTTTCTTATATCCTTTTTTTTTTCTACAGATACATTTTCTGCTTTCCTATGAGTTCTTCATATCTCCTGGTAAAATTAAGCAAAAGATTAAATCCTAGATACAATGAATAGGAGTTTAATGGAGTATAATAATTAATACCTGTGTCCTTTTTTTAAATTTATTTTTATTTTTATTTTTATTATTATTATACTTTAAGTTTTAGGGTACATGTGCACAACATGCAGGCTTATTACATATGTATACATGTGCCATGTTGGTGTGCTGCACCCATTAACTCATTATTTAGCATTGGGTATATCTCCTGGTGCTATCCTTACCCCCTCCCTCCACCCCACAACAGTCCCTGGTGTGTGATGTTCCTCTTACTGTGTCCATGTGTTCTTATTGTTCAGTTCCCACCTATGAGTGAGAACATGTGGTGTTTGGTTTTTTGTCCTTGTGATAGTTTGCTGAGAATGATGGTTTCCAGCTTCATCCATGTCCCTACAAAGGACATGAACTCTTCATTTTTGATGGCTGCATAGTATTCCATGGTGTATATGTGCCACATTTCTTTATCCAGTCTATCATTGTTGGACATTTGGGTTGGTTCCAAGTCTTTGCTATTGTGAATAGTGCCACAATAAACATACGTGTGCATGTGTCTTTATAGCAGCATGATTTATAATCCTTTGGGTATATATGCAGTAATGAGATGGCTGGGTCAAATGGTATTTCTAGCTCTAGGTCCCCGAGGAATCACCACACCAACTTCCACAATGGTTGAACTAATTTACAGTCCCACCAACAGTGTAAAAGTGTTCCTATTTCTCCACATCCTCTCCAGTGCCTGTTGTTTCCTGACTTTTTAATGATCTCCATTCTAACTGGTTTCATGTGGTATCTCATTGTGGTTTCGATTTGTATTTCTCTGATGGCCAGTGATGATGAGCATTTTTTCATGTGTTTTTTGGCTGCATAAATATCTTCTTTTGAGAAGTGTCTGTTCATATCCTTCGCCCAATACCTGTGTCCTTATACCTTATAGAATGTGTCTATTTTATTTTTTGAGACAGGGTCTCATGCTGTCACTCAGGTTGGAGTGCAGCTCACTGCAACCTCTGCCTCCTGGGTGCTAGTTATCCTCCAGCCTCAGCCTCCTAAGTAGCTGAGAATAGAGGTACGCACTACCACGCCAGCTAATTTTTGCATTTTTAGTAGACGTGGGGTTTTGCTACATTGCCCAAGCTGTTAAACTCCTGGGTTCAATTGATATGCCCACCTTGGCCTCTCAAAGGGCTGGGATTACAGGTGTGAGTCACCGCACCCAGCTATGTCTTCAATTAAAGTCCAATATCTTCAAACTTAGTTCTCTTTTCATCTCAGGTGAGAATATTGTATAACATTCATCCTCATTAGTTCTTACGTTTGAATCCCCTTTTATCACCTTTGAATAAATTTAAATACATACCTGCCTATACTGCCTATATAACCTAGTGAGTTGAACATTGACAGCGTATTTTTTTTTTGACTATAACATCCTGATTATTGGAGGAGGATAATTATATTATCATTTATAAATGTGTATCTCAGGCTTTGCAATTTTTCCCTCTCTTATTTGCAGTAGAAATAAGTATAGGAGATCGTGACATACTGACATTCCTGTTGACTCTACTGTGGGTGAATATTTATTTTTAAATTACACATGCATCATTTTCAAAAATTAATACTTCTGGGAATGTGTTGGAACAAGTGGCTTTACTTTCCCATCACCCACCCAGGCTGCCCCATGAGAAATGTGTGCTATCTGGAGGGTACATGTGGCATGACCAAGGCTCAGAACTGCCACAGGGATGGTGATGATTGGTTGGCTGTCATCTTTTGTTTTGTGGTCTTCCCCTAAGGCAAACAGAGGGCAATTGAGGCTTTCCACTATGGAGTAATCATTTAATGACACTTCTCTTTGAATTACTCTTCTAAAATATTGGGTTTATGGAGCAAAGGCAACAATATTTTAGGATCCTTCACCCTCTGGAAAAAAAAAATAAATTTTGGTCTGAAATTAAAGCACTGAGTATTTAAAGTCAAGAGGAAAGAAAATGTGAAGTGACTCATGTCCCTTGGATATTGGTAACAGTCCACTCTTGGTGGCTTTCCCAGCAATATGGTGGCCATATTTTCCCAACCAAGCTCAACCCACACACCAAAGGCCTAAGGCAGTATGGGAGAAAGATAGATGTTAAAGCCAGGAAAACTCACATTGGAGGTCTTGTCTTGGAACTCATCTTTTATTCCTACGCCATCTGCTTTCCAGTTGCTCTTTAAACCTGCATCTCCTCATCTATAGAGTAAGATTTGTTATATGTGTTTGCTATTTTTTGTTATATGTTTGGTGTGACTTAGGATTCAATAAGTGCACATCTTCATCCATTTCTTTCTCTTCCTATTCCATCTTTCTCTTCTTTGAGCAATTCCAATCTTTCCTTTTTTTTCTCCGTATAGGTAAAATGAGACTTTCCTGCCTCCCTCCCTCCCACCCTCCCTCCCTCCCTCCCTCCTTCCCTTCCTTCCTTCCTTCCTTCCTTCCTTCCTTCCTTCCTTCCTTCCTTCCTTCTTTCCTTCTTTCTTTTTTTTTGAGACAGGGTCTTTCTCCATCACTCAGGCTGAAGTGCAGTGGTGTAATCACAGCCCACTGCAGCCTAGACCTCCTAGGCTAAAGTGATCCTCCCACATCAGCCTCCCAAGGAGCTGGTAGTATAGTCATGCACCAGCATGCCCAGCTGATTATTTTTGTTTTATTTTTTTAGAGATGGGGGCTCACTGTGTTGCCCAGCCTGGTCTTGAGCTTCTGGGCTCAAGCTCCTGGTCTTAAACAATTCTCCCACTTTGGTGTCCCAAAGTGCTTGGAATACAGCTGTGAGCCACGATGACCTGCCTGAGAGAATATCTTAAATACGGATTGACCTAAAATGTTCTGGTCATGTGACTCTCAGATTAGCAGCTACCGTGTCTCCTTCTTGGCAGGAATGAGTTTGGGAGAAGCCTTTTGAGTTCCTTACCATCACCATATAGACCCTGCCCTTGGGCTAGGGGACAGTTATGAACTGATTTTTTATAAAGGTAGGTTGTATATCATATTTGAGGATAGAGTCATGCTCTTAACTGGACCTGGAGAGTTTAGTAATAAGCAAATGTGCTTCTTTAGAGTGAAAATCTCAACTCAGACAGGAAATGTTCTCTACATCATAGTCATGAATAGCAAAAGTAATTGGCCTTCCATCTGCTGTACAGGTAGGGGGAGGATTGTTAAATGTTACCAGCTATTCTTATCACATAGTCCTCACCTAATAGAAACAGACAGATTTGCCTGTGAAATACAGTTTTCCCTTGGTATTCATGGGGGATTGATTCCACCAGCTCCCAGAGGTACTAAAACCCATGGATGTTCAAGATCCTGATATAAAATTGTGTAATACTTGTGTATAACCTGTGCAAACCTCTTGTATACTTTAAATCATTTCTAGATTACCTATACTACCAAATGCACTGTAAATGTTATGTAAATAGTGGCTATGCTGAATTATTTATGGAATGATGACAAAGAAAATCTGTACTTGTTTAGTTCAGATGTTTTTTTTTTCCATATTTCTGATCCATGAGAGTTTGAATACACAGAATAGAAGGCTGATTGTGTAATTAATTCTTGCTATTCTCTTTTCTTTATTTCAAACCTGATGTGGGAGTATTGCTTGAGACAGCAGTTCAGGACCTGCCTTGACAACATGGTGACACTCCATCTCTCAAAAAAATAATGCCACGCAGAGTGGTACACATCTGTGGTCCCAGGCTACTTGGGAGGCTGAGGTGGGAGGATTGCTTGAGCCCAGGAAGTTGAGGCTGCAGTGAGCTATGATTGCAGCACTGCACTCCAGCCTGGGTGGCAGAGAGAAAGAGACCATGTCTCATTTTGTCTGATAATATCTACAAAATCCCTCTGTTAGATCATAAGCTTTTTTTCTACATTATTTAGAGGGAATTATTTTGTTATTTGCTTTCTATTAATTTCTTAAAGAGTACACACACACACACACACACACACACACACAAGAGAGATTGAAGAAGGTTAATGCTAGATCCATTATTTTAAGTGATTTTTTCTATTCATTTTTTCCTTTCCAGACCATCAAACTATTTTCCTTCTG
Organism: Homo sapiens; assembly: GCF_000001405.40. Taxonomy (NCBI): domain Eukaryota; kingdom Metazoa; phylum Chordata; class Mammalia; order Primates; family Hominidae; genus Homo; species Homo sapiens. Next base: position 12,122,917 of record NC_000024.10, on the reverse strand, counting down.
AAACCATCACTAGTGAATTCAGTCACAGGGATGATATCAAAAACAATGCATGCAATTCATGCAAAATAAATTGGGAAAGCCAGGTGGTGAAACATTTGTTTTTCCTGCCAGTTTATTTTTTTTCAGTGTTTCCAGAAGGAAAATGAAAGACTGGGTGAGGTGTTGCTCAAGGCATATCCCAACTCCTGGCTTCATTCTATTCATTTTCACTCTCTTGGTCCCCTTTAACCAGCCCACAATCTCCTGGCCACACAAGCTTCATCCAAACCACACTGTGTCAGCTGTTGCCTCATCACAGCTGTGCTCCTGCTCCTGTTTCCACAGCACCTCCTAGCCAGTGCCAACTTGTCATTGCCACTCTTTCCCCCTGGTGCTCCTTGTCTCCTACACGACCTCAGATGCCCTTTGCCATGGAGGAGGGAGGATGGCTTGCCGAAGTGTACAAGACATGAAACAGCTTCACTGCCATGTCCTCTGCATTTCTGGGTTCCTTTTCTCTCTTGTTTGCCCACTACTCATGGCCCTTCCCCATTAAGAACCAACCTCCAACCACATGCCAGTTGCAACATTTCTAATGATTAAGTGTCACTGAAGTGGGCCTGATTGAGGAAGGTGAGGAATTGGCACTTGGAATAAGAATTTCAAGTGTTCGTAACAAGCTACATCTATCTAGCTATATATCTACCTATCTATATCTATCAGTCTATCAACCATCCATTTATTTGATAATCTTTGTACCCATATATCTTCCATGTATCTCATCTATCCATATATCATATCTATGTATCTATCATCTATATCTATGCATCTTATCTATCCATCATATCTATGTACCAATCCATCCATCATATATATCAATCTATATCTATGTATCTCATCTATCCATATATCACATCTATGTATCTATCTATATCTATGCACCTCATCTGTCCATCATATCTATGTATCTATCATCTATCATATCTATGTATCTATCCATCTATATCTATGTATCTCATGTATCTATCCATGTATCATATCTATATAGCTATCATCTATATCTGTGTATCTCATCTATCTATCTATATGTCATATCTATGTATGTATCCAACTATTGTATCTATCTATTCTTCTGTCTGTCAGTCTCTCCATCCATCCATCCATCAATCCATCATCCATCCATCCAACATCCATCCATCCATCTATCCTCATATCATATCATATCACATCATATCATATCATATCATATCATATCATATCATATCATATCATATCATATGTCTAATCTACCATCTATCTCTATCATTTATCCATCTCTAATATCTATTAACTATCTCATCTATCTAATCATCTATAATCTGTTGACTCACCTATTATCCTTCTCACTTTTCTATCTATAATCAATGTGACACTCCTAGAAAGTTTCAAAGGGACAATTTGGAAATTTGCAAGTGTTCTCTCCACTAACCAGAGAAGTCAGAATGGGACAAAACCTTCCTTTTTGGCAGCTAATGAGCTGCCTGACTTCTTGGAAGAAAAATGCAGGAGGTAAAATTTATTGTGGCTCAGGCATAGTGCATAAGCCATCACTCAAGAAAGAAAGACATTTTTCTGGACCACACAGCCTCATGTCAAATGCAATTCTCCTTTCCAATAATCAGCATTTGTAATAAGCATCTGGTGAACTAAATTCCACCTCAGAGCCTGCTTTGAAGAGAACTCAACCACTCCCAAGTCCAATCTGCCGCTCGCACAGTCCACCTCACACACTGCTTTCTCTCCTGCTACCCCATAACTGGAGTCTCTCGTGTCTCCCTACATTCTGATTTGCCATATGGGAACTGCTACATCTGGCTTACAAATTCCCCCATTCCTTCTGCTGTCCCCTACTTAAAGCAAGCCATTTCCCCCAGTCATCTCATGACACCTTGTTCATAACCAACTCTGAATTCCAAAGTCATGTATTCAGTTGTAACTTATGCATGTCTTCTCTCTTTGCTCCCAGATATTCTTCCTCTTCATTTCTAAATTTCTCTTTTGAAATTCAGTTCAAACCCCTTTATAGTTTTCCTCTCTAAAGCATCCCAGGGTAAGCTAGTATCTGTACCAGATCAGCTCTGAAGCCATATTATAAAGTATAGAAAATGAATCAGTGCTTACATTTTTGTTATTTTTCTTTAAATGTGTGTTTTATTATTAGTTCATGTTGCCATTATTATTATTTTTGAGACAAGGTTTCACTCTGTCACCCAAGCTGAGTGCAGTGGTACGATCATAGCTCACTGCAGCCTCAAACTGTCAGGCTCAAGCGATTTTCCCACCTCAACCTAGGTGGGATCACAGGCATGTGCCACCATGCTGAGCTATCTTTTAAAATTTTTGGCAGAGGCAAGGTCTCCCTATGTAGCCAAGTCTGGTCTCGAACTCTGAGGCTTAGGTAGTCCTCCCACCTCAGCCTCCGAAAGTGCTGGAATTATAGGTGTGAGCCACTGCACTTGGCTTATATTTTTATTATTAAATACAATAGAAACATAGAAAAATACAATGTGGGTTAGGTTTCATGAATATTAGAAGGCAGACACAATGAAAGAAATAGAAATTGACAAGCTCTTGTAAAGGCCCTTCATGTGTCTATCGCAATCCATTTCAGAATGTAAATAGGAAGCTGGTAGTATTACAGTAAATGGCAAACCCGACTACAAATTCATGTGAATGTTTCCTGGTGAATTGCGTCAGATATTTTGGCAGGTTTTTCTTAAGGCCATGCCCTCCATTCTCTCTAAAGGTGATTTGAAGCTGACAGCGCTCTTGATATATAACAACTCTTTCTAAAGTTTTTCATGAGCAAAGACATTTTACTTTGTTTTCATTTTTTTCCAGCCATCATTTTCTACGTAGATGAGAAACTTCAAATATGTTATGTCTCATCATATTTATCCTTAAAAAATCAAAAGTTTATTAGTAAGAAAATGTATTGTTTTACAGAAATATTCAACTCACACTCTCATATTGAGCATTGAACGGGAACAAACAGAATGGTAATAGAAGGACAATTTTCTGGGTACTCTGTGATTTGGGCAGCACTTCTTCAACATAATTAGACCTCACAAGATGCATACATATAACAGATTAAAAGTTTGCAAGAATGCTATTGCTATTTACATTTGTAAAGAACAGTTTCTTCTATTTAATTAATTTATCTATTTAATTTTCTTTTTAAGAAATAAGGTCTTGCTCTGTTATCCAGACTGGAGTGCAGTGGCACAACCATAGCTCACTGTAGCCTTGAACTCCTGGGCTCAAGCAATCCTCCTGCCTCAGCCTTCTGAGTAGCTGGGGCTACAAGTGTGATCTAGTTTGGATGTGTGTTCCTGCCCAAATCTCATGCTGAACTGTAATTCCCAGTGTTGGAGGTGGAGCCTGGTGGGAGGTGATTGGATCATAGGGGCGGTTTCTCATGAACGGGTTAGCACCATCCCCCTAGTGCTGTTTGTGTTATGGTGAGTTCTCACGAGATCTGGTTGTTTGAAAGTGTGTAGCACCTCCCACCCCGCTCTTGCTCCTGCTTCTGTCATTTGAGACGCCTGCTTCCCCTTTCCTTCCACCATGATTGTAAGTTTCCTGAGGCCTCCCCAGAAGCAGAAGCCACTGTGCTGCCTGTACAGCCTGCAGAACCGCAAACCAGTTAAACCTCTTTTCTTAGAAATTATCCAGTCTCAGGTATTTCTTTATAGCAATGTAAGAATGGGCCAATACAAAACTTGTGCCACCATGCCTGGCTTTTTTAAAAAAATTTTTTGTAGAGATTAGGTCTTGCCATGTTACCCCTGCTGGCCTTGAACTTCTGACTTCACATGGTCCTCCTGCCTTGGCCTCCCAAAGTGCTAGGATTACAGGCATGAATCACTATGCCCAGCGTTTGTTCTATTTTAAATGCAGTATTTGCCATATACAAAATATGAAGTATGTCAGGCATAATAATATAATGAACTGTAAAATACCTACTGTTCAGCATGAGAATTATGTTATTAACAATATCTTGTATTTATCTGTTTTTTTTTTCTCTGCTTCATCCCTTATTCTCTGTTTCTACCTGGCATTCACCACTATCCTGAATTTAGATTTTATCATTTCCTTATTTTAAAAATTATGTTACTATATATTCTAATAAGTCTAAACTGTGTGTGTATTTGTGTAGATACACATATTTGATTTTAAATTAGACATACATCTATATTCTTAATAGGTAATATAGAATTTGCTTCATTTGACACTTTAAAAAATGGTATCACAGAACTACCATTCCACCCAGCAATCCCAGTACTGGGTGTTTTCCCAAAGGGAAAGAAATCATCATATCAAAAAGACACTGAGCATTCACATGTTTATTACAGCATATTCACAATAGCAAAGACATGGAATCAACTTTAGCGTGAATGATTGGATAAAGAAAATGTGGTATGTATATACACACACATATATGTATACATTTATATGTATATATACCTATATATGCACACATATATGTATACATGTATATGTATATATACATATATACACACATAATATATACACACACATATATATATATACAATTGAATAGTACTTAGTCATAAAAAAGAATAAAATAATGTCTTTTACAGCATCAGATGGAACTAGGGGCCATACTTGTGTCTTGGGTGAAACAACACAGAAACAGAAAGCCAAATACTTCATGTTTTCATTTATAAGTGGGAGCCAAATAATGTGTGCACATGGACAGTGTGTGGAATAATAGTCGTTGGGGACTTGGAAGGGTGGGAGGGGTGTGAGGGATGAGAAAGCTCTTGATGGGTACAATGTAAGTTATTTGGGTGATGGTCACACAAAAAGCCAATACTTTATCACTATGGAATATGTCGATGTAACAAAATTACACCCCTTAAATTTATACAAAAAGGCATTCTGGGCTTAATACCTAGGTGATGGGTTGACAGGTGAAGCAGACCACTATGGCACCCATTTACCTATGTAACAAACGTTCACATCCCTGCACATGTACTCCAGAACTTAAAATAAAATAAAATAAAATAATAAATTATACAAGAAACCAAAACAGAAAACAACAAAAATAGTGTTATACTTGGTAATAGTTTTGTGGATGTCCTTTTTCACTCCAGTTTCTTTTGCTTACATTTATTCATATTGTTGCATGTGTCTGTATTTCATTCTTTTTCTTCATTTTTTTTTTTTGGCTACAAAATACCCCATTGAATGAGTGGACCACATTATATTTGTACATTTTCCTGTCCATGGGTATTTGGATCCCTTCCAGGGGTGACTATTTACCAACAAGGACACCATATAATACGTGTGTTTGGAGGCATGACTGCAAGTGTTTACCTATGATATCCAGTCAGGGGAAGAAGTGCTGAAGCATAGGCATGTGAATGTAGCTGAGAGATGATGTAAAAATAGTTTTCAGCTGGGGATGGTGCTTCACTTATAATCCCAGCACTTTGGGAGGCCGAGGCAGGCAGATCACTTGAAGTTGTTAGGAGTTCAAGACCAGCCTGGCCAACATGGTGAAACCCTGTTTCTACTAAAAATACAAAACTAGCTGGGTGTGGTGGTGCTTGCCTGTAGTCCCAGCTACTTGGGAGGCTGAGGCAGGAGAATTCTTTGAACCTGGGAGGCAGAGGTTGCAGTGAGCTGAGATTGTGCCAATGCACTCCTACCTGCTCAGCCTGGGGGACAGAGCAAGACTCTGTCTCAAGGAAAAAAATTTTCCAGAGTTAGTATTAATTTGCACAGCCAATATCATTATCTAAGTACTCTCTGTTGAGCTAGATTCTCTTCAATGCTTGAATTTTCAGAAAATTGAAACTTTTGCTAATTAAATGGATAAGATATTTATCACATTGTGGTTTTATCTTTCCCTGAATTAACAAAATCAAGCATCATTTCCAACATTTTGAGGTCACTTGCGTGTAATACCTCCTCTTTGACTTTCTGAGTTTTCTAAGAAGTTGTATCTTTTCTATGTATCTCAAGGTTTGTATATGTCTGGATATAAATCATTTGATATCTTCTTTTCTGAAGGCTTTGTGCAGTTTTTCTCCTATATTGGCATTTCCTTTTCATTTTATTTATGGAGTCTTTTGAAAAACAAAAGTTCTTATGGGTAAGTTGTTAGCATGGCATTTCCTTCAACAGTTAATATTTTTGTGTCTTTAAGAAAGAATGCTTTTGGACTCCAAGATGAGAGAGATATTTTTCCTATATTTCTTTCTAGAGGTTTAACTTTAATCCATCTGGAAATATGTATATGTGTAGTGGAGGGAGGGTTCATATTGCTTTCATTTTTTTCCATATGGAAAACCAATTGCCTCAGCTCTATTTATTGAATAGTTCCTCATTTGCTCACTGATCTGTAATGTCACATCCTTCCTGCATTATATTATAGCACACGCTGACCCTAATGCTTCCAACAGGGTGCCCCTGTGCTCCTTTGCTTGAGGTCTTTATGTGACCGGGGGAGCCTGATAGTTGGACATGTGTTAGTCAAGCCAGAGTGCCGAGAATCTAGGAGGTCCCACAAAGAACTGCCCTCAGCTAAGGACTAATGAGTGTTGAAGGGCAAGTACTCTCATTCACCCATCCCACAGCTGGAAAGAGTATTCTGTTCTCTTTCCAAAGCTTGCAGCTTTGGAAAAGCTGATCTCTTCTTATGAATCCTTATGCATCCTGATCTCTTTTTATGAAGTGTCTTAGTCCATTTCAGTCTGCTATCACAGAATACCATAGACTGAGTGGCTTGTAAACAACAGATATTGATTCTCTCAGGGTCACGGAGGCTATAAGTCTGAGATTAAGGTGTGGGCAGGGCTGCTTCCTCTTGAGGCTTCTCTGCTTGGCTTGTAGATTGTAGTCACTATCTTCTCCCTGTATCCTCAGGTGGTTGTCCCTCTGTGTGTGTGCAGAGGGAGAACTCTGAAATGGTTACTCTTCTTATAAAGATTAAGACTCCTCTCTTATGATTTTACCTAAACACAATCACCTCCTAAAGGCTCTGTTTTCACATAATCTCACATGGGGTTTTCTGGCTTAAACCCATGAATTTTGGGCAAAAGGGCATAATTCAGCTCATAGTAATTATTCAACCAAAGTAGATGATTGGCTTCTGGTGGGAAAGAGGGAATAAAAATGTAGAGAGTATTAAATTAGAGAAAGAGACATAAGAGCTTCATGTAAAATTTTTGAGAAATAGGAGAGCCTGGGAATGGATAATTTGGAGAGTTGAGATGATGCAGTATCACATGATCTTTGTGTTGAGACTGCAGGACAGTGGCTAGGTGGTTTGAAATACTCAAGAGGAAGTTTGAAATTGGAGCTTACTTCAGCCAGGGACTTCACCCTGGTTATCCATGGTGGTCACCTGCTTGGTAAAGATGACCAAGGACTTTCTCCACTCTCTAGCTCATTTCTCCAATTTCTGTTTGTTCTTCCTTGCTCCCCACCCAAATAAACAGCTTAATAGAATCTTTGTATCAGGATTCATTAGGGTAGGTGTATTAAATGCATTTTAGACTTACAATTTGAGTTTTTTCTTTTCTTTCTTTCTTTTTTTTTTTTTTTTGAGACAGTGTCTCACTCTGTTCCCCAGGCTGGAGGACAGCGGTACAGTCATAGCTCACTGCAGCCTCAACCTCCGGTACTCAAGTGATCCTTCTGCCTCAGCCTCCCAAGTTGGACTACAGGTGTGTACCGCTATGCCCAGTTCATTTTTTTTTTCTTTTGCAGAGACAGAGTCTCAGTATGTTGCACAGTCTGGTCTCTAACTTCTGGGCTCAAGTGATTCTCCCATCTCTGCCTTCCAAAGTTCCTGGACTTCAGTCACGAGCCACTGTGTGCAGCCTAGACTTACACTATTTTCAACTTATAATGGGTTTATGGGGTGTAGCCCTATTGTTAAAGTTGAGGAGCATCTGTACTTTGAACAGCTCTAGACATGAGATACACATTAAACGACTGAGAAACTAAAACTCTAGTTTAGATAGTATGTTTCTGTTACTGTAGAATAAGTCACCTCATCTAGCAAGACCAAGCCATGAATGCACTTGAGTTGCATTTTTTAATACTTCCATGGACTCCGAAAAATCTCCAGTGTTCTTAGACCTCAATTCCAAGAAGAGCCGGCTTGTAGACTTGCAGCTGAGATGCAGGCTATGGTGAACTCAGATCTGGAGAAGATAGGAGTCTAGGGAGAAATGGAAAATGATGAAAGCTTTGGCAAAAGGGTGGTAAATTGTTCAAAGAATGTTTAAAGAAAAAAAAATGAACAGCAACCACAACTTTAGAAGGAAATGAAACTGATTAAAAGAGTCATCTTTATTCCACTTCTGCACCATAGAGTGGAATCCCACATAACTTGCATATAATTGAACATAAAAAAAAACTCTGAAGCTCAATCAGCTCAATTTCCATGGGCAGTGAGCCCATGGAAAGCTCAGAAGAATCTTTTCGGAACTATTTATGAGCTGTGCTGCAGTTGATGAAGGCCTGGTTGAGGGTGGTGACAGAGGAGAGGAATGGTGATGGCCACAGGCTTAAAGAACAGCATATCCATCCATTAGGGCTATCGTAACAAAGTCCTACAGACCCGATGGCTCAAACAACAGACACTGATTCTCCCACAGTCCTTGAAGCTGGAAGTCTAAGATCAAGGTGTACCCAGGGCTGGTTTCTCCTGAGACCTGCTCCTTGGCTTGTAGATGCCACCTTCTCCTTGTGTCCTCACAGGGTTGTATCCTCACAGGGTCATCCCTCTGTGTGTGTCTGTGTCCTCATCTTATCTTCTAATGAGATATCTTAGTGTATTTCAGGATACTATAACAGAATACCATAGACTGGGTGGCTTAGAAATAATAGATATTGATTCTCCCACAATCCTTGAAGCTGAACATCCAAGATCAAGGTGTAGGCAGGGAAGGTTCCTCCTGAGGCCTCTCCCCTTACTTTGTAGACATCATCTTTTCCCTGTGTCATTACATGGTTGTCTCTGTGCCTGTGTCTGTGTCCTCATCTCCTCTCCTTATAAGACTGCTATCACAGAATGCCATAGACAGGGAGGCTTAAACAACAGACATTTACTCTTCTACAGTCCAGGAAGCTGGACATCTGAGATCAAGGTGTGGGCAAGGCTGGTTCTTCCTGAGGCCTCCCTCATTGACTTGTAGATGTTGTCTTCTCACCATGTCTTCACAGTTTGTCCTTCTGTGTTTGTGCAGATGGAGAACTCTGAAATGTTTTCCTCTTCTTATAAATTCACCAGCCATATCAGATTAACACCCCTCTCTTATGATTTTACCTAAACCCAATCACCTCCCTGAAGGCTTTGTCTTCACATAATCTCACATGAGGATTTATACTGCTGAAACCCATGAATTTGGAGCAAAAGGGTTTAATTCAGTTCATAATAATTATTCAATCAAAGTAGGTGATTGGCTTCTGGTGGGAAAGAGAAAATAAAATAGAGAGATTATTATGTTAGAGAAAGAGAGATGAAAGCTTCAGGTAAAAATTTTGAGAAATAGGAGATCCTGGGAATGGATAATCTGGAGGGTTGAGATAATGCAGTGTCATATGATCTTTGTGTTGAGCATGCAGGACAGTCACTAGGTGGATCGAAAACTCAAGAGGAAGTTTGAAATTGGAGTTTACTGTGGAATTCATGAAGACTGTAGTAAAAAACATGGGAGACATTAATGGTACAGCAACATTTCTCCCAGGCTATTCTGCAAGGGTCTGGTTCTTCAAGATACTAACAGGGGCTCTGGAAAAAAAAAAAGGAAGGCAGAAAGCAAGCAAGGAAGGAAATAAGAAAGAAAGGGGAAACGAAGGGAGGGAGGTACACGAGAAAGGCAGAAAGGGAGAAAGAATAAAAGAGAAAAGGCAAAGGAAGAAAGAGAAAGAAAGGAAGGAAAGAAGAAAAAGGAATACAGAGGGAAAAGAAGGAAGGGAGGGAGGGTGGGAGGGAGGGAGGGGAAGGGAAGAGAAGGGAAGGAAGAGGAAGGGAGAAAGACAGAGACGGATGAAGGGAGGGAAGAAGGGAGGGAGAGAAAGAGAGGTAGGGGAAAGGAAGAAAGAAAGAGAGAAACAGAAGAAAGAAAAGAAAGTGAAAGAGAGAAAAAGGAAGAAGAAAGAAAAGAGAAAATAAAAGAATATAAAAGAAAGGGGGGAGGAAGGGGGAGGGAGGGAAGGAGGGGGAGGAGCGAAGGAGGGGGAGGGAGGAAGGAAGGCAGGAAGGCAGGAAGAAAGGAAGGGAGGGGAAATTGAGAGAGGGAAAAAGAGAAGGAGGGGAAAGGAAGACAGAAAGAAGAAAAAAGGAAGAAGAAAGAAAAAAAAGAAAGAGAGAAAAAAGAAAGACAAAGAGGAAAGGAAGGAAGGAAGGAGAGAAGAGAAGAGAGAAGAGAGTGAAGGAGAGAGGAAGGAAGGAAGGATAGAGAGAGAGAAAGAAAGGGAAGGTAAAGGAAGAAAGAACAAAAAGGAAAAGGAAAGAGAGAGAAAGCAAGCAAGCAAGCAAGAAAGAATGAAAGAAAGAAAGAAAGAAGAAAAGAGAAAAAAGAATATAAAAGAAAGGGAGGAGAGAGGGAGATGGAGGGAAGGAGGGGGAGGGAGGAAGAGAGGGAGGGAGGAAGGCAGGAAGGGAGGAAGGCAGGAAGGAAGGAAAGAAGGAAGGGAGGGAAGGAAAATTGAGGGGGAAAAAGAGAAGTGGGAAAGGAAGAAAGAAAGAAAAAGGGAAGAAGAATGAAAGAAGAAGGAAAAAAGAGAGAGAAAGACACAAAGAAAAGAGAGAGAAAGAAAGAAAGGGGGGGAAGGAAGGAGAGAAAAGAAGGGAAGGGAGAAGAGAAGGGAAGTGAAGGGAAAAGAGAAGAGAGGGAGGGAAGGGGGAAGGAGGGAGGAAGGAAGGAAGGAGAGAGAGGGAGAAAGAGAGGGAGGGGAAAGGAAGAAAGAGCAAAAAGGAAGGGGAAAGAAAAAAGAAATAAAGAGAAAGAAAGAGAGAGAAGGAAGGAAGGAAGGATACAGAGAGGGAGAAAGAGAGGGATGGGAAAGGAAGGAAGAGCACAAAGGAGAGGAAAGAAAATAGAAATAAAGCAAAAGAAAGAGAGAGAAAAAAGAAAGGAAAGAAATAAAGAAAGAAAAGAAAAAGAAGAAAGAAAGAAAAAGAAAAAAGAGAAAGAAGGAAGGAGAGAGGGAGAAAGAGAGGGAGGGGAAAGGAAGAAAGAGGAAAAAGGAAGAGGAAAGAAAAAAGAGCAAGAAAAGCCAGCAGGAAGGAAGGAAAAAGAAAGAAAAGGAAGAAAGGAAAGAAAAGATGTTTTGCAATGAGGTAAGATCAGGAAATGCATGGTAACTCCCACATCAACTTAAACACATTAGTATGTTTTGTGATTATATGCGGGGGAATGATAATTGCAGATGCTTTTTCTCCTCTTCTTCACTGCCTCCCCCCCTTTTTTTATTATTATACTTCAAGTTTTAGGGTACATGTGCACAATGTGCAGATTAGTCACATATGTATACATGTGCCATGCTGGTGCGCTGCACCCACTAACTCGTCATCTAGCATTAGGTATATCTCCTAGTGCTATCCCTCCCCCTTCCCCCCACCCCACAACAGTCCCCAGAGTGTGATGTTCCCCTTCCTGTGTCCATGTGTTCTCATTGTTCAATTCCCACCTATGAGAGAGAATATGCGGTGTTTGGTTTTTTGTTCTTGAGATAGTTTACTGAGAATGATGATTTCCAATTTCATCCAGATTCTTAGGATCCTTGGTGAGAAAGTGATTTTGAAATCATTTGCTACGGACGTTCAAAGACCCACCAACACCCAAGCAAGTGAGGTCATGTTTGGAAGAGACATGCATGGGTTGATGTGAAAATAGTAGAACAGTACAAGTGCAGAATGTGATGCTGTTTAACAAAGCAAGAATTATTTTTTTGTAAATTCTAGGAAGTGACACTCTAAGTCAGCGTGTTTCTTCAATGGACTGATCAAGTTCAGAGCCCAAGAATTTGCCCAACGTTTTTAGATGTCCTCCTCTCTAAATGATGGTAAGGTTGATGTTATAAGATTTCTAAAAGGAAAGCTAGATTGCTTATCAAAGCATGTGCCCACTGAGCGTTTCCAAGTGCTTTATTCTGAGATGGTCCAAGAGATGTTTCTGAGGTTATTTTTATTGCATCTAGTGACACATTATGCAATACAGATGTTGTTTCCATCAATCCATCTAGAAAGACTATGCATAGGGTTATGTCTCACTTTCCCTATTGGTGACCTGGAGGAAGCATTGCATTTTTGTATGCAATGATATGCCCATGCATGCCAACTTTCATTTATCCTCTTTGAAGATGCATGACAGTAATTTTCCTTGGCTCTTCAAAACTCAAAGGGGAAGCAGGACATGCTTCCAGATGTTTTCACTTGTGTTAAATCTAGTCTCAAGCCTCTGGCATCTTCTGCACCCAAGGCTGTCTGGACCTGTGTCCTGGAGTTGCTGTAGGGGCTGGACCCATCATCATAGCAAATGACAATGTGCAGAACTCAACTGGAGCAAGGAAGGGTCCCCGAGATGCATCCTTATGGCTGAGTACCTCCAGGGTTTGCAGAAGGAATGAGGACAAACAAACTGTGGAGTAAGACCCTGACATGAAGACACAGCTCAAATTTAGCCTCTGATATGGTTTGGCTGTGTCTTTACCAAAATCTCATCTTGAATTGTAGCTCCTACAATTCTCACGTGTTGTGGGAACGACCCAGTGGGAGGTAATTGAATCACAGGGGCGGGTCTTTCCCGTGCTAGTCTCATGATAGTGAATAAGTCTCACAAGATCTGATGATTTTATAAAGGGGAGTTTCCCCACACAAATTCTCTTCTCTTGTCTGCCATCATATGAGCCATGATCCATCAGGCCTCCCCAGCAACATGGAACTGTGAGTCCATTAAACCTCTTTCTTTTGTAAATTGCCCAGTCTCAGCTATGTCTTTATCAGCAGCATGAAAACAGATGAATACAGCCTCTCTGATTTACCAGTGAACACTGGGTGGGATGTCCTCTGCATTTGAATTGATGTAGATTTCTCACTCCTCTGACCCAGGTTGTTGTTTTCAATTTCTATCTTTAAAATCCTTTTCTTCCCACAAATATTTGTCGTTGCAAAGTTCAGTTTACTAGTGTATGGGGAATAAAACACCTGGTGATGATAGCCTAAGCTGTACCATGCAGCAGCAATGGAGATGGCTGTCCTCCCTCCCTCCAGTCCTCCCTCCCAACAGCTTAATGCAAAGAAACTTCTGCTGTTGTAGAACTCTCTTTTTTCTTGCCTGATCCTTTGAAGTCAAGAGTTATTATTATTATTATTACTGTTATGATTCCTCCTCCAGTCATCTGCAATCATAGCTTCAAGAACAAAATTCTTAGCCAGCCTCAGAGTCCCTTCATTTGCATGTTGCCCATGGTGGCAATGGGATTATTGGTGGTCAAGGTACATATCTGTCTCATATCCTAGAGTCATGATCACAGCACCCCACAGGATGATCCACAGGATTTTTGTTTGTTTGTTTGTTTGTTTTGAGACAGGATCTTGCTCTGTTGCTCAGGCTAGAGTGCAGTGGCACATTCATGGCTTACTAGAGCCTTGACCTCCCAGGCTCAAGTGATTCTCCCACCTCAGCCCTCCAAGTAGCCAGGGCTACAGCTACCTGGCACCATGTCCAGCTAATTTTTGTATTTTTAGTAGAGACTGCATTTTGTCATGTTGCCCAGGCTGGTCTCAAACTCCACCAGCCTCAGTCTGATCTCAAGTGATCCACCAGCCTCAGCCTCCCAAAGTGCTTGGATTCTAGGCTTGAGACACCATGCCCTGCCAGACTCACAGGTTTGATTTAGTTTTTCAAGAGGAGTTTAAGAAGAAGCAAGATTTTTTCATTTTGTTGTTTCGCCATTTTTAGCATCAACAATGCTGTGTTCCTTGCAGAAGTGGCATGTCAGCTCATCCTGGGACAAGTGGCATCTGGTGAGATGATAGGCAGATGAGGTTATTTGTGTTATTTGCAAGGGATGGGTGCTGATGATTGCCGTTACATCGGATTTCCCTGATGCTCAGAAAACTCTAAAGAAGACATGGGGTGAGGGCCATGAGTAGGAATGTGGGGAAATTCCATCGTTGGGATGCCCAGAGTCCCACCTGGGCTTATGTCCACTTCAGAATGCACCATCTCATGGAAAGCAAGACATCCTCCACCTACACTTAGCATTTTCACTACCACATGCCGAGTTTCCCTTATCTGAGATGCTTGGGACCAGAAGCAGTGGCAGATCTCAGATTTGTTCAGTTTCTGGAATATTTGCATATGCATAAGGAGATGTCTTGGGGATAAGACATAAGTACAAGCATAAAATTAATTTATGTTTAATATATACTTTAAACACATAGACTATTGTATTGTATACATTTTCATATACAATACTGTTATTTTTATTATTATCATCATTATACTTTTAGAGTCAGGATCTCACTGTCACCCGAGCTGTGGTGCAGTGGTGCAGCCACAGTTCATGTCAGCCTCAATCTCCTGGGCCCAAGTGACCCTTGAACCTCAGCCTTCCCAGTAGCTGGGACTACAGGCACATGCCACCAGGCCTATATTTTTAATTTTTTCCAGAAATGGGGTTTTGTTATGTTGCCCAGGCTGGTCTCAAACTCCTAAGCTCAAGCTGTCCTCCCACTTCAGCCTCCCAAAGTGCTGGGGTTATAGGCATTATCCACTGCACCCAACCTATACAAAATTTTTAAATAATTTTGTGCATGAGACAAAGTTTGTTTATACTGAAACATCAGAAAGAAAAGGTTGACTGGGTGTGGTAGCTCACACCTGTAATCCCAGCACTTCAGGAGACCAAGGTGGGTGGAACATTTGAACCCAGGGGTACAAGACCAGCCCAGGCAACATTGCAAAATCCCATCTCAACAAAAAATGCAAAAATTAGCATGGTGTGATGGTACACAGCTGTAGTCCCAGCTACTTAGGAGGGTGAGGTGGGAGGATCTCTTGAACCCAGGAGGTGGAGGTTGTAGTGAGCTATTGTCACACCACTGCACTACAGCCATGGTGGGAAACAGGGTGAGACCTTGTCTGAAAGAAAGTAAAAAAATGAAAGAGGAAGCAAAGGTGTAAGTTGTCAGTCTCTCAGCCATACATGCAGAAAATCCGATGTCAGGTCAGCATTCCAAAAGTTAAAGATTTTAGAACATTTTGGATTTTGGATTTTCAGATGAGGAGCGTCCACCTTGTACTGAGAAAGCCTTCATTTATTGGTAGGAGGGAGGGATCTAAGGAAAGTACTCATGTCAGAGGTGTTTGAACCAGGGCGACTCCATCTTGAATATGGTCTGGGTAATACGAGGCCAAGACCTACTGGGCTGCATTCCCAGGAGGTGAGGCATTCTAAGTCACAGGATGGGATAGGAGGCTGGCACAAGATACAGGTCTTGCTGATAAAACAGCATGTGGTAAAGAAGCCAGCCAAAAGCCACCAAATCCAAGATGGAAACAAAAGCAATCTCTGGTCATTCTCACTGCTCTTTATACTCTAATTATAATTCATTAGCATACTAAGAGACTCTCCCACCAGCAACATGACCGTTTACAGATGCTATGGCAACATCTGGAAATTACCCTATATGGTCTAAAAGGGAGAGAAACCCTCAGTTCTGGGAATTGTCCACCCCTTTCCCAGAAAAATAATGAATATTCCACCCCTTGTTTAGCATATAATCAATAAATAACTATAAGTATCCTTTGTCCAGCAGACCAAGCTGCTGCTGTGCCTATAGAATAGCCATTCTTTACTCCTTTTCTTTTTTTCTTTTTTTGAGATAGAGTCTTGCTCTGTCACTCAGGCTGGAGTACAGTAGCGCTCTCTCGGCTCACTGCAACCTCCACCTCCTGGGTTTGAATGATTCTGCCTCAGCCTCCCAAGTAGCTGAGACTACAGTGTGCCCCACCACACCCAGGTAATTTTTGTGTAGAAACAGAGTTTCGCCACATTGGCCAGGCTGGTCTTGAACGCTGACCTCAGGTAATTCACCTGCCTTGGCCTCCCAAAGTGTTGGGATTACAGGCATGAGCCACCATGCCTGGCCATGCCTTTACTTTCTTAATAAACTTGCTTTCACTTTGCTCTATAGATTTACCCTGAATTCTTCCTTACATGAGGTCCAAAATCCTTCTCTTGGGGTCTGAATGGAGACCACTTTGTGGTAATATTCAGAATAGAAAATGAGTAATTATGGGGATCCTACTTCTTAAACCAAAGCAAGATAAGATGTGTGATTACTCATATCACATTTTCCTCTTAAACCATGTCCCACATGTTCAACAATATCTAAATTCTTTAAATAAGGCCCTAAGGGTTCTCCTCAATTACCTGGGAGTTCCCTGGAAAGTAGATAGTTATGAAGTGCTCTAACCAAATAACTTTAGAGAGAAGGAGCTTTGTTTATCAGCCATTCTTTTGTTTTTCCTACTGGAGTCCTGTACATGTACATGCACACATCATCCCTATGTCAGCTCTGGGGAATGTTCTGTTTGGAATAATCCAGAGAGTTTGTTGTGTTCCCATCATTTGTCCAGAGGTGAGCAGATGACACAATCTAATCTATGTCTAAAGATTGAAGAGAGGAAACCTAGGATTGGAGGATGGGGAAAGAGGGGGGATAAGGTGCAGGAGATCTTCATGGAAACCAACAAGAGTCCTGACCTCAATCCACACCTCTGGTTACTAATGTGGATTTGAATCCACTTCCATCCATGGATATGCAAATGAAAATTTTCTGAGACAGGTTTCAAGCAATTTAGAAAGTTTATTTTGCCAAGGTTAAGGATGCGCATGCCTCAGGAGATCCTGAGTATGTGTGCCCAAGGTGGTCGGGCTACAGCTTGGTTTTATACATTTTAGGGAGACATGAGAAATTAATCAATACGTATCAGATGTCCATTGGTTCGGTTCAGAATGGCAGGACAACTTGAAGTGGGAACTTCCAGGTCATGGGTAGATTTAAAGATTTTACGACTGGCAATTGGTTGAAAGAATTATTATCGATAGAAAGGAATGTCTGGGTTACGGTCAGGGGCTGTGGAGACCTAGGTTTTATGATGCAGAGGAAGCCTCCAGGTAACAGGCTTCAGAGAATAAACTGTAAATGTTCCTTATTAGAGTCTGTTCTTTCAGTAATTCCAAAATGGAGGAGGGTATCATGAGGGATGCCCAACTTCCCCTTCATGGCCTGAACACATTTTTCAGATTATTCCTGAAAAATGGAATGCGCTTGCCCAGAGGAAGAGTCCAATCAGATCTCAAGGGGAGGGGACTTAGAATTTTGTTTTAAGGTTTGTAGATACAACCATTCTATCTATGCATACAAAGAGGTATCTACAATACAAGAAGAATTCCCAATGGACAGAGCATCATTTTGTAGATGTTTGACTCCAGAATTCACTTCTTTTTCTGGCTAAAGGGGCTTCTCATACAATCCACTAGGTTCAGGAGGGTTCACCATGAAATGCAATGGGTTCTTCTTAAAAGGTAAGAGTCAAATGCTATGTTGATAGCTGTTTTTAATCATAAAAGAGCTGTGTTTAAATTGGTTAATGGGTGTGTAATAATACAGTCTCTTCTTTATGACTTGACATCATTATGAAATATGAGCTCTGGCTAAACCTCAGGATAATGTGGGAGAGAATTAAATCGAGAATTAAGTTTCTATCATAATGGACAACTAAGAAAAGTTTTGGGATTTCCATTACAGCAGATTTTTTTAAGACTCATTTAATGTTTTCTGCAGGATGGCTTAGCATTCCTAAATTCAGTTCAGTACCAGGATATTATAAGGCTTTTCTGTTTATTTTTGTAATAATCTGTTTTCAGAGAACCTTCTCTGCCATAGACATTTTGCTTGGGGCCAAGAATACAATGATCACATGGATGACACATTCACTCTCTTTATGAAGTTTACAGACACACTGCAAATAACAAAGTAGATGAAGAATTAATGTCAGTAAGAAGACTGACTCCAGAGAAAAGCGCTGATTCTTTAACTACCTAGGAAGAAGCAAATACAGATTCACTTTGTTTGAAGATGTGTTTATATTTGGAGAAGTTCAGGAAAACAGGAAGCCCTCAAATAGTACATTGAAAGTCCACTAACATGAAAGTCTACCATAAGCCAGTCAATAGCATTTGTAATCTGCATTATATAATGCACTGTTCTGCTTTCTTAACTAGACTATTTTTTTTGCTAAGTAGGTTTGTGTATTAGTCAGTGTTCTCCAGTGGGACAAACCTAATAGGATCTATGTGTATATAAAAGAGAGTTTATGAAGGAGCATTGGCTCACACGATCACAAGGTGAGGTTCCACAATAGGCCATCTGCAAGTTGAGGAAGTAGGAAGACAATAGTGGCTCAGCCCAAGTCCCAAAGTCTCAAAAGTGGAATTGATGTGGCCAGAAAATGTGTTGCTACACAAAATCTGGCCTGTGTTCTCATTATAGCACATGGATTTTAAAAGAGATGATTTCTTCTCCACTGGGGAAGAAGATATGGCTGACACTGATTCTATCTTCTCTAAAGTCTTTTTTCACCCCACTTCTCTTATCTCCCTTTTTTTCACTTGAAAAAACAGGATTTGAGATTTCTCGCAACACATAACATTCCAAGGAAATAAATTTTAAATGAAAAGTCACCAATCTTCTCATTCTCCATTTCCTTCCAACTTTTTCATAAAAACTCAGATGATTTTTTTGGTATAAAGTCATTATTCATTGGAAGCCCAGAAGAGCTGTTGAAAGAATATGTAGTGCTATTTTCTCTGTAGCTCTTAGGTTTCTGCAGTACATTTAGGTTAAAAACCATAGAGTTCTAAGGGAGGAAGCTGAGGAAGACAGTGAACTGAAATCTAGGAATTATAACCATTGTGTGAAGTTTGTTTTGAGATGAACAAAAACTATTAGGTTGTTGCAAAAATCATTGCAGTTTTTGGCCAGGAGTTGTGGCTTAGGCTTGTAATCCCGTGCTTTGGGAGGCCAAGATGGGTGGATTACCTGAACTCGGAAGTTCGAGACAAGCCTGGCCATCATGGGAAACCCCGTCTCTACTAAAAATACAAAAATTAGCTGGGGTGTGGTGTCGTGTGTCTGTAGTCCCAGCTACTTGGGAGGCTGAGGCTGGAAGACTGCTTGAAGCCAGGAGGTAGAGGTTGCAGTGAGTGAGATTGTGTCACTACACTCCAGCCTGGGCAATGGAATGAGAATTCATCTCAAAAAAGGAAAAAAAAAAGGCATTGCGGTTGTTGCAATTACTTTTTTTTTTTTTCTCTGAGACGGAGTCTTGCTCTGTTGTCCAGCCTGGTGGGCAGTGGCGTGATCTCGGCTCACTGCAAGCTCCACTTCCCAGGTTCATGCCATTCTCCTGCCTCAGCCTCCTGAGTAGCTGGGACTACAGGTGCCCACCACCACCCCCAGCTCAGTTTTTGTATTTTTAGTAGAGATAGGGTTTCACTGTGGTAGCCAGGATGGTCTTGATCTCCTGACCTCATGATCCACCCGTCTTGGTCTCCCAAAGTGCTGGGATTAGAAACATGAGCCACCGCACCTGGCCTGTTGCTATTACTTTTAATGGCGAAAGTGGCAAATAATTCAACAGTAGAATTTGAAATGGAAATAGTGTTGATTCACTAAGTATATCATGACTAAGAACATGAATGTTAAACTCAGCATCTGTGACTGGCCTTTTTGAGTATTTCAGTGCTACAGTTCTTTCTTGTCTTCAGGGGCATATGTTTCAAGACCCCCAATGAATGCATTAAAGTGTGGATAGTATCCAAACCCTTCATATACTAGGTTTTTTCTACACAAATAAACTCATGATGAAATTTAATTTATAAATTAGGCACACTAAGAGATGAATTGCAAGAACTCATAATAGAACAATCATAGCAATATGACATAATAAAAGTTGTATAAATGTGGTCTCTTTCCATCAAAATTTCTTACTGCATTTTACTCACCTTTCTTCGGTGATGATATGCAATGATAAAAGCCTACAGAATGAACATTATGAGATGAAGTGAGATGAATGACTTAGTGATGTAGCATGAATTCTGGAAAATGGGATGTTCTCCTTTGTAAAAACAGAACCCAAATGTCTCTTGGACATCAAAGATATCTGGAAAACAATATTTTGATGAGTAACTCTAAATGTAAGAACATAGAACTAAAATGGCCCTAGTGCAAAATTTAAGAGAACCTGAAGGAAATCATTCTTTGCAAAATGTGTTTTATGTTTGGCAGAAGTGAAGTGTTTGAGTATATTTGGTTCACTCTAAACAGTGAGATTTAACCCCTTCGATTCATCTGGTCCTAGTTTACTGCTCTAAAATACCTTCTGATGATACCGTAGAAGGAGTGGCTTCCACTTTGGGTGATTTTGGGTCACTGGGCCATGGTATCAAGGCAGGGATGTTAGGAGCAGATGGTAGTGATGACTGGTAAGTGGGTGGTGTATAAAGCATAGATACCCTGGACAAAGAAACAACTTCTCCCTCAATGGAATGAAGCATGATGGTGTGAAATTTCACCACAATACTCAGAATGGTGCATAGTTTAAAATGTATGCATTGTGAGGCCAGGCATGGTGGCTCATGCCTGTAATCCCAACACTTTGGGAGGCTGAGGCAGGTGGATTACCTGAGGTCAAGAGTTCAGGACCAGCCTGACCAACATGGTGAAACCCTGTCTCTACTAAAAATACAAAAACTATCCAGGTGTGGTGGTGTGTGCCTGTAATCCCAGCTATTTAGGAGGCTGAGGCATGAGAATCACTTGAACCTGGGACTCAGAATTTGCAGTGAGCCAAAGTGGTGCCACTGCACTCCAGCTTAGGCAATAGAGTGAGACTCTGTCAGAATAAATAAATAATAAATAAATAAATAAATATTAAAATGTATTGTTTATTTCTGGAATATTCCATTTAATATCTACAGACTTCAGTCTGCCATGATAAGTTAAACTGCAGAAAGTAACACTAAAGATAAGAGGGGATTATTGTAATTCATGAGTGACTTAGTGATGTAGCATGAATTGAAAAAGCTTGTGATTCTTTTTTTTTCTTATCTCTGCGGTGACATGAGCGTCTCTGAGGGTCAGGTTCCATCTACATCAAATAGAAAAGCAAGCCATATCTAAGACTTCTTCAGCTATTATTCTTGTATCATTTCATTGTCTCTACTGAAGTAAATAATTCCAACCCAGACCATTTTGTTAAGATTGCAACTATTGTAACTAGCATTTTAAAAACTCATGCTCATTGTCATCTTTACATTTTTTAAACGAATATCAGAAGACACCTGAAATAAAAATGTGAATAAGAGATTTCAAGTAAAAGCTTAATTTTAACCTGCAGTCCTATGACTTTTTATGTTAGAAAAATGCTGTCCTGGATAATATGAAATTATTTTGTTTTTCTTGGAAAATAGTACTAGATGATAGAAGTTGTTAAATCTTACTGATTAGAGTGAACCAAATATATTCAAACATTTCACTTCTGTCAAACACAAAACAAATTTTGCAAAGAACTATTTTCTTCAGATTTTCTTAAAATGTTATAAGTAGATGATTTTATTTCTATTTTTAAATTTATAGCTAACTCATCAAAATATTGTTTTCTAGATATATTTGGCATCCATCTCTGACATAAAGAGATATCTGAGTCCTGTTTTTATAAAAAGAAAGTATCATATTTTCCAGAATCAAACTTGGGTACACTTCAGGTTATTTTTTTAAAGAAGCCAGACATCTAAGGAGTTTGATTAAACTGTGTCCTGATTAGATTATTTCTTCATTATTACTATGTATGCTTCCACAATTAAATAAATTGTTTGACCTTGCTGATAAAATTAGGGTTTCTTTTCTTGTGAAACAGGCTAGATTGCAGTGACACAATTATAGTTCAGTGCAGCCTGGAACTCCAGAACTCAAGCTATCCTCTGGCCTCAGCCTCTCAACTAGCTAAAACTACAGGTGTATGTCACCACTCCTTCATAAGTTTTTTTTAAAAAAACTTTTTTAAAAAACTAGGTGTCTGTGTTTTCCAGGCAGACTTCAAATTCCTGGTCTCAAATGATCCTCCTGGTTCAGCCTACCAAAGTTCTGGGATTATAAACATGAGCCTAGTGAGAATGTATTATTATTTTTGATATTTTCAATATTCTTCAACTAAACATGAATGGTGATGACCACACTTCTTTAAACCAGACAATCCCCTTTATAATTTTTGAGTGCTAATAATTATGTCCAGATGCCCACACTTGAAATGTCAAGATCACACATGATCAATTTCTAAGAAGTTACCCTGTGCCATGGTCTGAATGTATCTCCCAAAATGTATATGTTAAAACTTTATCCTGGCTGGGCACAGTGGCTCATGCCTGTAATCTCAGCACTTTGGGAGCCTGAGGCAGGCAGATCACTTGAGGTCAGGAGTTCAAGACCAGCCTGGACAACATGGTGAAACCCCATCTCTACTAAAAATATAAAAACTACAGGCATGGTGGTTCATACATGTAACCTCAGCTACTCAGGTGGTTGAGGCAGGAGAATAGCTTGGACCCAGGAGTCAGAGGCTGCAGTGAGCTGAGATAGCACCACTGCACTCTAGCCTGGGTGACAGAGTGAGACAGTATCTCAAAACAACAACAACAAAACCCCTTAATCTTCAGTGCTTGGGGGTGGGGCTTTTGGAAGATGTTTAAGTCATGAGGGCTTCATCTTTATGAGCAGATTAATAAAATAAATGAGAGAAAGGGAGCTTGGTTCCTCTCTTGCTCTTCTCCCTTCCACCATGGGAGAATGCCACAAGAAGGTCCTTGCAAGATGCCATCACCCTGATCTTTGACTTTCCTGCTTCCAGAACTGAAGGAATAAATTTCTGTTTTTTATAAATTACCCAAGTCTTGAGTATTCTGCTATAGCAACACAAAACAGATGTAGACCCCATGCCCTCCACTGTCTCCATCCACAAAGTTATTTGATGGGATCTTCATAGATCAGTCTTCCTAAATTGCTGTTTTGCTCTTGCCAGTTCTCATTTCCAAAATGTTTTAGCAATTCCCCATTGGCTAAAGTATGGAATTGCAGATGAAATTTGAGAACTAGAAGACACCATAAGGCTATGTTCTCTACCCCTGCACATAGAAATGAAGAAAGCATCCTACTAGTGAAAAGTCCTATTTGTTGGCTAATATTATGATTATGTCTTGAGATGTCTTAGTGGTAATGGTTGGTGCATTACTTCATGTGAACTGGCCCTGCTGACTTTATGTGTTCTTCTACATTTTACTTTTTTCCTTGTAAAAGTCAGGGTCTCACTCTGTCACACAGTCTAATGGGCAGTGGTGCAATCATAGCTCACTGGAGACTGGAAAGGCTCCTGGGTTCAAGCAATCCTCCCACATCAGGCTCCTGAGTAGCTGGGACGACAGGCTCACACCATTGTTCCCAGCTAAACTTTTCTTTAATTCTTTGTAGAGATGGAGTTTCACTATGTTGCCCAGGCTGGTCTCGAACTCCTGGGCTCAAGTGATCCTCCTGCCTTGGCTCCCCAAAGTTCTGGGATTACAGACATGAGCCATTGCACCTGGCCTTGTGTTCGCTCACATTTTAGCAAATTTGGCTGAAGGTACGACAGCAATAATATTCAAAAAGTAACTTATTAAAAATAAGGATTAAGCATCATAGCATCAATGTATTCTCTTTTAGCAGCATTGATTTTTTTTTTTCTTGTAATCTTCTCCTTCTCCTTCTCCTTCTACTTCTTCTTTTTTTTTTTTTTGAGACTGAGTCTCAGTCTGTTGCCCAGGCTGGAGTGCTGTGGTGCAATCTCAACTCACTGCAAGCTCCGCCTCCCAAGTTCACGCCATTCTCCTGCCTCAGCCTCCTGAATAGCTGGGACTACAGGCACCCATCACGATGCCCAGCTAATTTCTTTTTGTATTTTTAGTAGAGGCGGGGTTTCACCATGTTGGCTGGGATGGTCTCAATCTCCTGACCTTGTGATCCTCCTGCCTTGACATCCGAAAGTTCTGGGATTACAGGCTTGAGCCACTGAGCCCAGCCAGTTTTCCCTTTATAAAACATATGGAATATAAACATATTTACAAAATCAAATATAACCTTACCAAATACAAAATAATAATGATTATAATAATAATAGTGATAATTCAGAAATAAATAAAATAGACAATTCTAAAATAAAATTCTTCCACAGCCTCTTATAAGTCACCTCAAAAGTTATCTTGGCTGGGTGCACTGGTTCATGCCTCTAATCCCAACACTTTGGGAAACTCAGGTGGGAGGATCGCTTGAGCTCAGGATTTCGTGACCAACCTAGGCAATGTAATGAGATCTCATGTCTGCAGAAAAAGTTTCCTCACATGCCACATGCCCTTCAGAAACTGATATACTTTACTGATACTCAAGTCTAAATTAACAATATAAAGCAGGTGAATAGTAGAAGTTTTCCTCAATCAAATAACAAGCCAAAATCTGAACTTCTGAAAGAACACAATAGTCTCGGGCACCAAGCCATGATTTACAAAATACTCTTAGATGGCTTGAAAAATCTATGGATCTTCTTATAATACTAGATTTATTAGATAGGTCCAGCAGACAGACTGGTAGACTTTTTTATGCTTTTATGCATTTTCTCTTTTTTAATTTTAATTTTAATTTTGATTTCTAGGGTACATGTGGAGGATGTACAGGTTTGTTACATCGGTAAATGTGTGCCATGGTGGTTTGCCGCACCTATCAACCCAACACCTAGGTATTAAGCCCAGCATGTGTTAACTATTTTTCTTGGTGCTCTCCCTCCCCCTGCTCCCCCAATAGTTCCCAGTATATATTGTTCCCCTCCTTGTGTCCATTCTCATTGTTTCTGTCCCACTTGTGAGAACATGCCATGTTTGGTTTTCTGTTCCTGCATTCATTTGCTGAGGATAATGGCTTCCAGCTCCATCCATGTCCCTGCAAAGGACAATTCCTTTTCATGGCTGCATAGTATTCCATGGTTTATATGTACCATGTTTTCTTTATTCAGTCTATCATTGATGGGCATTTGGATTGATTCCATGTCTTTGCTATTGTGAATAGTAATATGCACACATGTATCTTTGTAACAGAATGATTTATGATCCTTTTGGTATATACCCAGTAATGATATTGCTGGATCAAATGGTATTTCTGGTTCCAGATCTTTGAGGAATCACCACATTGGTTGTGTGTATTTTTTACTACTACATAACAAATTATAAACTTGGTGGCTTGAAACAATCCCCATTTATCATCTCAGAGTGCTATACATTAGATATCTGAACATGTCCTGGCTGAGTTCTCTACTGAGGGTCTCCCCAGGCTGAAATCATGTGTTGTCAGGGTTGCAGTGTCATCTGAAGCTGGGTGCCTTCTTCTCAGCTCCCTGGTTGTTGGCAGAATTGAGTTCCTAGAGGCTGAAGGAGTGTGTCTCCAACATGTTTCTAGCTGTTAGCCAGAGCCATTCTCAGCTTCTACAGGTAGTGGCCCCATGGCCCTTTCCACAACATGGCAGTTTTTTTATCTGCAAAGTCATCAGGGGAATTTCACTGCTACTTTGGATGTCTGACTTCCCTGTGTCTGACTCTAGGCCCAGGTTTAGATAGCTCATGTGATTAGGTCAAGCTCCCTTTCTTAGGGTCCACTTATTTGGAACATTAACGATGTCTGCAAAATCCCATCACAGTAACACCCAGATTCATGTTTGACTGAACAATCTGTGTGCTCATCAGGGCCCAAAGTCTTGGCAGCCATCTTTGAATTCTGATTCCTACAATTGACTATTCACACTATGAAATATTACACAGCAGTCAGAAAGAATGGATGAGAGCCACCTGCAAGCTGGAGACCCAGGGAAGGACTGATGTTGCAGCTTGAGTCTGAAGGCATTGGAGGCTGCAGTCCCTCTTCTGCAGGGACCTCACTCTTTTCTCCTAAATCTGATTGGATGACACCAATCCCTACATGAAGGTCTAGCCATGGATTCTGGAGCTTCAAAGGGCTCAGAATCACTTTCATTGTGGGAGACCATGTAGAGGTTGGACACAATAATTTAAACATCCACAGTCGTCTATTATTTTGTATCATAAAGACCTGGTCTAAGTACAGCATTTATCTAGCTTGTAACTGGTGACTCTCTAGCCCATCAGTTGGTGTGACCACAGAAAGGTGCTAGAATCTAGGAGAGGTGACCTAGAAGGACAATGGCAAACATCACCTTTCTTCTTGGGGCATTTCCAGTAGAAACGCTGTTCATTCACTGCTCTACCTCCCTACCTACCACTTATGGACTGACTTGTGTCCCTGCTAAATTTATACATTGAAGCCTAAACCCCAGGACCTGATTTAAAGATACGGTTCAAGATGCTATGACTGAAATGACTGCATTTGAACACAGGGTCTTTCAAGAGGTACTTAGAGTAAAATGAGGTCACTAGAGTGGGCCCTGATCCAATAGAACTGGTATCCTTATAAGAAAAGGAAATGACAAAGGCACACATAGAGGGACAACCACGTGAAGACACATGGAAAAGATTATGTCTGCAAGCTGAGGTGAGAGGTTTCAAGAGCAACCAGCTCTGCCTACACCTTGATCTCAGATTTCCAGCCTTCAGATACATAAAAAGACATATTTCTGATTTTTAAGCCTCCAAGTCTGTGAAACTTTGAAGCAACTGTAGCAAACAAAAGTAGTACCCTCACCAGCAAAAGATAAGTCTAAGTTATTGGCCAAGTATGGTGTTATGGTTGAGTCCTCTGAGACTCATAAGGTGGTGTAGCCTCATGAATGGGACTAGTGTCTTTATAAAAGGGACCCCAGAGAGCTCCCTCACTCCTTCCACCATGTGACGTCACAGCAAGAAGGTGCCATCTATGAACCAGGAAGTGGGTCCCCACCAGACACTGAATCTGCCACACCTTGATCTTGGACTTCCCAGCTTCTATAACTGTAAGCAATATATTTCTGTTTATAAGCAACTCAGTTTATGATAATCTGCTATAGTAGCTGAAAAAACTAAGAAGCAGGTCTTAAACCATGACTGCTTTATATTATCAAAATTAGGACAAATATTTCTTATTATATGCCTGGGACTGACCAAACAATCTCCATTAAACAAAAATTAAATTGTTAGCTATGATGACAAGTGCTGAGAAAGGTGAAGGAGTGGGAAGATAGGATGCATGAGAAATGACTTAATGGGTGCGAAGTACATTACTCACATGATGGATGCCCTAAAAGCCTTGACTTCACCACTATGCAATCTATGCCTGTAAGAAAATTGCATTGTACCCCGTAAATGGACACAAATAACATAATTGAATTTGCTTTTAAATGCTCTTTAAGCATTATTTCTAATGTAGTCTTCACTCAAGTTAGAAAATGTTTGGTGTCAAGTTGAAATAACTCACAAGGATGTAGTGAAAGTGTGGTAGATCCAGGCTGATATCTCTGCTCTGTATTTTGTTAGCTATCTGTCTTTATGAAAGTCATTTCTGTTGGCATCATTTTTTTTCAGCTGCAACATGAAGGCATGCATTAAATAACTTTCAAGATGCATTGTTATAAATCATTGATAATTTTGTAACAAGAAGATTCACAGCTGCGACATGAAGGCATGTTTAATAACTTTTAAGATATTAAAAGTTTTTAACTTTAATGATTAAAGTTAAATCATTGATAATTTCCAAGATTCATTTGGAATTCATTTCTTGCATGAACTTGCATTTAATTCCACAAGTTAGAGGGAGTTGTGAGATTTTATTCCAGGGAAGGACATAAAGGGTGTTAAATATTTTTTACTATGTAAATATACAGGTCAGCTTTGCGGAAATTTTAAACATTTTGCAATGGGAAGCACAGTGTCCTTGATATCTCAAGGAAACATCTGTAAACCTCAATAATATGGGAAGAACCAGGGGATTTTCAGGTTTGTAGTTTTAGGAGGCTTAGAAGATTATGATGAGAATTTCTTTAGGCTCCAGAAAAAAATTGTCTCTCTTTTTTCATACCTGCTTTGTGGTGTTTCTTGACACTTAGTTTTAGCAACCGTATGTTCATGTGATTTTATTATAAGCCACATCAAATCCTTTGATTCTATGTGGAAGTACATGGAGTGTAAATTATGTATAAATGAGCATACATTTGGCAATCCTAGGCAGTTTTGTGGTTTGTGGCAGAAAATTGCAGTGTGTGAGAGCACCTAGGAGGAGAGATGTGGCGTCTGATGTCCAGAGACAGATAGGGCTCAGTAACTAGTATGGACAGAGGAGAAGAAAGGCTCATTATGTTTTTTTTTGAAACAGCTATTTTGGGATATAATTTGCATACCACACAATTCACCCATTTATTTCTTATTTTTATTTTATTTTATTTTTTATTTTTATTTTTTATTATACTTTAAGTTTTAGGGTACATGTGCACAATGTGCAGGTTTGTTACCTATGTATACATGTGCCATGCTGGTGTGCTGCACCCATTAACTTGTCATTTAACATTAGGTATATCTCCTAATGCTATCCCTCCCCCCTCTCCCCACACCACAACAGGCTTCGGTGTGTGATGTTCCCCTTCCTATGTCCATGTGTTCTTACTCTGTCATCCAGGCTAGAGGGCAGTGGCACGATTATGGCTCACTGCAGCCTCAACATCCTGGACTGAAGTGATCCCCCCACCTCAGCCTACCAAGAAGCTGGAACTACCAGCATGTGCCAGCATGCTTGCCTAATTTTGTTGTTTTTGGGTCTTGCTATATTGCCCCGGCTGGCCTTAAACTCCTGGGCTCAGGTGATCCTCCCACCTCAGCCTCCCAAAGTACGGGGATTACAGGTGTGAGCTACCACATCCGGCCCAGTTCTCCCATTTAAAGTATACAAAGCAATCATTTTTAGGACGTTCATAGCTGTGCAGCAATCACCACAATCAACTTTAGAACATTCTCATCAATTCAACAAGAAATTCCACACTCTTTAGCTATCCTTGCAATTTCTCCAATTACTCCTGATCCCACATCCCTTGGCAACTACTAATCTGCTTTCTGTCTATGGATTTGCTTATTCTGAACATTTCCTATCAATGGAATCATACCATATGTGGTCCTTGGTGAAGAGTTTCTTTCACTGAGCTTAGTGTTTTCAAGGTTCATCCACACTGCAGTGTGTGTCAAAGCTTCTTTCTTTTTTAAGGCTGGATAATATTCTATTGTTGGAATATGGCTAGAAAATATTTTCATGATAACATTCAAAGAGTCAGAAACAAGTATAGAGGTTTTCCAGGCCAAATTCTAGGTGTGATTTCTCTTGGCAAAGTATTCTGCCTGAACCTCCAGAGCTGATGCCTGTATCAGGCCCTGGTTCCTGGTAAGGATAGAGAGTGATATTAACTCACCTGTCTTTCTTGGGCCCCACAGTCGTCTGTGGGATCGCTGCCAGCACAATGTGGAAGGGAAGTCTTGGTTTAGCTAACTGCAGCATACTCATGGCTCAGATCCTGACCAAAAGAGTTATTTCATTAAAGACAGACAGGGCAGGTAGAAAAGCAAAGGGCTTGCAAACACACCATGATGGACTTCTCTATTCCCCCTCTTTCTTTCTTTCCTTCCTTCCTTCCTTTCCTTCCTTCCTTCCTTTCCTTCCTTCTTTCTTTCTCTTTCTTTCTTTCTTTCTTTCTTTCTTTCTTTCTTTCTTTCTTTCTTTCTTTCTCTCTTTCTTTCTTTTCCTTTCTTTCTTTCTCTCTTTCTTTCTCTCTTTTTTCTTTCTCTTTGTTTGTTTGTTTCTTTCTTTTTTTCTCTGTCTTCCTTCCTTCCTTCCTTCCTTCCTTCCTCTCTCCTTTCTTTCTCTCTTTCTTTCTGTCTTTCTTTTTCTCTTTTTTCCTTCCTTCCTTCCTTCTTTCTTCCTTCTTTTTTGTACTTTCCTTCCCTCCCTCCCTCTCTCCCTTCTTTCTGTCTTTTTATCTTCCTTCATTCTTTCTTCTTTCTCTTCTTTCCTCTCTTCATTCCTTCCTTCCTTTTTCCTACTCTCCTTCCTTCTCTTTCTCCCTCTCTCTCCCTTCTTTCTTTTTTCCCTCCCTCCCTCCCTCCCTCACTCCTTCCTTCCTTCCTTTCTTCCTTCCTTCCTGCCTTCCTTCTTTTCTTTTCTCTTTTAGTTCTTTCTTTATGTCTTAGAGATGGTTTCACTCTGTTGTCACCCAGGCTGGAGTACAGTGGTGTAATCATAGGTCACTGCAGACTCAAACTCATGGGCTCAAGTGATCCTTCCACCTCAGCCTCCCAAGTAACTGGGACTACAGGTGTGTGCAATCATGCCTGGCTAATATTTTTATTTTTATTTTTGTAGAGACAGGGTTTCACTATATTGCTCAGGATGGTCTCGAACTCCTGAGCTCTGGTGATCCTCCCACTTTGGCCTTCCAAAATGCTGGGATTATAGGTGTGAACCACCTTCCCTAGACGGCTGTCCTTCTGAAGGACTAACACACTACTTGGGTCAGCCAAGGCAGAGAGATATCATAAGGCCAGTAAAACAAGCAAGAAAGTGAGCTCTCAGAGGAGGGGGCTCTTCCACAAGACCACTCTCACTTTGGACACCAGTTGCAGGTTGAGAGGAGTTCCCAAAACTACCCTCAAGTTTGACAGTTCCCTAGAAGGACTGACAGAACTCACTGGAAGCTGTTACACTCACATTTGTGGTTTATTACAGTGAGAGGATGACAGATCACAGTCAGCAAATGAAAGAGGTGCATGGGATAGAGGTCCAAGCCAAGTACCAAACAGAGCTTCTATTATCCTCTCCCCTTGGAGTCAGAGAAGTGTTGGTTTCTAGGCATCAATATATGACAACATGCATGAAGTATTGCCAACTTGGGTGTAGTAGTCTATTCCTGCCTTGTTATAAAGAATAAATGGAGTCTGGGTAATTTATAAAGAAAAGAGGTTTAATTGCTCACAATTCTGCAGGCTGTACAGGAAGCAGGATGCCAGCATCTGCTTCTCAGGAGGCTTTCAGTCATGGTAGGGGTGAAGGGGGAGCAGTTGTCTCACATGGTGGAAGCAGGAATGAGAGAATGAGGAGGGGCTAGACACTTTTAAATGACCAGATCTCATGAGGACACACTCACTATCACAAGGACAGTACCAAGGGGAATAGTGCTAAACCGTTCCTGAAAAATCCACCCGCAGGATCCAATCACCTCCAACCATGTCCCACTGCCAACCTCGGGAATCACATTTCAACATGAGATTTGAAGCATATCCAAACTATATCACCGGGCATATCACCTGAGCCTTGGGGTTCAGTGTTTACAGAGGCTTCATTGTGATTGACTAATTGTCTATGTGGCTGATCATTCTCCAGCCTCACTGAAGGTCTACCAATACCATGGAACCTGAATCCCATTGTTACTAATGGATGTGGCTACCCTCACTCCAAATCACATTGTTAGACTGCCCAGTGTGAACCAACACCCCTACAGAAACAAATACACTCCTGTCTTTGTTTGGCACCCATTCCAAAGGCTTAGATGTCAAGTTCTAGAGCCAATGCAAAAGCCCAGACCTCTCTCTGAGCAAGGTTAAATTCCAGCCAAGGCCAAAGCCCACACCTCTCCTTGAACAAGGTTAAATTCTTTACCTCCAGGTCTACAGAAGTGAACAGGTCCAGGTAAGGCAAGGAGAGACCTAAGGAGTAAAACAAGGTATCAAGTGGTCCCTCAGAAGAGGAGACAAAATCACCACAATGGCGCAATTATTCCCAATTGTAATAGTATCTTCATTTTATGTTTCTCTATAGCTGGAGGTGGGCAGTTCACCTGCAGCTCTCACAATGGTGAATTCAATCAACCCCATGGCTAAACTGCTTCCTGGGCTGAGCATTAATCTTTCATCCTATTTTCTTCATCAGTTACATCCCAACATAGTTTGATATAACTCATCAGAGGTTGATCATAGGCCCAAATATTGGCATAAATGCTGCTGATAACATGAATCCAGTCATGGAATAATACTCAAATTTGATGGTTGTGAATGTCCTTTTGTTAACAAGTTTCTGAGGATATTAAGCATCTAAAATGGGTATCCTTTGCTGGTGTGAATGTAAGTTAGTACAACCTCTATGGAACACAATATGGAGATTTCTCAAAGAACTGAAAATAAAAGTACTATTCCATCCAGCAATCCCACGACTGGGTATCTACCCAAAGGAAAATAAATCATTGTATCAAAAAGATACCTGTGCTTGTATGTTTATTGCAGTACCATTCACAATAACAAAGATACGGAATCAATGGAAGTGTCTATCAATGGCAGATTGGATACAGTAAATATGGTACATGTACACAAAATGGAATACTATTCCACCGTGAGAAAAATAAAGCTATGTCTTTTGTAGCTACTTGGATGGAACTGGAGGCCATTATCCTAAGTGGACAAAGCCAGACCCAGAAAGACAAATGTCACATGTTCTCACTCATAAGTGGAAGTTAAAATATGTTATATGTGGATGAAAAGAATGGAATGAGATGATGGAGACTCAAAAGCGTAAGGAGGTGGGAGGAGAATTATGAAAAATTAGTTAATGGGTACAATGAAATGGATTACTAAAAACCCTGCCTTGATCATTATGCAATCTATGCATGTAAAAAAGTTGCACTTTTATCCCATTAATATTCATCTAAAGTTAGAAAAACAAAGAGAAAATGTGTACCCTGTCTTTGTTAAAAACCACAGATATTAAGACATTCTTTTTCTCCCCTATGTCAAATTTTCTTCACCTTCACCTAGGGCAGTCTCCATCAGTGCTTGAGAGGAATTGGGGCTCTCCTTGAAGGTGCATCTGAGATTGCTCCTCAGGAAAAAGAGTTGGATGTCTTCAGGTCATATTTTTAGAAGAGAAAAATCTCCTTGGTCTTAGCCTCACTGCAATGCAGGAATGAATACTAACTCAGCAGGAAAACTCTCCCATTGTGGTCAGATGAATAATGGCCACCCCAAAATGTCCATGTCTTAATCCCTGTGCAGTAGACAGAAAAAAAAATGGCCCCCAAAATGTCCACATTCTAATCCCCATATAGACAGAATATTGTGCCCAAAGATGTCTATATCCTAATCCTTATGTCGGAGACAGAATAATGCCTCCAGAGATGTCCTCATTCTAATCCCCATGTGGTAGACAGACTAATGGTCCCAAAGATGTCCACATTCTAATCTGCATGTGGTGGACAAAATAATGTCTCCAAAGATGTCTGCATCCTAATCCCCATGTAATAGACAGAATAATGGCCCCAGAGATGTCCATAT
The DNA here is from genome assembly GCF_000001405.40 of Homo sapiens. Lineage (NCBI taxonomy): Eukaryota > Metazoa > Chordata > Mammalia > Primates > Hominidae > Homo > Homo sapiens. Next base: position 12,089,461 of record NC_000024.10, on the reverse strand, counting down.
CTTAATCCTCATGTGGTAGACAGGATAATGGCCCCAAAGGTGTCCATGTCCAATGAATATGTTGATTTATGTGGTAAAGCTGACTTTGCAGATGGGATCAAGTTAAAAATCTTGAGATGGGGAGATTATTCTGGATTGTTTGGGTGGGTTCAATGTATTCTCAATGCTTCTTATAGAAGGAAGACTTGGATTCAGAGAAAGAGAAAAAGGAGATGTGACAAGGAGAGTAGAAGTTGGCATGGTGGAAGAAGGAAGAAGGCACCACAAGCCAAGGAATACAGCAACCTCTAGAAGCTGGAAAAAGCAAGAAAATAGATTCATTCGTGGAGCATCCAGAAGAACCATTCTTGCAGAGACCCTTATTTTAGCCCATTGAAACTTAGTTGAACTTCTGTTCAGGCCACTGAAATGATGCCCCTTCCTTGATAAGGCACAATACCTACACCAGCAGCCAGAGATGTTATGGTTTAAGGTCCTCAGCGGCCTGTGAGTGTCAATGTTGGTATTTTTGGCTGTACTTACATCCAGCAGCTGCAACCCCCAGTCATAGCATAAGATGACAAAAACTGCAAGGTCACAGGCGAATGTAGCCAGAAATTTGTGCAGCCTCCATAGGGCTACATAAGCAACCCTGATATTGCATAACAGCTCAGAGTTCATTGTTTCTCAGCCCATCCTTCTCAGGGTCTCCTAGATGATGACTTTGAAGCCTTTGAAGAGTAAGTCATGCATGTCCCTTCCCACTGGGTTAGGAACCTGCTGCAATGTCTACAGGGGGCTTGGGGAGAAATAAGGACTTCTATCTATCATTGCTACAGTTACACTAGAAAGAGCTCGTCACATGAGCCAAGCAGGTTTCCTCTCCTCCTGCACTTGGGCCTATGCCACTGGGTGGAATGAAAAGAAGCTCAAAGTTGCCTTCTCTTAATATCCTCCTCTGACTTAATGATTCCCAAGTGGATGTGGAAGATGCTGATAGGACACACACCTTTTGTATGGAGGGAGGGAAAAAATTAAGGGAAGGGGAGAGAGAAGAATGGAGGAAGAGAGAGGGAGACAAGGAAAGGAAGGAAGAGAGAAGAAAGGAGAAAGACAGAGGGATGAAAGAAGAGAGAGGAAGGAAGGAAGAAGGGAAGGAAGGAAGAAAGGAAGGGAGGGAAGGAGAGAGAAAGGGAAGAAAAGGAAAGGAAAGGAGAAAGGAAAAAATGAAAGGAGGGAGGAAGAGTGAGGCAGAGTCAGAAAGAGAGAAAAAGAGGAAGAAAGAGAGAGGAAAGGAGAGAATAAGAAGGGGGGAAATGGAAAAATATAAAAAGGACCAAACAAAGAAAGAGAGAGGGGAGGGAAGGGGAGAAAAAGAAGGAGGAGAAGGAGAGAGAAAGAAAGAAAAATAGGAAGCAGAGGGGAGAAAGAGAAGTAAGGAAGAGAAAGAGAGGGAAAGACGGTGAGAGAGAAAGAGGAAGGAATGGTAAATAGAAAGGAGAAATGGAGAAAGAGAGAAGAGATAAGGGAGAGGGAGTGCAGACTGGGAGAGAGAGATGAGATAGTTAGAGATATACGAATGGAGGAAGGAGAAAGACAGAGAGATAGAAGGAGTAGGAGGAGGAGAAAGTAAAAGAGAGAAAGAGAAGAGGGTAAGGGAGAAAGAGAAAGAAGGACAGAGAGCCATACAGAGAGGAACAAATGGATAAACAGAGGAAGGAAGGGATGGAGAAAGAGAGGAGAAAAGGAAAGAGAGGGAAGGAAGGAAAGAGGGAGGGAGAAAGAGAGCATGTGCTTAAAGAAAAGTTATGGGGCTGGCTGTCATTTCCTCCAGAGGCCAACAAAACTCTCCCTACTCTCTAAGCCCCAGTGAATATATATGAAAGAGCTAGTAAGAGACAAAATAAAATTGCTTTGTGATTACACCCAATGAGTCATGCTTGTTAGCCACAACAGTTACATCGGCTTTCCCCCTAACAGCCCTCAAGAAATACCAGTCCTATAGTGTAATAGAGTTGGATCTCCAAGAGCTGTTTAGGAGCTGACAGGATTTCTGGAGAATTTCTCCTGGCTTGTCTCTGATCAAGCAATATCACCAAGACTCACTTGTTAACCCTGTTGGTGTTAGAGTCCTCATTTGGAGAAATGATGGAATGAATCCTGGTTCATCTTCAGAGCTCCTTTTATTTTCAAAGTTCTATCTCCTAGGTAAAGGCAAATTTTCTGTATTTTATGCTAAACAACTCCAGGATCTAACAGTGTTCATTTGCCCATGTGTTCAAGATGGGCATGTCCATTGGAATATCTTGAATTTGCTGGAATAAGTTAATGAGAATTCATGGTCTCCATCCTAGGTGTTTTGGAGGGTCTGGAGGAGGTTGGGGCTTGGGGCTATTGCTGCTACATAGACCATGATTAACTTCATGAGGCTTGTTCTGATTGTTCATAACAATCAGACAATCAGACAAGAAGATGAAGGTGATGTGATAGGGTTAGATCATGGAGGAACTCAGCTCACATTGGACGGAGAGAATGGATGTAATGTCCCCTGACTGTATGGACTTCAGAGCAGAAGGCAGTGCACACTTTGACTGGCATTATTCTGCAGATGTGCCATTACACATAGTTGACCTTAACATGAGACACTCACCTCTCAGCCCAAATGTCTTACCTAAACCTTTCTGGGTTTGTGGGTTAATGGGATATCTCTTGGTGGACTAGACTATTGGTTTGGTGGTTGGGTTTTGCATCTCTGATACTGTCTTCACCTTTTGTCCTCCTGGCTTGAATTTTGGGATGAGGTGTTCCCAAACACCTCATCCATAATGGGCAAGTCTGTGCAAACCTATCCCCAAAAGCCCAAGAAAGCTGAGATGCCAAAGAAATAAGCTGACACATCTAGTTTCTTAGAAAAACAAACAAACAAACAAAAAAACACTTAATTGGTACTTAGAAACAGAACCCATGTTTGTGTCTTGTGTGGCAGACAGGTCAAGTGGATTTCTATACCATTACTGCCAAATAACCCAGGGCTTATATACCATGGGGTAAGGGGTGTATAGGATGATTGTTTTGTGGGCAGGATTTATGGCAAGGACATTCTCTTAACACAAGGAACAGTAGATAGAATAGAAATCTTAGAGGCCTGCCCAGAACTAGGGTCAATCAGAAGTCAACATGGTGGATTAGCATTCAAGGTGGGGTTACTTTAGCCCCCACCTGAAGATATTTTGATGATGAATGATGCTCCTGTTCTAAAATACGGGTGGGCTCTGGTTTTGTCTTCAGGACTGTTAGCAACTGCAGACCTCACAACCATAGGTACAAGCTTCCTACTCATGTTCTCTGGCTCTCCAGAGTCTCTCTGTTTCTGAACTGTACTGACAATCCCTGATTCTTTACATGACTTCCTCACTGCTTGCCTCATCCCAGCCATGAGACTTCTGGATAGGTACAACAATGTGATTGTATCATCAAAGGCTTGACTTCCAGCTGAAATAATCTTATAGGAAATTGTTTTGACATTTCAACAATAAACCCTCTTGAAGAGAAGCCAACACAAGTAACCTTTGTATTAAATTCTTCCGTGCTGTGGTAAGATAGTCACAGGAGTTCACTTCCATTCATTGAAACTTTAGGGGAAAAAGGGGGGGAAATCTTATAAGAATATAAAAGCCCATTCAGTTCATGCATTCCTATAAGGAGATGTTGATTTCACTTAGCTTGTCTCTTTCTCAAGTCCAAGTCTAGTTAAGAGGCAGTCTTTATAAACAATGATAGGCAACTTTCCTGGGGAAATATTTGTTTGGAAAGAAATGGAGGATAATTTAAAAGAGGTATTGAAGCCTTAGTACCGTGGGCTTTAAATGATGGATTGTGTAGTGTTTATTTCTTCCTGTTGGTGCAGGAGGGTGATTAAGGGCTTTTCCTACCTTAAGTTGATCAAAGTGGTATTTTCATAAGATTAATCTGGCAGCAGAATGCAGATAGTTGTTGGCCTCCCCACCTGTCCTGGGCATATTTAGAGCACCTGGGGGTACATATGTCCAAGACAGAGAAGTATACAGGCAAAGTAACAGTTTAATCATATGTCTCAGACTAAACATAACTCAGAAGACAATGTTGGGAAGAGCACCAAGAACTTAAGATGTTTGCACACATTCCACATCAGCCATCTTTTACATCATCCATCAGAGCATGAGAGCTCTTTCACTTACTTTTGGCCAAATTAGATACAGTTTGCCTTCATAATATGAGGGCTATATAGAGCTATTTCCCAAAATCAAAGAGTTTATACATTTGACCCATCCCTGATTGTGTTCAATGCTCTAGTTTATGCTTTGATGGTTTCCTCAGACATAGCTGAATTTATAAAATTCTGAGATGTCCCATAGATAAAGGATTGAATCTGTTTAATTCCAGCTCTTCCACCTAGCACACTTGTTTACAAAGTGACATGTAACCTACAAGTTGTTTGGCTGAAGTTTTTCATTAAAAAAATCCATATCAAAAGCCAACTTTTAGGTTCCAAAGCAGAGAATATTACAAGCATGTGCTCATTTTCATTTTGAGACACTGGAAGAATTGGTGTCTAGGCAGTCTGGGATAATAGCCTAGTTCTAAGGACATTATCATTGATCCCTTTATAGGCCATAGACCTCCATGTGGCTAGCCAATTATAAAGAACACCACAGACTTCATTGGAAAGCAGGTGAAAGGAAGAGATGCCTCAACCCACTCAGCATTAGTAATAGCTATTAGTTGACTATTAGTTGAACTGATAGAATAAACTCTGTGCTCACCCCTTAGCAGACAACCTAAGAACTTATTTTCCTTTTTTATTATAATTATACTTTAAGTTCTAGGGTAAAAGTGCACAATGTGCATGTTTGTTATATAGGTATACATGTGCCATGTTGGTTTGCCGCACCCATCATCTTGTCATTTACATTATGTATTTCTCCCAATGTAAATATAATTAGAAATTATCTATCCCTTCCCCAGCTTCCCATACCCTGACAGGCCCCGGTGTGTGAAGTTCCCCACCTTGTGTCCATGTGCTTTCATTGTTCAACTCCCATCTGTGAGTGAGAACATGCAGTATTTGGTGCTCTGTCCTTGTGATAGCTTGCTTAGAATAATGGTTCCCATCTTCATCCATGTTCCTGCAAAGGACATGAACTCATCCTTTTTTATGGCTGCATAGTATTCCATGGTGTGTATATGCCATATTTTCTTAATCCAGTCTATCCTGGATGTATATTCAGGTTGGTTCCAAAACTTTGCTATTGTGAATAGTGCTGCATGATTTATAATCCTTTAGGTATATACCCAGTAATGAGCTCATTGGGTCAAATGGTATTTCTAATTCTAGATCCTTGAGGAATCACCACACTGTCTTCCACAATGGTTGAACTAGTTTACACTCCCACCAACAGTGCAAAAGCATTCCTATTTTTCCACATCCTCTCCAGCATCTGTTGTTTCCTGACTTTTTAATGACCACTATTCTAACTGGCATGAGAATGTATCTCATTGTGGTTTTGACTTGCATTTCTCTGATGACCAGTGATGATGAGCCTTTTTTCATGTGTCTGTTGGCTGAATAAATATCATCTTTTGAGAGGTGTCTGTTCATATCCTTTGCCACTTTTTGATGGGGTTGTTTGCTTTTTTCTTGTAAATTTGTTTAAGTTCTCTGTAGAGTCTGGATATTAGCCCTTTGTCTGATGGGTAGATTGCAAAAAATTTCTGCTATTCTCTAGGTTGCCTGTTCACTCCAATGATAGTTTCTTTTGCTGTATGGAAGTTCTTTAGTTTAATTAGATCCCATTTGTCTGGTTTGGCTTTTGTTGCCATTGCTTTTGTGTTTTATTCATCAAGTCTTTGCCTATACCTATGTCCTGAATGGTATTGCCTAGGTTTTCTTCTAGGGTTTTTATGGTATTAGGTCTTACATTTAAGTCTTTAATCCATCTTGAGTTAATTTTTGTGTATGGTGTATGGAAGGGATCCAGTTTCAGCTTTCTACATATTGCTAGCCAGTTTTCCCAGCACCATTTATTAAATAGGGAATCCATTCCCCATTTCTTGTTTTTGTCAGGTTTGTCAAAGATCAGATGGTTGTAGATGTATGGTGTTATTTCTGAGGCCTCTGTTCTATTCCATTGGTCTATACATCTGTTTGGGTACCAGTACCAGGCTGTTTTGGTTGCTGTAGCCTTGTAGAGTAGTTTGAAGTCAGGTAGTATGATGCCTACAGCTTTGTTCTTTTTGCTTAGGATTGTCTTGGCTATGAGGGCTCTTTTTTGGCTCCATATGAACTTTGAAGTAGTTTTTTCCAATTCCCTGAAGAAAGTCGTTGGTAGCTTGATGGGGATGGCATTGAATCTATAAATATGGCTATTTTCATGATATTGATTCTTCCTATCCATGAGCATGGAATGTTCTTCCATTTGTTTGTGCCCTCTTTTATTTTATTGAGCAGCGGTTTGTACTTCTCCTTAAAGAGGTCCTTCAAATTCCTTGTAAGTTGGATTCCTAGGTATTTTATTCTTTTTTTATTTTTTATTTTTTATTCTTTTTGTAGTAATTGTGAATGGGAGTTCACTCATGATTTAGCTCACTGTTTGCCTATTATTGCTGTATAGGAATTCTTGTGATTTATCTTCATTTTATATTTTTCATTCTGTATTTAGATTGCTCTTTGCCAATTTACCAATATATATGCTATCCTTTTTTTTTTTTTTTTTTTTTTTGAGACAGAGACTTGCTCAGTCACCCAGGCTGGAGTGCAGTTGCTCGATCTCCGCTCACTGCAAGCTCCTCCTCCTGGGTTCATGCCATTCTCCTGCCTCAGCCTCCTGAGTAGCTGGGACTACAGGCACCCACCACCACGCCCAGCTAATTTTTTTGAATTTTTTTTTAGTAGAGACAGCGTTTCACTGTGTTATCCAGGATGGTCTCAATCTCCTGACCTCGTGATTTGCCCTCCTCGGCCTCCCAAAGTGCTGGGATTACAGAAGTGAGCCACAGCGCCTGGCCTATGCTATCCCTTTTTAACGCAAGAAAAAAATACACATAAGTGCCTAAATGCAAACACACATATGTATATTTGCGTACACATATAGGTATGTGTATATATATATGTGTATGTGTATATATATATATGTGTGTGTGTATGTATTAGGTAAGTATGTGTGTATGTATGCGTGTGTTTTCTTGCATTAAAAAAGATAACAAAATCTTTGAACACAGGTTTTGGGTAAAATACTACTTTATTTTATGTACTAACAACCTAGTAAAAGAGCATGAATATTCAAAGTTATAACATCAGAATTCTTTGAGGATCAAACACTTTTTGAGCCCAGCAAGCATCCAATAGTTATTCAGTGCAAAAATGAGATTACTTTCCCTTGTGAGGGGTTGCTCAATGGCTCTGTCTTCATTTAAGTGACATTTAGACAGGAATAAAATTGGAGAGTACGTGATTTTTCCAAAGTCCCTGAATTTTCAATGCAACCATATTGAAAGTCTTCCTTTGTGAATAATGTTTCCACAACTAGTAAAGCTATGTCTAACTCAACTCTGTAACATAGAGACCATGCATACACGTAGTTGATAAATATACACCTGAGTTGGTAGGTTGCAGAAGGTGTTGCTTTATGCATTAAATAACTCAATCTGGAGATCCACAGTGGATTGAGTCAATTATTCCCAGATCCTAACCATCCTTTGTGGTCAGAAGATATGCCCAACCAATTGGTATGGAAATGGCCATGCAGATTTAACTGTAGGACCAAGGCACATGCAGTGGACTTCTTTCATCCTGGAAGAAATTAGATCAATTTCAGCACTGACAATAATATCTGAAATTGGGTTGCATGGCTTTCCTGGAAGCATGTTCTTTGGTGTGCAAAAAGAGGGTAGATACATATAATTAGTTTGAAATTTTTAAGGAAGTTTGATTAACCTACATAGCTGTGTAACATGTGTGGGCTTTGTGAAATTTGCTAAGTGCTATTTTTTAATTCTTCCATCAACACACATTCAAGTACAAACCTGAATTAGATGTGTTTGTGGTCATGCAAAATTAAAATAAGAAATGTAGAAAATTCTTCAAAATGAAATGGATAGGGACTCACCTTATTTTGTTTTTTGTTTTTGTGTTTGTTTTTGAGACAGAGCCTCACTCTATCATCCCGGCTGGAGTACAGTGGTGAGATCTCAGCCCGCTGCAGCCTCTGTCTTCCAGGTTCAAGTGATTCTCCTGCCTTGGCCTCCTAAGTAGCTGAGATTATAGTCATGGGACACCAGACCCAGCTAATTTTTGTATTTTTTTTGTAGCGACAGGGTTTCACTATGTTGGCCAAGCTGGTCACAAACTCCTGACCTCAAGTGACTGGCCTGTCTCGGCCTCCCAAAGTTCTGGGATTACAGGTGTGAGCCACTGCACCTGGCCTTTATTTTGTTTCTAAGGTGGGAAATGAACCTAAGACTCTTGGAGACATTCACAACGTCAATTTTATCAAAACAATTGAGACAATCAGGTCATAATTTTGAGAAACAATAAAAATGGTCACACAAATGCTGTGTATGATGAGTGAGAGAGCTCTATGAGTTGTGGAATAATGGTCTCCAAGGTAGGGAGATTTTGTTCCATGCCAGGGGACACTTGGCAATGTCTGGAGATATTTTTCGGTGTCACAACTGAGTGGTCTCACTAACTCCTGGTGGTTGGAGCCCAAGATGTTACTCGACACCCTACAGTGCACAGGACACCCCCACCACAGAGAATCATCCACCCCCAAATGTCAGCAGTGCCAGCTCAACTGCAAAATCCTGCCTTAGCATGAAAGACTCTGTGTGCTTGTCTATTATCTATTTATTTATCTCTCTATGTTTTTGTCCACATATTCGTCATCTATCTATCATCGATATATCTATCCCTCTATCATCTATTTGGTCATCATTATTACTATTTATCTATATATCTGTTAATTATCTATTTATCTATCTATCCATTTGTATTAGTCCATTTTCACACTGCTGATAAAGACATACCTGAGGTGGGGTAAATTATAAAGAAAAAGAGGTTTAATGGACTCACAGTTCCACATGGCTGGGGAGGCTTCACAATCACGGAGGAAGGCAAAAGACACATCTTACTTGGCAGCAGCTAAGAGAAAGAACGAGAGCTAAGAGAAAGGGTTTCTTCTTATTAAAACATCAGATCCCCTGAGACTTATTCACTATCACAAGAACAGTATGGGGGAAACTGCCTGTTGATTCAATTATCTCCAATCAAGTCCCTCCCACAAGAGTTGGGAATTATGGGTGCTAAAATTCAAGATAAGATTTGGGTGGGGACACGTCCAAACCATATCTCTATCTATCTATCTATCTATCTATCTATCTATCTATCTATCTATCTATCTATCTATCTAATCTGTCATCACAGTGGTTTCCAATTGCAGTTCACTTTGCCCTCAGGGGACACTGGCAATGCCTGGAAACGTCTTCCCTGGGTGGAGAGTTGGTCCTGACATCTGGTGGGTGAAGCCCAGGGACACTGCTCAACAACATACAGCACACAAGGATGCCCCACCAGGGAATCATGCAGCCCCAAATGTCAACAGTGCCAAAGCTGACACTGCTGCTCTCTTGGCACTGCTACTCTGTTACAGAAGCCATGTAGGTCTAAAAAGATACAATGTAGAGAGTAGTGGGGATTACAGTGCACAAATAGAGTAAGAAGTCTCTCTGGTTTTATTTTGTGTTTGTTTTGTTTTGCTCCTGCTTGGGAGGAGGGAGTGGAAGAGGGGAGAGAAGACAAATAATTGGATGCTGGGGATATCCCTGAATGGTGGGGCCAATGACAAATCATCAGTAGCAGAGGGACTAAAAAGAACTTATAGGAAAAGAATATTGTATACCCAAATTTTAGCCATCTGTGTAGATTGGCTATTCATGTCTCCCTTATTCTCTAAACATTCTCAACAAAGTCGATGCATACAAAGAAGTCTTGTGTGAATTACTTTGTTTGATTATTCCTTTACTTAGTCTTTCATTCATCTCTGGAGGAAATAAAAGAGTCAGCGTTCTGTGACCAATTCAGCAAGGGGCAAAAGAAAGACAGTGCATGAATGTTGGACATATGATAACAGAATGAACAATGAACCCAAGGTATATCCCCTTACCCCAATCCCTCCTTTTTATATACTGAGAAAAGCATCCACTGTTTGTCATTCACAGAATGGGGCTTCGAGTGGAACTTATCCAGGATTTAATATGAACACACCTAGAATATTCATTAGAGCAAGTTTTCTCCAAATATGATATCATGGGAGTAAATGAAGAAAATCATTTTTTTGGCCACTTGGCTTGTAGGTCATCTTGTCTCATACCTGGAGAAAAATGTCAGCCTCACTCTATGGTGAAGTCTTAGACAACATCTCTTATGTAGAAGATGTGAGTTTGTCTTCCAGCTAAAATAACCTTATAGGAAATTGTTTTGACATTTCAGTAAATAAGCTCTTTGAATAAAAGCCAATACATATAACCTTTGTAATAAATACCGCTGGTCTACGGTAGAAGTTTAATCATAGGAGGTTACTTCCATACACTGAATAGTCAGAAAAAAATATCAAAAGTTCTATAAGAACATAATAAAGGTTGTTCAGCTCATTCATATCTAGAAGACAGGTTGAATTCATATAAGTTGGTCTTTTCCCAGGTCCTAGGGTAATACTCAAATCCAGCCTGAATTTTATTTACCCCCTCTCCTACTAGAAAAAACATCTGGCAGATTTAGAATATTAACAACATCAGAGATAACCAGAGAAAATGCACTGGCCGTAACGAGTTGAGAACCAGGTATAAATTACAAGTTTGTGTCAATTTTCGTTTCCTAAGGGCAGCTTTATAAAAGGCATTATTTCATCACACTAAGAGCTTGGGATGACATGAATGCATCCCATAAATCCTTTAACATAATTTGACCCCATTTAGATGATTTACAGCCACAAATATTTCTTGAGCAGAATTTCAGAACTTTATTTGGAAAGACAAATTCTGATATAAATTGAAATTCACTGAAACATTAATATTTACAAATACATACTATATATACTGTTTAATATAAATACAGTGTTTATGCTGTTTTACATATACATATAAAATCCTACAGTTCCATGTTAATTGTGTGTGCGTGTGTGTGTGTATATATATAGAGAGAGCGTGGTGCATGTATATGGGTGTGTGTATATATGTGTATAAGTAGTACACATATGTGTGTTTATATTGTACTTCTGTGTGTCTATATAGTACATGTATGTGTGTATGTATGTGTATATATGATACACATGTATATATGTGTTATATATAGTACATATGTCTATATATGTGTGTTATACGGTACAAATATATTTGTGTGTGTATATGTGTATGCATATATAGTGCATACTTATGTTTGTATGTATATATAAAGTAATATATATGGGTGTATGTGTGTGTGCCTGTGTACACAGCATATGTGCATATATATACATACACATATACATATACAAACACACTTATACATCCATATATATTACTTTATATATAGGCATACACACATACCTATGTACTATACACACAGTATAACAATATATGTCATATATTACAGTATATATGTATCTGTATTTGTGTATATAGCATATATGTATATATTGGTAAATATGTGTGCATATAAAGAACACATATGTGTACATAAGTGTGTGTGCTTATATAGACTACATTATATGTGTATGGGTATATATGAACTACTTGTATATGTATGTGTTCATATATAAAGTACATACATGGGTGTAGTACATATATGTATACATGTTCATATAGTACATGTGTATATATTAGTACATATGTGTACATACACAATACATATGTGTGTACATATGTATGTGTATGTATAAAGTACTTATATATGTGTGTATGTGGTTATATATCATACATCTGTATGTGTGTATATATAAAGTACATGTGTGTATATGTTTGTATATATAAAGATAGTACATCTGTGTGTATATATAGTACCTATATGTGTGTGTACATGCTTGTGTGTATTCATAGTATATATATATGTGTATATATTGATATGTGTGTGTGTGTGTGCATATAAACAAAGTATCAACATTATGGACTATTATCAGGTAGTATAGCTAGATTCTGGTCCCGTCTTTGATTTTGAGGCAAATTTTCGTGTAGTCCATGACTAATAATAAAATATGCATGAAATCAAGTAACTATTGTCATCCAAGGAGCAACACAGTGTTCAGCTCTTCATAACCCCACACATTTTCACAGTTTGAAGTTTTACCAAAAACCGAAGTTGGGATCTGTTCACTTGTGTTTAATCTGCTTCCACAACATCTGATCCAAACTTCACATGCTTTCAATGAATCAAGGCAAGTAAAGGGACATAGGCCTGCCAAGTTTCTGAGAGCCCAGCGGCCCCTCAGAGGCACCCAGTGGAAGACTGTATGGCTATGTCTCCTCAGGGTTTAACTCAGAAGGACTGACGACACTTCCCCTCTCTGAGGTGTGAGAAATTTAGCTAAGAGGTTGCTTCATTTTTGCTGTTCAAGGAAGTGAAATCATGCTTATTTTTGGTTCCAGTTTCAATGAAATGTCATTTTCAATCATGTTTCTAATTGAATTATATTGTCTTGTTTTTTGCTCCCCCAAGAAAAAGACCGTGAAAGCCAGAATATATGTATGTAAAAATACATATATTCAAACCTAACCTCAAAGGATATTGTAAAAGCTGAGGTCACAAAGAAGAGAAAAAATTATTTCTATTTTTCAGTATATCAGCATCTAGTTGGAAAAAGTGGTGTATATGCAACCAATAAGGAATTAAAGACTATAAGTTCAGTAAGAGGGGTCATAAACAGACACCATGGTGGGAGTGGAGAGGGGAGAGAGATGAATTCTGATTTAGGGAAATGAAGAGATATTTTAGGAGGAGCTTGCACTAACTAAGGCTCTAAAGATGGATTAAAAATTTACATAATAAAAAATAAACCAGAGACTCCTCAAACTGGAGGTGGCGGAAACAAAGAGCAGCACAGAAAAGAGAGACCCCGCACTAAGACCGAAGAGTGAAGTCTGGGAGGCCAGCATAATGGAGCTGAGGTGGGTAGGGGGATGATCAAATTGATGAGATGAATGTCAGATCAGAGCAGCTTTGTGAGACATCAAGGGAAGGCTCAGAGTTAGGGTGTGTTTCCATGTGGGAAGGTGTTGACTGGGTGTGCTGAGATGGGAGTTTCAGATCATCTCCATGTTGTGGATGATGCAAGTGACATAGAGGACAGAGACAGAGAAAGACAGAAACAGAGAAAGACAGAGAGAGAGAGAGAGAGAGGAAGAAAAAGAAAAATTGAGAACAAAAGAAAGAAAGACTGAGAAAGAGAAGGAAAAAGAGGGAGAGCAAGAGAAAGAAAGGAAGACAGAGAGAGAGTTAGAAACAGAAGGCTTATGTCTGTAAGAAAAAGAGACAGAGAGTCAGTGCCAGAGAGAGAGAATGAGGAAAACAAATAGAAAAACAGAAAGAAAGAAACAGTGAGAGAGACAGAATGAGAAAGAGAGAGAGAAGGAAAGAAAAAAGAGAAAGAGAAACAGTGGGTGTGTATGTGAGACAGACAGAGAGAGAGAGAGAAACAGAGACACAGACAGAAGGAGTGATAGCACACTGGGGCACTAGCTGTCTGGAAGCTGTTACAAGCTATTTATTCTTTCTTTATTTTTCCAGAGTGACCAGCATGTTATTGAAGAGATTGACATTATGTAAGGGAATTCTTTGTCTTTTTTTTTTTGGAGATAGAGTCTCACTCTGTTTCCCAGCATAGAGTGCATTGGCACAATCTCAGCCCTCTGCAACCTGTACCTCCCAGTTAATACAGCGATTCTCCTGTCTCGGCCTCCCAAGCAGCTGGAATTACAAGCACCTGCAACCACGTCTGGGTATTTCTTGTATTTTTAGTAGAGACAGGGTTTCACCATGTTAGTTAGACTGATCTAGAACTCCCGGCCTCAGGCAATCCGCCTGCCTCGGCCTCCCAAAGTGCTGGGATTACAGGAGTAAGTCACTGTTCCTGGCCTGTCTGTTCATTCTTATGTCTTTTATTATCTCTCTCTCTCTTTTTTTTTTTTTTTTTTTTTTTTTTTTGGAGACAGAGTTTTGCTGTCACCCAGGCCAGAGTGCAGTGGTACAATCTCGGCTCACTGCAAGCTCCACCTCCCGGGTTCATGCCATTCTCCTTCCTCAGCCTCCTGAGTAGCTGGGACTACAGGAGCTCGCCACCACGCCAGGCTAATTTTTTTTTTTTTTGTATTTTTAGTAGAGATGGGGTTTCACCGTGTTAGCCAGGACGGTCTCGATTTACTGACCTGATGATCCGCCCGCCACTTCCCAACGTGCTGGGATTACAAGCTGAGCCACCACACCCGGCTATTATCTCCGTCTAAAATGCAAACGTTTGCAATTTCCTCACCTTTGTTTACACATATAAACATCATATTTACTATTGGAACCATTCTAAAGTGGCATTAAGTCCATCCAGAAAGTTGTGCAAGCATCAGCACTCTCTAGTTCCGGACTTTTTCATCATCTCAAATACACAGCTGTTGTATTTACAATAGCCAAAAAGTGAAAACCATCCAGATGTCTATCAGCAGAGGAGTGAATTAAGAAAAGATGGTCCGTCTATAGAAGGAAATCTTATTCAGCCTATATTAGGCCATTTTCACACTGCTATAAAGAAATACCTGAGACTGGGTAATTTATAAAGAAAAGAAGTTGAATTGGCTCACCGTTCTACAGGCTGCACAGGAAGCATGATGGTTTCTGCTTGGCTTCTGGGGAGGCCCCAGGAAAATTTCAATCATGGTAGAAGGTGAAGGGGAAGCAGGAACTCTTTTTTTTTTTTTTTTTGAGACTGAGTCTCACTCTGTCTACCAGTTGGAGCGCAGTAGCGCGATCTCGGCTCACTGCAAACTCCGCCTCCCGGGTTCGTGCCATTCTCCTGCCTCAGCCTCCCGCGCAGCTGGGATTACAGCTGCGTGCCACCTAGCCCGGCTAATTTTTTGTATTTTTAGTAGAGACTGGGTTTCACCCTGTTAGCCAGGATGGTCTTGATCTCCTAACCTTGTGATCCACCCGCCTGGACCTCCCAAAGTGCTGGGATTACAGGCGTGAGCCACCGCGCCCAGCCGAAGCAGGAACTCCTGAGTATCTTACGTGGCCAGAGCAGGAACAAAAGAGAGAGCGGGGCAGTGCCACACACTTTTAAACAATCAGATGCTGTGAGAACTCTCTCACTATACAATAGGAAGGGGGATAGTGTTAGACCATTCATGAAAGATTCACCCCCACGATCCAATCACCTGGCATTAGGCATTACAATTCAATATGAGATTTGGGTGGGGACACAAATCCAAAGCATATCACAGCCATAAAAAGAATTGCAGTTCTCACAGGGCTACAATATGGATGAACCCTGAAAATATCCTGCTCAGTAAAAGAACCGCATCTCCTATGACTTCACTATTAAATGTCCTCTATTATTTTCTAAGGTTATCTATACATTGATAGGAGCTTTTATACATGTTGATCTATACATTGATAGGTGCAGAGATAATTGAATAGAGATGCAAAGAACTGTCCAGGTGTGGTGGCTCCCACCTGTAATCCCAGCACTTTGGGAGGCTAAGGCAGGAAGATCACTTGAGGTCAGAAGTTCAGGATCAACCTGGCCAACAAGGTGAAACCCCGTCTCTACTAAAAATACAAAAATTAGCCAGCCATGGTGGTGCGCACCTGCATTCCCAGCTACTTGGGAGGCTGAGGCAGGAGAATTATTTGAACCCAGGAGGTGAGATCATGCCACTGCACTCCAGCCTGGGTGACAGAACAAGACTGTCTCAAAATAAAAGATGCAAAAAACCAAGGAGATCTCTGGGGAGTACATTTCCTACAGAGGGAAATGTAAACCTTGCCTTTAATGTCAACGAGTACTCTTTCACTTTAGATTGAAGTCTTCAGAGTGTTCCTGTTTCCTTTCACCTTTGAAATAGCAGTGTCTGGGATAGATGATGTTCAACTTGCTATGCCAAATGGTGTAAGCATTATTTTTCAGGAGGGTAGATTAGGTAACTCTATTAAAGAGGCTGCACTACATTCTGTAAATGGTGTGAGGCTAAGAGGACATGTCCTTTGGGCACCATCCAAGCCAGAATAGAAGCCAATTCCACCATCACCTTCACTCTGGTCTTTCTCCTGCCTATTCAATAATCTCCCCAAGCTCTTCTTTTTCACAGAACTCAATTATTTTCCTTTGTTGAACTTATACAAATTTTAAGTACAAATTTTCTGTGGTTTTCTTAAATGAATCTTTTACTGCTCTGTAAAGTCCATAAGGTATCTGTTGTATGACCAGTGACCAGGAAAATGCTGGGCATGTGATGACCTTTGGTAAGCATCTGTTGAATGGGTGAATTGATGAATGAATTTTATTTCATTTTATTTTACTTGTGCCAATTATTCAGATAACCTCTAAAAACTGTTTAACATTCACAGTGTAGCCAAATAAACAGATGCTTGTAAACTTAACTCCATAAGAGATTTCACTCAGAAGAGACAGGGACGCATTGTTTTATCAGAGTTTCAGGATACTCACTGTGAATCACTGAATCCTAGAGTGGCCAAGAGCTGTCTGTCTCAGCCCTTTCAGATGTGGGGTGCTCTGTCTCTGGAGACCCCTGATTTCCACAGCACTGGGACTTGCAGTT
The DNA here is from genome assembly GCF_000001405.40 of Homo sapiens. NCBI lineage: Eukaryota > Metazoa > Chordata > Mammalia > Primates > Hominidae > Homo > Homo sapiens. The sequence continues at coordinate 12,072,652 of NC_000024.10, read as the reverse complement.
GACTGGTCCTGGGCTGGTTTTGCTGGTAGTTCTTCCTGGATGTGGCCAAATGACCTCTGTGTAGTTGGATTAATCAGTGTTCTCTGGAGAGGGAGAACTAATAGGATAGATGTATACACAAAAGGTAGTTTATTAAGGAGTATTGACTCACACCATCACAAAGTGAAGTCCCACAACAGGCCTTATCCAAGCTGAGGAGCAAGGAAGCCAGTCTGAATCCTAAAACCTCAAAAGTAGGGAAGCCAACAGTGCAGCGGTCTCTCTGTGGCTGAAGACCCAAGAGGCCCTAGCAAACCACTGGTGTAAGTCCAAGAACTTGGAGTCTGATATTCGAGTGCAAGAAGCATCCAGCATAGGAGAAAGATGAAGTCCAGAAGAGTAAGCAAGCCTGCTTTTCCATCTTCTCCTACCTGCTTTATCCTACTTTTGCTGGCAGCTGATTAGATGGTGCCCACCTAGATTGAGGTTGGGTCTGCCTTGCCCAGTCCACTGACTCAAATGTTAACTTCTTTGGCAACACCCAGGAACAATACTTTGCATCCTTCAATCAATCAAGTTGACACTCAGTATTAACCATCACAGTAGGTTTTGTTTGCAGCAAGTCCCTGAAGGCTGTGTATATCAAGACCCGCACATAGATCAGCGGGATAATTGACAATCACAAATGGATAAGGGAATCTTTTCATGTCTATTCCACTTTCTTTTGAAACCCATTTTTAGAACACCTCAAATTCTTCAATTTGAAACACTTTTCTCAAAAGCCCATCACCAACAGTGAAAAGGATTCTGGCACCAATGACACTGAATTGGTGTGCTAAGTGGCTGTCTTTTTGGAATCTTCCCTTTCTTTAACCACTTCTCCTCCCTGTGGCTTGCTGTCAGCTTCCTTAAATTCTGGGCTTTGGAATTTGATCACTTTGCTCAGGACATCTGAGCAGTTTCCCACTACCAAGAATCTGAGGAGGAAAGGAGACCACAGACTCCTCCAGAAGAGGTAAATAAAGCATTATGTGAATTCATAAAACTCTGGTTTAAAAGACAAACTGTATTTATAATCATCTCCAGTAGAGTTCATCCATCCCACAATCCATATAAAAATGAGTGCTACCACCCAAATCCTTATCTTTCGTGTTCCTTCTTTTCCTGTGAGAAATACAAGGGTCAAAACTTCAGGACATAGGCATAAGCAAAGACTTCATGACTAAAACACCAAATGCAATGGGAACAAAAGTCAAAATGGGCAAATGGCATCTAATTAAACTAAAGAGCTTCCACACGGCAAAAGAAACTATCATCGGAGTGAACAGGCAACCTACAGAATGGGAAAAAATTTTGCAGTCTATACATCTGAAAAAGGGCTATGATCCAGAATCTACAAAGAACTCAAACAAATTTTCAAGAAAAAAAAAAACAACCCCATCAAACAGTGGGCAAAGGATATGAACAGACACATCTCAAAAGAAGACATTTATGCAGCCAACGAACATATAAAAAAAACTCATCATCAGTGGTTATTAGAGAAATGCAAATCAAAACCACAATACGATACCATCTCATGCCAGTTAGAGTGGTGATCATTAAAAAGTCAGGAAACAACAGGTGCTGGAGAGGATGTGGAGAAACAGGAACACTTTTACACTGTTGGCGGCAGTGTAAATTAGTCCAACAATTGTGGAAGACATTGTAGCAATTCCTCAAGGATCTAGAACTAGAAATACTATTTGACCCAGCAGTCCCATTACTGGGTATATGCCTAAAGGATTATAAATCATGCTACTATAAAGACACATGCACAAGTATGTTTATTCGGCACTATTCACAATAGCAAAGACTTGGAACCAACCAAAATGTCCATCAATGATAGACTGGATAAAGAAAATGTGGCATATATACACCATGGAATACTATGCAGTCATAAAAAAGGATTAGTTCATATCCTTTGCAGGAACATGGATGAAGCTAGAAACCATCATTCTCAGCAAACTAACACAAGAACAGAAAACCAAACACTGCATATTGTCACTCATAAGTGGGAGCTGAACAATGAGAACACATGGACACAGGGAGGGTAACATCACACACCAGGGACTATTGGGTGTGGGGGGTTGGGGGATGGATAACATTAAGAGAAAGACCTAATGTAGATAACAGGTTGATGGGTGTGCAAACCACCCTGCTGCATGTATACTTATGCAACAAATCTGCGCATTCTGCACACGTACCCCAGAACTTTAAGTATTTTTTTAAAAAAGTCTTGTTAAAAAAAAAAAGATAGAAAAATACAAGTGCCAAAACTTGTTAATTTAGCATGATATACAACATGGCTCTTTTCTCCCTGAGACTTCATGTGTCTACGTCCCTTCTGATTCAGGGATAAGAGATTCTGTTTCCAGGGTGAAGTGCAACTGAATGTATTTCATGAACAAAGCCCTAGTGAGCATGCTTTATAAGCTGAAAAATCCCTTTGACATATGACAGTGTTTATATGTATAGTTAAGCTTTTTCAGCTTTAACAACTCTGAGAGTAGTCTTTGAGAATTTTAAGGGGTTACAAAATGAAGACAAGAACTTAGTTCATGAAAGCAACATGCTAAAATAATTCATATCGGTTTTCAAGAATTATTTGAGTCTGATGTGCATTGGAAATGCTTTCTTTTTCAGCAAGAATCAGTTTTCTTGGCCTTGGCTCCTCAGAAAAGAAGATCACTCCTTATGTTACAATTCTGTGCCCATTGTAAGGTATTGCTGTGGCATTTTACCACCTGAGGAGGAGCTCCCAGGGGTCTGTGAAGCCTCTCAGTACTGTTCTGTGCTTTTTGCTTCCTCTGTGTCTCCAAGGCGTGTGTGCAAGTCTCCATCTTGTTGGAAGAATAATCCCCTTCCTCTCCTGTGAGAGGTATATGGAAGTTACTGCAGGAGCACACACCCAGAGTGTTGTGTTTGAGTTTTCTGGGGCTGCTGTAACAAAAGTGCCACAGACCAGGAGGCTTAAACAACAGAAATGTATTCTCTACCAGTTCTGGGCACCAGAAATCTGAAATCAAGGTGTCTCAGGGTGGTGTTCCCTTTGTAGGCTCTACAAGAGAATCCTTCCTGCCTCTCCCAGTTTCTGGGGGACTTCAGGCTTCCCTGGGCTTGTGGCCACATCACTCCAGTCCTGCCTCCATCTCCATGCAGACTTCTCTTCTGTATTGGTGTCTCCTCTTCTGTCTCTTACAGGAACACCTGTCATTGGATTTAAGAGAGCCCTCTAAATCTAGAATAATCTCATCACTAAATTATTAACTTAATTGCAGCTTCAAAACCCTATTTCCAAATAAGGTCTCATCCCTCTATACCTGCTATTAGGATGTGGACATGTATTTTGGGGGCCAATATGCCACCCACTACCATATGGACACTTCCTAACTGATGTCAGAATACATGCACTTCCCAACAGTTATATGCTGCCCTGTGCTTTGATGGATTGTTGACTTTTGGTTGGGAGAAAACCGACATGCCTAGAGCACTATCTATTCCACAAAATTAACTCTTAACTGATCTCTTTCTTTTTGTGTTCTTCTAAGACATGCCTAAACTCCTTGAGTGTTATTGCTCATGTTTCTTTTCACTTTCTTACAGTGTAAAACCTGTTAATTCACAGCTAGTTCACTAGGGAGTATCAAATTCAAGATGTTAACACTGCTTTTTCCCCAAACAAATGCCCTTGAATTAAAACCACACAGAGCAATAGCAATGGAAACTGCAACAATGCCCCCAGCTCTACTTCAATCACTTGCATCCCCCTCTTACCAATGTCAATCACCTATGGCCACTGGAAGGCTAGGACAGCACAAGCATAGTTATTAATAAAAGTTTTTGCTAAGGATTGACACATTGGTAGTACGAGCTATGAGCTCACAGTACAACACAGTTCAACCAGTGGCCATGAATCTAAATGTAAGATCTTGAAAGAAGCAAATCTTTGCCCAGTTAACATTAGGAGTCTAATTTTTTCCAAGGTAAGAGAGAAAAATTTTGACCAATATGGACCCTGTTCACTGGATGTATTATTTTCAGTAAGCAGATGTATTTGTGTATGCATGAACTTTGGTGGGGTTGCAATGTTCCTTCTTAGTAATAATTCGGCTCTCAACTACTTCCTAGGAGACAGAAGACAAATGAACCTTACACTTTTGCTGGAGCACATCTAGATTCAGTTACCCTAAATGTGAAGTTTGTATGTCCTATTTATCCACACTTCTCAGCATTGCCCAGAATAGCACTGGCATACAATGAATACATTGTGAGCATCTGTTCAGTGAATGAATTTGTCAATGAATGAATGCATTTGGCATCATATAAATAAGATTCAGAAACCTACCTTATAGAGTACCACATTGAGCACTTGCTTTTAATTCATGTCAACCAAACATTTAAACATGTGCTTTATCCGGAAATGGAGCATTTGAAACAGCTAAATATATGCCCTTTCCAAGTGTACTTTTCTCAGCTGAGATCATGTTCAGATGTTACCTTCTTTTCCTTCTAGAGTATTTTGGCTTGTCATCAGTTTGTCTTAGTTGAGTTGGTGCATTTATTATCTTTGAATAAGATGTTATGATTTATATTCCTTGTCTGTCACCCACAATTTTGCAGCAAAGATGATAAGACTTCCTCAGGTGTTTTCCATAGCATTTCAACCTAATGCAAATTTTAAATTACCACATTCTTTTTCACTGCTACCAATAGTCATTGTATGAGCTTTTGTAGTATTAATGTCATTTGAACTCAATTCTGGGAACATGCAAAGATAGGAATTTGGTATGTCACTGAAACAAAATACTCCCAAGTTGCCAACCAGAGAAGTTCAGATCTACTTTGTTTTACTTTGCATTTATGTGGCTGTTCTCTCTAGTTTTGTGTAAAATCCCAATGGCATTTGCTGCTTTCTTCTAACTTGATGGTTCTCTGTATAGAAGTGTAGAAAGTTAAATGGCCCTCAGAATGAAAGTCTATGTTTTATCCTTGGTCTAAATTTCAGAGTACATGTTCTAACCCCTGGTTGAAGTTACAGAATGCATGTGATATGGTTTGGCAGTGTCCCCACTCAAACCTCACCTTAAATTGTACTAATTCCCACATGTTAAGAGTAGGACCAGGTGGAGATAATTGATTCATGGGAAAAGCTTTGCTCATACTGTTCTCAGAATAGTGAGTAAGTTTCATGAGAGCTGATGGTTTTATAAATGGGAGTTCCCCTGCACAAGCCCTCTTTCTTGCCGCCAGGTAACAGAAAGATATGGCTTTGCTCTTCCTTGCCTTCTGTCATGATTGTGAGGCCTCATCAGCCATGTGGAACTGTGAGTCAATTAACCTTTTTACTTTATAAATGACCTAGTATCTGGATTGTCTTTATTAGCAGCTTAAGAATGAACTAATACAGCACATCCTCCCCAAGTCCATATGTGGAAGCCCTAATCCCCAATGGGATGGTCTTAGTAGGTGGGGCCTGTGGGAGCTATGCAGGTTTAGATGAGATCATGAGGGTGGCACCTGCATGATGGGATTAGTGTCTTTATAAGAAGAGAAAAAGACTCAGAGCTCCCTCTGTCCTCTGTGTGAAGGTACAGAGAGATAGCACCATCTGCAGACCAGGAAAGAGGAAGAAGAGCCTCAGTAGACACCAGATTTGTCAGCACCTTCATCTTCCCAGGCTCCAGAACTATGGGAAATAACATTTGTTGCTCAAGACACCCAGCTTAAGGCGTTTTATTATAGGATCCTGAACTGACTGAGACACTGTGAATGTGACCTTCTATGGCATTAGGTTCTTTGTAGATGTAATTAAGCTAAAAGTCTTGAGATGAGGACATCATCTTGGATTATTTGGACAGACCTACCTCTAATGCATGTCAAATGACATAAACTGGGTGGCTTAAATAAAATATGCAAAAAGGGCAAGAAAGACAGAAGAAGAGGAGGTGATGTGACCATGGAGGTAGATGTTGGAGTGATGTGGACAAAAGACAGAACATCAAAAGGCACCAGAAGTCAGAAGAGGCAAAGAAAAGATTCTCTCTTTGAGTCTCCAGAGAGGGTGTGTTGCTGCTCACACCTTGATTTTGGCTTCTGGCTTCCAGAAGTTTGAGAGAACAAATTCCTGCTATCTTTTTAAATTTTTTTTTTCATTTCCGTAGGTTTTGGGGGAACAGGTGGTATCTAGTTACATAAGTTATTCAGTGGTGATTTGTGAGATTTTGGTGCACCCATCATCAGAGCAATATACACTGAACCCAATTTGTAACATTTTATCCCTCACCCCCTTCCCTTTTTCCCAAGTCCCCAGTGTCCATTTTATCATTTTTATGCCTTTGCATCCTCATAGCTTAGCTCCTACTTATGAGTGAGAACATATGATGCTTGGTTTTCCATTCCTGAGTGACTTCATTTAGAATAATCTTTTCTAATCCCATCCAGGCTGCTGCAAATGCCATTAATTTATTCTTTTTTATGGCTGAGTAGTATTCCATGGTGTGTGTGTGTATGTGTGTGTGTGTGTGCGTGTGTGTGTATTTTGTAGTTTCTTTGCCAACCTATTGATTGAGGGGCATTTTGGCTGGTTCCACAATCCACCCAGATTGTAGTAATTTGTTACAACAGCCACAGAAAAATAATACAAGAAGTGTATGCATACTTTAGGTTTTGTGGTTGTCATTCATTTTAATGACTGGAAAAGACAATTGGTCAAAATCAATACTAGTAATGTGATTGCCTTCCTAGAGTGTTATTGTACGGAATATTGGAGAAGTAATTATAATTTCTTTTCTATAATGACTATTTTACATTATGTTCAGCCATGATTTACTATAGGAATTTTATTCATTTGATTTCTCCATGCCAGTGTCACACTTCCCTAATAAATGTGATACTTTTGCATGGTGACTATGTGGTATTAATGAAGCCAGTCTCCTCCTTACTCACCTGATGTATAAACCTAATGTTAATCAAATGCCTATTATAATCCCAGCATTGGAACAATCATCAGCAATTCAGCAATGGGCAAACCCAACAGGCTCCTAGGTTGATTGAGATCCCCAATTTATTTCAGTAGAAATAAAAATTGAAATTACATTGAATTCTCAGTATTTGTGATAGTTGTAGACCATCCTGGCCAACATGGTGAAACCCCATCTCTACTGAAAATACAAAAATTAGATGGGCATGGGGGGCATGCCTGTAATCCCAGCTACTCAGGAGGCTGAGGCAGGAGAATCGCTTGAACCATGGAGTCCGAGGTTGCAGTGAGCCAAGATCGTGTCAGTGCACTCCATCCTGGCAACAGAGCAAGTCTCCATCTCCAAAAACAAACAAACAAAAAAAATCACCATAAACACTGACTTAGCAAATCATAAACTCTCTCTCCTAGGGGAAATACAAGATTAGGTTTCTATGATATCCGGTCACAACATTTTCATCAATCAGTCAATACATGATCTTGTTTTATGTATGTTTATGTTTAAGAAAATATTTCTGAGTAGATATTGTTGACTCATTCACACTGAACTCATGTCCAGCAGCACCATGGCTCATGCCTGAGTAATGCTTCTGTAACACAGAGATTTTCTCTGTGAGGCACATTGCAGTCTTTTTATACTAGGGACCCCAGGCAACCTTTCAGCTCTGTTCTTCAAGCCATTTTAAACAGCAAAATCACCAACAAAAAGCACAAACATGCAAAACACATGGTACTCAATGGACTGCAATAATTCCACTTGTTTAAAGTATGACAGCTGAAACAAGAAGGTAGGGAATGGCCAGGTCCCACTTTAGCTGGGAACATGCACTTTGAGCAATTTGCATTTTTTTTCCAGCTTTCTGTGTGTCTCTGCAAATGACTGCAAAAGTGTCATATTGATTTCGAGGTTACAAAGTTTTAGTGAGCAGGCAAGTTCAGAAAGACAAAATTTATAATAATGAAAATCAACTGTACTTAGAAACAAACAAAATATTCATAAATCTCAGGTCTGTAAACTTTTATAATTACACATGGCTGACTCTTTAGATCATCAGTCAACTCCATACCTTCAAATTTTTGTTGTATTTTGTTATTTCCTAATGAGCATATTCGATGATAGCCATTGGACTAAGCATTTTTTTAAAGCATGACTTTTTCTGAGTTTACTCCATGCACCCCACTCTGGATGGTTGCTACTCTTGTGCAAACAACTGTAAAAACCAAAAAACAAAAGTAAAGAAAAGAAAAGATGAGACTTAGAGTAATTGAGAAATTTGCCCAAGCTTGAAAGTGGTTGCTCTGGAACTTTTTCCCAGGTCAGACAAATACAAAGAGTTATTCACAAAGTTATAGAGAGGTTAATGCCTCTGCTTTTCCAAGTTCCCTTCTCCCCTAGACTCGATTCTGCTTTTCCTTTTGGTTCTATCCTTTTGCTTTACTTATCTCCTCCCATCCTCTCTGACCTCACTATCATTTTCCTCTCTGGCCCCATCTCTGTATGCTGAATGCCCACACATTGGAAGTCCCAACTCTAAAGCCATTTTGTTCCTGAAATGTTACCAAGTTCCTTTTACTGAATTAACAGCTCTTCTTCTTTTTCTTTCTATATGATTTATTCACTTTTTTTTTTTTTTGAGATGAAGTCTCACTCTTTTGCCCAGGCTGGAGTGCAGCAGCACAATGTTGGCTCACTGCAATCTTCACCTCCCAGGTTCAAGCAATTCTCCTGCCTCAGCCTCCCAAGTAGCTGGAACTATAGGCACTCACCACCATGCCTGGCTAATTTTTGTGTTTTTGGTACAGACGGGGTTTCACCATGTTAGCCAGGATGGTCTCTATCTCCAGACCTTGTGAGCCACCTGCCTCAGCCTCCCAAATTGCTGGGATTACAGGCATGAGCCACCGAACCTGGCTTTTTTTTTTTTTTTTTTTTTTTTTTGAGTAGTCTTGCTTTGTTGCTCAGACCGGAGTGTAGTTGTCTCAATCTTGTCTCATTGCAACCACCACCTCCCAGGCTCAAGTGATTCTCCTGTTCAGCCTCCTGAGTAGCTGAAACACTGGCAGGTGCAACCACACCTGGCTGAGTTTTGTATTTTTAGTAGAGATAGGGTTTCACCATATTAACTAGGCTGGTCTCAAACTCCTGACCTCAAGTGATCTGCCCACTTCAGCCCCCCAAAGTGCTGGAATTACAGCTGTGAGCTGCTGCCCTGACCCTATTCATTTTTTATATTACTAATCTATGGTGTGAATGTTTGTGTCCTCCAAATTTTCTGTGTGAAAATTCTAACACTCAAGATCATGGTGTTGGGAGATGGAGCCTTTGAGAGATAATGAGGTTGTGGAGGCGGTGCCTCATGAGTGGGATGAGTGCCCTTATAAAAAGGGACTCCAAAGAGCTCTCTTGCACCTTCCACCATGTAAGGACACAGCAAGAAGTCACTGTCTGTGAATAAAGAAGCTGGTTATCACCAGACATTGCATCTGGCACACTTTGATCTTGGAATTCCAGCTGTGAGACATAAATAGCTGCTGTTAATAAGCCTCAAGTCCGTAGTGTTTTGTTATAGCAGCCCCAGGGAAAGAAGACAATTTTCCAAACTCCCCTTGTGTCCATTACCTGTGTATCTTTGTCTGCTGTAGCTTCATTTCCCTCCACAGGGTGCAGTCTGTACAGTCAGTAACAGTGTTGTCTATATATCTGTAGCTTTGACATGAACACTGATATTTTATTATTATTTTTATTATACTTTAAGTTCTAGGGTACATGTGCATAACGTGCAGTTTTGATACCTAGGTATACATGTGCCATATTGGTTGGCTGCACCCATCAAGTCATCATTTACATTAGGTATTTCTCCTAATGCTATCCCTCCCCCAGACCCCACTCCCCAACAGGCCCTGGTGTGTGACATTCTCCCCACTGTGTTCAAGTGTTCTCATTGTTCGATTCCCACCTATGAGTGAGAACATGTGGTGTTTGGTTTCCTGTCCTTGTGATAGATTGCTGAAAATGATGGTTTCCAGCTTCATCCATGTCCCTGCAAAGGACGTGAATTCATCCTATCTTATGGCTGTATAGTATCCCATGATGTATATGTGCCACATTTTCTTAATCCAGTCTATCATTGATGGACATTTACGTTGGTTCCAAGTCTTTGCTATTGTGAATATTGTCAAATAAACATACGTGTGCATGTGTCTTTATCTTAGCATAATATGTAATCCTTTGGGTATATACCCAGTAATGGGATTGCTGGGTCAAAAGGTATTTCAAGTTCTAGATCCTTGAGGAATTGCCACACTGTCTTCCACAATGGTTGAACTAATTTACTCTCCCACCAACAGTGTAAAAGCATTCCTATTTCTCCACATCCTCTCCAACATCTGCAGTTTGCTGACTTTTTAATGATCGCCATCCTAATTGGTGTGACATAGTATCTCATTGTGGTTTTGATTAACATTTCTTGGATGACTAGTGATGATGAGCATTTTTTCACATGTCTGTTGGCTGCATAAATGTCTTCTTTGAGAAGTGTCTGTTTATATCCTTTGCCCACGTTTTAATGGTTTTCTTTTTCTTGAAAATTTGTTTAAGTTCTCTGTAGATTCTGGATATTAGCCCTTTGTCAGATGGGTAGATTGCAAAAATTTTCTCCCATTCTGTAGGTTGCCTGTTCACTCTGATGGTTGCTTCTTTTGATTCAGCTTCATTTTTCTACACATAGCTAGCCAGTTTTCCCAGCACCATTTATTAAATAGGGAATCCATTCCCCATTTCTTGTTTTTGTCAGGTTTGTCAAAGATCAGGTAGTTGTAGATATGTGGCTTTGTTTCTGAGGGCTCTGTTCTCTTCCATTGGTCTATATCTCTGTTTTCGTACCATTACCATGCTGTTTTGGTTACTATAGTCTTGTAGTATAGTTTGAAGTCAGGTAGCATGATGCCTCCAGCTTTGTTCTTTTTGCTTAGGATTTTCTTGGGCTATGCAGTGTCTTTTTTGGTTCCATATGTAGTTTAAAGTAGTTTTTTTTCCAACTCTGTGAAGAAAGTCATTGGTAGATTGATGGGGATGGCATTGAATCTATAAATTACCTTGTGCAGTATGGCCATTTTCATGTTATTGATTCTTCTTATCCATGAGTATGGAATGTTCTTCCATTTGTTTTTGTCCTCTTTTCTTTTATTGAGCAGTGGTTTGTAGTTCTTGAAGAGATCCTTCCCATCCCTTGTAAGTTGGATTCCTAGGTATTTTATTCTCTTTGTAGCAATTGGAAATGGGAGTTTACTGATGATTTAGCTCTCTGTTTGTCTGTTATTGGTGCAAAGGAATGCTTGTGGTTTTTGCACATTGATTTTGTATCCTGAGACTTTGCTGAAGTGCTTATCAGCTTGAGGAAATTTTGGCCTGAAACAATGGGGTTTTCTAAATATACAATCATATCATCTGCAAACTGGGACAATTTGACTTCCTCTTTTCCTAATTGAATACACTATCTCTTTCTCTTGCCTGATTGCCCTGGAAAGAACTTCAAATGCTAGGCTGTGGGTTTGCCATAAATAGCTCTGATTATTTTGAAATTCATTCCATCAATACGTAGTTTATTAAGAGTTTATAGCCTGAAGGGCTGTTGAATTTTATCAAAGGCTTTTTCTGCATCCATTGAGATAATCGTATGTTTTTTGTCATTGGTTCTGTTTATGTGATGGGATACATTTATTGATTTGTGTATGTTGAAGCAGCCTTGCATCCCTGGGGTGAAACTGACTTGACTGTGGTGGATAAGCTTTTTGATGTGCTGCTGGATTTGGTTTGCCAGTATTTTATTGAGGATTTTTGCATCAATATTCATCAGGGATATAGGTCTTAAGTTCCCTTTTTTTGTTGTTGTGTCTCTGCCAGGCTTTGGTATCAGGATGATGCTGGCCTCATAAAATGAATTAGGGAGGATTCCCTCTTTTCAGTTGACAGGAATACTTTCAGAAGGAATGGTGCCAGCTCCTGTTTGTACATCTGGTAGAATTTGACTGTGAATCTGTCTGGTCCTGGACTTTTTTTGGTGGTTAGGCTATTAACTATTGCCTCAATTTCAGAGCCTGCTATTGATCTGTTCAGATATTCAACTTCTTCCTGGTTTAGTATTGGCAGGGTGTATGTGTCCAGGAATTTATCCATTTCTTCTAGATTTTCTAGTTCGTTTGTGTAGAGGTGTTTATAGTATTCTCTGATGGTAGTTTGTATTTCTGTGGGATCGGTGGTGATATCCCCTTTATCATTTTATATTTCTTCTATTTGATTCTTCTCTCCTTTTTTCTTTATTAGTCTTGCTAGCAGTCTATCAATTTTGTTGATCTTTTCAAAACACCAGTTTCTGGATTCATTGATTTTTTGAATGGTGTTTTGTGTCTCTATCTCCTTTAGTTCTGCTCTGATCTTAGTTACTTCTTGCCTTCTGCTAGCTTCTGAATTTGTTTGCTCTTGCTTCTCCAGTTCTTTTAATTGTGATGTTAGGGTGTAAATTTTTTATCTTTCCTGCTTCCTCATGAGGGCATTTAGTGCTATAAATTTCCCTCTGTACAGTGCTTTAAGTGTGTCCCAGAGATTCTGGTGCATTGTGTCTTTGTTCTCACTGGTTTCAAGGAACCTCATTATTTCTGCCTTCATTTTGTTATTTACCTAGTAGTCATTCAGGAGCCGGTTGTTCAGTTTCCATATAGTTGTGCAGTTTTGAGTGAGTTTCTTAATCCTGAGTTCTAATTTGATTGGACTGTGGTCTGAGAGACAGTTTTTGTGATTTCTGTTATTTTACATTTGCTGAGGAGTGCTTTACTTCCAATTATGTGGTCAATTTTAGAATAACTGTGATATGGCGCTGAGAAGAATGTATATTCTGTTGATCTGGGGTGGAGAGTTCTGTAGATGTCTATTAGGTCCACTTGTCACAGAGCTGAGTTCAAGTCCTGGATATCTTTGTCAACCTTCTTCACTTCTCATTGATCTGTTTCATATTGACAGTGGGGTGTTAAAGTCTCTCATTATTATTGTATGGGAGTCTAAGTCTCCTTGTAGGTCTCTAAAGACTTGCTGTATGAATCTTTATATGAATATGATAAGATAAGCATATGAATGAATATATATGCTCCTGTTGGGTGCATATATATTTAGGATAGTTAGCTCTTCTTGTTGAATTGATCCCTTTACCATTAGATGATGACTTTCTTTGTTTCTTGATCTTTGTTGGTTTAAAGTCTGTTTTATCAGAGACTAGGATTGCAACCCCTGCTTTTTTTGCTTTCCATTTTCTTGGTAGATGTTCCTACTTCCCTTTAGTTTGAGCCTATATGTGTCTCTGCACATGAGATGGGTCTCCTGAATACAGCACACTGATGGGTCTTGACTCTATATCTAATTTGCCAGTCTGTGACTCTAACTGGGGCATTTAGCTCATTTACAATTTAAGGTCAATATTATTTTGTGTGAATTTTATCCTGTCATTATGATGTTAGCTGGTTATTTTGCCCATTAATTGATGCAGCTTCTTCATAGCATCAATGGTCTTTACAGTTTGGCATGTTTTTGCAGTGGCTGGTACCAGTTATTCCTTTCCATGTTCAGTGCTTCCTTCAGGTGCTCTTGTAAGGCAAGCCTGGTGGTGACGAAATCTGTCATCATTTGCTTGTCTGTAAAGGATTTTATTTCTCCTTCACTTATGAAGCTTAGTTTGGCTGAATATGAAATTCTGAGTTGAAAATTCTTTTCTTTAAGAATGTTGAATATTGGCCCCCACTCTCTTCTGGATTCCATGGTTTCTGCTGAGAGATCTGCTGTTAGTCCAAAGGGCTTACTGTTGTGGGTAACCTGACCTTTCTCTCTGGCTGCCCTTAACATTTTTTCCTTCATTTCTACCATGGTGAATTTGACAATTATGTGTCTTGGTTCTGCTGTTCTCGAGGAGTATCTTTGTGGTATTCTCTGTATTTCCTGAATTTGAATGTTGGCCTGCCTTGCTAGGTTAGGGAAGTTCTCCTGGATAATATCCTGCAGAGTGTTTTCCAACTTGATTCCATTCTCCCCTCCACTTTCAGGTACACTGATGAAATGTAGATTTGGTCTTTTCACATAGCCCCTTATTTCTTGGAAGTTTTGTTTCTTTTTACTTTTTTTTTTCTAATCTTGTCTTCTCACTTTATTTCATTAATTTGATCTTCCTTCCCTTATATCCTTTCTTTCATTGATCAAATGAGTTATTGAAGCTTGTGCATGCATCACGAAGTTCTCATACCATGGTTTTCAGCTCCATCGGGTCATTTAATGTCTTCTCTACACTGTTTATTCCAGTTAGCCATTCATCTAATCTTTTTTCAAGGTTTTTAGCTTTCTTGTTATGGGTTTGAACATGCTCCTTTAGCTGGAGAAGTTTGTTATTACCAACTTTCTGAAGCTTGCTTCTGTCAACTCATCAAAGCCATTCTCTGTCCTGCTTTGTTCCATTGCTGGGGAGGAGCTGCAATCCTTTGGAGGAGGAGAGGCTCTCTGGTTTTTAGAATTTTCAGCTTTTATGCTCTAGTTTCTCCCCATCTTTGTGGTTTTGTCTACCTTTGGTCTTTGATGTTGATGTCCTACAGATGGGGTTTTGGTGTGGATGTCCTTTTTGTTGATGTTGATGCTATTCCTTTCTGCTTGTTGGTTTTCCTTCTATCAGTCAGGTCCCTCTGCTGCAGGTCCATTGGAGTTTGCTGAAGGTCCATTCCAGACCCTGTTTTCCTGGGTATCACCAGTGGAAGCTGCAGAACAGCAAATATTACTGTCTGATCCTTCCTCTGGAAGCTTTGTCCCAAAGGGGCACCCTCTAGGTGTATGAGGTGTCTGTCAGCTCCTACTGGGAGGTGTCTCCCAGTTAGGCTACACAGTGATCAGGGACCCACTTGAAGAGCAAGTCTGTGCATTCTCAGAGCTCAAAAGCCATGCTGGGAGAACTACTGCTCTCTTCAGAGCTTTCAGGCAGGGACTTTTAAGTCTGCAGAAGTTTCTGCTGCCTTTTGTTCAGCTATTCCCTGCCCACAGAGGTGGAGTCTATAGAGGCAATAGGTCTTGCTGAGCTGCAGTGGGCTCTGCCCAGTTTGAGATTCCAAGCCACTTTGTTTACCTACTCAAGCCTCAGCAATGGTGGACGCCCCTCCCCCCACCTGGCTGCAGCCTCGGAGGTCAATCTCAGTCAGACTGCTGCATTAGCATTAAGCAAGGGTCCTTAGGCATGGGACCCACTGATCCAGGCATGGGAGAGAATCTCCTGGTCTGCTGGTTGCTAAGACTGTTGGAAAAGTGCAGTATTTGGGCGTAGTGTACCATTTTTCCAGGTACAGTCTGTCACAGATTCCCTTGGCTAGGAAAGGGAAATCTCCCAACCCCTTGTGCTTCCTGGGTGAGATAAAACCTCACCCTGCTTCAGCCCACCCTCTGTGGGCTGCACCCACTGTCCAACCAGTCTCAATGAGATAAATCAGGTACCTCAGTTGGAAATGCAAAAATCACCTGTCTTCTGTGTTGATTATGCTGGGAGTTGCAGACCAGAGCTGTTCCTACTCAGCCATCTTGGAATGGGCCCCCAACAGTGATGTGTTTTAAGTCAATACATATTATTGGATTGATTTAAATGTAATGTGATGAGGACAGAAATACATAAGAGGCACTTAAAAATACTTAACTCCAGGTTGCACCTCTGTGAAATCACCTAATATGTGAGGAAGAAGAGTGTGATAATGCATCTTGTGAAGACACCAAGAAATGGCTGTTTTTCACCTGAGCAGAGACCAGGAAACTGGCAAGAATTTTTAGGCTCTTAAGGCAAGCTAATTGGGTTTGAATCCTGAATGCACGTTTTCTGACTGGGTGACCAGTGGTGAGTTGTACCAGTCACCTAGGCTGAAAAACACAGATAACAATGGACTGTTATCAATACTGATGTAAAGATTAAATAAAAATATGTAGACTTTAAATTCCCAAGACTCTCATCTGTATCCAGAGGGCTCCACCCACATTGGCCAATGCAACTTTTAGTAATATATCCAAGACTTGCTTGCCTGGGGGCACATATCTTAGAGCTTTCCCATTGAGAAAATGTGTTCCTTCAATTTAAAGTGCTGGAAAAAGAAATGAACACGTTTTTTAAGAATGGATTTCTGCTAATATCTCTTTAATAGAACATCCATGGTGACAGGAAAATGCAATCCAAGTGTGGCCTTCTCCTTGGTATGGCCTGTGATATCAATCAGCTGCAGTTTGCATGTCCTCTACTGTGATATAGGAACATGGTTATTTTCTCTGCTTCTCATTGAACCAGCAAGAGGGACTTGAAATCATTTAGCAGGCTATCTTGCAAGTGACTTCAGAGTAAAATGTATGCATTGATGTATGTCTACCATTATCCTAAGAGGAGGAAAGGACCATTTTTTGGTACTGTATATTTTTAAAATTGCATGAACATAATGCAAAAGCTATTATCTTCACCATTTTTAAGTGTACCCTGAAGTAGTGTTAAATATATTCATGTTATTGTGCAACCATCACCATCCATCTTCAGAACTCATTTTCCACTTACAAAATGAAAACTTTCTACTCATATATGCCATTTGCTTTTAAATTAGTGTTTGGTGCACCCATCGCCCAAGCAGTATACACTGTACCCAATTCGTAATATTTAATTCCTCACCCCTTCCCACCCTTTCTCCCAAGTCTCCAAAGTCCATTGTATCATTCTCATGCCTTTGCATCCTCACAGCTTAGCTCCTGCTTGTGAGTGAAACTTACAATGTTTGTTTTCTATTCCTGAGTTACTTCACTTGTTCACTTGGAATAATGATCTCCAATTCCATCCAGGTTGCGGTGAGTGCCTTCGTTCATTCCTTTTCTTTCTTTCTTTCTTTTTTAAGACAGTGTCTCGCTCTGTTGCCAGACTGGAGTGCAGTGGTGCAATCTTGCCTCACTGCCACCTCTGCCTCCCAGGTTCAAGTGATTCTCCTGCCTCAGCCTCCCAAGCAGCTGGGACTACCAACGCGCACCACCATGCCCAGCAAATTTTTCTATTTTTAGTAGAGATGGGGTTTCAACTTGTTGCCAGGAGAGTCTTGATCTCTTGACCTCATCATCTGGCTGCCTTTGCCTCCCAAAGTGCTGGGATTACAGGTGTGAACCACCGCGCCCAGCCCTTTCATTCCTTTTTATTGCTGAGTAGTATTCCACGGTACGTATTAACCACAATTTCTTTATTCACTAACTGATTGATGAGCATTTGGGCTGGTTTCATATTTTTGCAATTGTGAATTGTGCTGCTATGAACATGTACCCAAATCTCACAGATCACCATGAAAGAACTTACTCATGTAGTCAAACACCACCAGTTCCCCAAAAACCTACGGAAATAAAATAAGTAATAAATAAAATAAACTACTACAAAAAATAAATAATTTAGTGCTTGGTACTCAAAATGTGCCAAAAAAAATTTTTTTAATACTTTTTGTTTTTATTTTAATAGTTGTGGGGAATACAGGTGGTTTAAGGTTACGTGTTACATTCATTACTGGTGATTCCTGAGATTTTTGTGTGCCTACCATCCAAGCAGTGTACACTGTGCCCAATATGTAGTCTTTTATCCCTCACCCCACTCCCAGCCTTCCCACCTCCCTGAGTCCTTGAAGTCCATTATATCATTCTTATGCCTTTGCATCCTCATAGTTTAGTTCCCACCTATAGGTGAGAACATACAATGTTTGGTTTTCCATTCTTGAGTTACTTCACTTAGAATAGTGGCCCCCAGTTCTATCCAAGTTGCTGTAGAAGACATTATTTCATTCGCTTTTATAGCTGAGTAGTATTCCATGGTATCCACATAGTCTTATCCACTCATTGGTTAATGGACAGTTAGATTAGTTCTATATCTTGCAAAAATATTTTTGATCCATGTTCAAAAAGAAATGTATTATCCCTGTAAACTCAATCTGTACTACTCATAGTAAAAATGTGGGCATGTTCTTTCCAGTAATAACATACTTACTCCCAAACCCCAATGTCTCTTATTCCACTGTCTATGTCCATGTCTACACAATGTTTAGCTCCCACTTATAAGTGAGAATATGGGGTGTTTATCTCTCTGTTTTTGAGTTGTTTCACTTAGGATAATATCCTCCAGTTCTATCCATGTTGCTGCAAAAGTCATGATTTAATTCATTTGGAGGGCTGTGTAATATTCCGTGGAGATATGGTTTGGCTGTGTCCCCACACAAATATCATCTTGAATTGTAGCTGCCATAATGCCCATGTGTTGCAGGAGAGATCCAGTAGGAGATAATTGAATCAAGGGGGCAGTCTCCCTCATAATGTCTACATAGTAGTGAATAAATCTCACGAGATCTGATGGTTTTATAAGGGGTTTCACTTTTTGCTTGGTTCTCATTCTCTTCTTGCCTGATGCCATGTAAGACATACCCTGCTCTTCTGCCATGACTATAAGGCCTCCCCAGCCATATAGAACTGTAAGTCCATTAAAACCTCTTTCCTTTATAAATTACCCAGTCTTGGGTATGTCTTTATCAGCAGTGTGAGAACAGATTAATACACATGGTGTGTATATATGCCACATTTTCTTTATCCATTCATGCACTGATGGACACTTACATTTTGAGAGGAGTCAACTTAGGTTGATTCCATATCTTTGCTATTGTGACTAGTGCTATGATAAACGGGTGAGTGCAGGTATCTTTTGGATAGAATGATTTATTTTCCTGTGGGTAGATACACAGTGAGTGGGATTGCTGGATGAGATGGTAGTTTTGATGAGCAGATTTTCTAAACCTTGTAAAACCAAGTTTTTCCCAAGAAACCAGTCCCATTGCTACAGATGGCAGGGCTTCCCACTTCCTTTGTTCATGGCCCAATTCTGGTCTCCTACCTGAGAGGTGGAAAGTTTCTCTCCCCCAACTCAGTAATGTTGAGGGTCAAATCCTAGGTAAAATGAGCTGCCAGTGAATTGTGTTGATGAGCATTTTAGGAACCTCCAATGGTGCAGTGGCATCAGAAGCCTGCCAGATGGGGAATGAGAAGGTTCATTCTTTCCCAGAAGACTTTCCAATCAGCTGGGTATTGACAGGCCCGGGCATTTGATCTCATGGATGGCTTGAGTTGCTTCATCCAAACAAATGTTGGAGAGAAGTTCATTCTCATCTGCTGTGTAGAAAATCACCCTCCACCTCCAAGTCTCTGGTTGTCATTAAAGACTCATTAAGTCTGCTGTGTGCCTCAGAGCCAGATTCCAAAATGCCCTCAAGCTGCTTTCAAGCTTTCTGCCCACAGCTCTGTAGCCAGTTGGGGCATGTGTACCATCCATACCCCGCAAGAGAAAATGCCAGTTAGATAGGCAGGCATCTGAATTCAATAGGCATGCATTCTCTTTACACAGGGCAGGTAGGGGATGCAATGGAATGAATGTTTATCTCAACTTCCCCAAATTTATATGTTTTGGAATCCCAATTTTTACTATCATGGTCCTATGATCTGAATATCTGCCCTCCAAATTTCACATATTGGAATTTTCACCTCCAAGGTGATCGTGTTAGGAGGTGGTGCTTTTGGGAGGTGGTGAGGTCATAAGGATGGAGCCTCATGGATGGAATGAGTTTCGTTATAAAAAGGGAACCAGAGAGCTCCCTCACCCTTTCCACCATGTGAGGACACAGGAAGAACATAATGTCATCTATAAACCAGAATGGACATAGCACCATCCGTGAACTAGGAGAACAGTCCTCACCAGACACTAAACCTGCCACAACTTGATCTTGGACTTCCAGCCTCCAGAACTGGAAGGAATAAATTTATGTTGCTTATAAGCCACCCATTTTATAGTGTATTCATTATAGCAGCCTGTAAGACTAAGACAGATGGTATTTGAAGATGGGGACTTTGAAAAACAGGTCATGAGAATGGAGCCCTCATGATGGGATTAGTGCCTTTATAATCAGAGAGACAAGAGAGCTTGTTCTCCACCCTCTCTCCCCCACCATCATTTGCAGACACAAGAAGGTAGCCATCTGAAAACCAAAAAGAGAGTCCTTTCCAGCCACTGGGTCTGCTGACATCCATATCTTGGACTTCCGCTCTCCAGAAGCATGAGAAATTGATGATTGTTGCTTTAGCCACTCAGTGCATGATATTTTATTATAGAAGCCCAAGTGGACAAAGGCAGGGAGGAATATTATCCTGGTTCTCCAATGGTTGTGATTAAAGACCCATTAAGCCTGCTGTGTGCCTCAGAGCCAGATTCCAAAATGCCCTTAAGTTGTCTTCAAGGTTTCTCCTCAGAGCTCTGTAGCCAATTTGGGGTATGTCTGCCATCCACATACCATTCCATGCCCCGGAAGTTGGCAGGAAAACAAAAATTGCATAACCTCCCTCATATGTGGAAACTAAAAAAGTCAAACACACAGAACTAGAGAGTAGAATGGTGGATGGTAGAGGATGGGGATATGCCGTGTATATTTTTCAAAGGGTACAAAGTTTCAATTAGACAGGAAGGATAAGTTCTGGTGATCTGTTGCACAATGAGGTGAGTGTATTAAATCCACAATGTATAAATGTGTAAAAAATCACCTTTTAATGCATAAATACATGAAATTATTATTTGTCTGTTAAAAATAAACTGAAAATTAAAAATAGTAAGGGGAGTTCCCTCCATGAAGGATCATTGAGTACATGCCATAGATTTAATTTTGACAGCAAGAAACAAGAAATTTGCAATAGTCCAAACATTGTGTGATAAATGGTTGTTCTTAATAATATTTTTATAATTTGCCTCAATAAGCTAGGACATGTTATAATCTATTAGGTAGGAATATATTCATTCAATGACTCACTGTTATACTCACAAACAGCTTCATCCTGCTTACCCAAGAAGGTTAGTTTTCATGAAGACTTCTCATCTGAATAAATTTGCTTGCAAATACTAATTTTTGAAATTAATGGACACCTACTGTGGCTGTCTATTCTAGGTATTCAACACATATTCAAGTGGGTTTCATCAAGGACTAAAGCAAGTCTCTATTAACCTATTTACCACTAAGATGGCAGCCCATTTTGAGACTCATGATGGTGGCCCACTGTGAGACTTCTCTCCCCAGACTCTGGTAATCCCCATTCTACATTCTATCTACATGAGCTCCACTTTTTTGAGTTCCCAAACAGGAGTGAGAATATGTGCTGTTCTCCAGTGACTGGCTTATCTCACTTAATGTAATGACCTCCAGTTCCATCCACGTTTGAACAGTTTTAATTCACAAGATGAAATTCACAAGAAAGCAAACCAGTGGAAACAGAGGACTGCAGTCAGTTGCTTCGATCAGAACCTGATCAAGAACTAGTCACCACTTTGGAAAACACTATCTATGGAAATCCTCCTGCTGCTATTTGAGTTGCCAACACAACACACAAGTGTTGGCAGTTCTGGTATCTATCTCAATGATTCTATCTAAAGCAAACCTGTGGGTCTTTTTTTCCATCCCTAACTTACCATTTACCTATTAAAATGCCGTAGTGTTTTAAAATAAGAGAAGTTGCTTTTCTGTTACATTTCTGTTTTATATTACAGTTACAGCCTCAAATACATGTTTGAAAATTATTTGAGCATTCATTGTCAGTGTTCATTATCAGTAGTTTTCATTACATTTTTGTAAAAAGGAATGCTATAAAACACATTCACCATGAAAGAGAGTCCAAGTCTGAAAAAATGATCCTTGGAGTCATTAACCTATTTACAACAAAGATGGCGGCCCACTGTGAGACTCATGAGACTCACAGTGGGCCACCGTCTTGGTTGTAAATAGGTTAAAGGAGCCTTGAGTTAGTCATTAATGAAACTCACTTGACTCTGATTTACAGGTGTATGTTGTTATTTGCAGCTCGCTGAATGGGGAGACATACAAGCAGGACCTGACTTACCCAACAACAGCTGTCTTGAACTATGTGTTATAGGACCACTGGGTCTGAATGTCCACTGTGCAGTAAAAAAACCAATACTCTGAGACAGCGGGGTTTGCAGCAGAGAAAGAGCTTAATAATTGTAGGACACTGAGTGAGAAAATGGGAGGAAACCCTCAAATCTGTCTCCCTGTGGAGTTCTGAGCTGTAGTTTTTCAGGGGATTGTAGAGGATAAGAGGTCAGGAAATTGGGATCATTGACTGCTCAGAGGTTTAGAAAGTAGGCTGTGGACCACTACCTCTTCTTATTTATATAGTTATACCTTGCCCAAGTTATATTCTGATACCATTCTTTCAATTTTGTTAGATATCCTCTTTTGTTCTTTGTAAAATTTTATTATTATTATTTTACAGACAGGACCTTGCTCTGTTCCCCTGGCTGGAGAGCAATGGTGCAATCATGGCTCACTACAACCTCAAACTCCTGGGCTCACGTCATCCTCCTGCCTCAGCCTACCCAGTAGCTGGGACAACAGGCACATGACATCACACCCAAGTAAATTTTTAGTTTTTTTTTTTTTTTGTAGACAAAAGGTTTCACTTTTTTGCCTTAACTAGCCTCAAGTCTAGTCTAAACTCCTGGCCCCAAGCAATCCTCTGTCCTTAGTCTCCCAAAGTGCTTAGATTTACAGGCATAAGCCACTGTGCTCAGCCTTACATTTTCTTAAAGCCTGGAAGTGTTTCATCTCTGTATCTTATATTGTAATGTTTCCATTTTTTTTAAGTCCCTGTGTGGATTTAATCTGCAACCCCACCGTAATATGTTAAATCCTCACAGTGTCCTCATAAACTGGCTGCTCCATACTGAATTCCACTCATTTAGTCAGCTGAAACACAGAAAGCTTTGGTATATATAAAGAAAAAGGTCAGGTCGGTCCAGGAATGACTCGTAGTCTTGTTTGCTAATTAGGTCATGATCTGAATGAGATTTGGTGAGAGAAATTGTAGTCCTAACCAGTGGTTCTCAATGTTGAGAGAGGATTAGAACTAAGGAGGGCTTGTTGAAACACACAAAGCTGGATCCCACTCTTTCTCATTTATTGGGTCTAAGGAAGGATTTTAGAATTTGCATTTCTAACAAATTCCCAGGTGATGCTGATGAGGGTGGTCCAGGTACCACATTTTGATAACCACTGGGAAGACTGAAGTAAGTAACATGGGATTTTTTCTAAGACATTTTATTTGTAGCCAATGAAGAAATCTTACAGCCTTCTCTCTTTTGAAACTTTGTGTGCATACAAGCAGGACCTGACTTACTCAACAACATCTGTCTTGAACTATGTGTTATGGGACCACTGGGTCCGAATGTCCACTGTACAGTAAAAAAACCAATACTCTGAGACAGCAGGGTTTGCAGCAGAGAAAGAGCTTAATAATTGTAGGACACTGAGTGAGAAAATGGGAGGAAACCCTCAAATCTGTCTCCTTGTGGAGTTCTGAGCTGTAGTTTTTCAGGGGATTGTAGAGGATAAGAGGCTGGGAAATTAGGGTCATTGACTGCTTAGGGTAAGGAGCATAAAATCCTCAGGATATGGAAACTGCATTCTTTGGTGAGTTAGCTTCTTGTGGTATCCTTCAGACCAGCTGGCATTAGTAGTTTCATCAGTATGCAGGACCTGAAAAAAAATCTCAAAGGGAAAACTTGTTTCATAACGTTGAAGTCGTTATCTACAGAGCAGTTAAGGGAACTCTAATCTACGGTTTATGTGATTCTAGGACAAGAGGCACCAAACAACTATGACGAAGAAGGTCAAGGGGATAGGCTGCCCTTAGGATGAATGTTGAGTGTCCTGTGAGGTTGATTTATTTTCATTTCTCCCCATTCTTTTTTCCCTGATAAATTTTATAAAGTTTATGCAGATGATTTTACATGTGTGTTTATAATTCAAGATGTAGCTCTGCAGTACTATGAAAAGTGCAGAAATCCTTTTTACAAAGACCATAGAATGAGTAAAGGTTTGGAAAAGTAGATTCAAGGGAACTTACTTTTCAAGAATAAAACTAGGTGATCAGCAAGACAAGACCATATAACAGGTCCAGATAACCACATGTGGGCTAAGGAACATGATATATTACCTGTTCTTGGTTCTTCTATACCTAGGACATAATTTAGGGACCAAGCTTTAGAAAACTTAGCATGAAAATTTATGAGGGAGGAATGGAGTAATATATCAACAAATTGGAAAAAAACTGAAATTTTATACTGGGAGTTCAGTCCGGCTGCTGGGAAAAATTTTAGTTATAATAGCCACAAACCCTCTTGGAAGGCCTGAGAGTTTGCATAACTTTAGTAATATATTTGGCTGAAGGCAGCCTAGTCCTTTTACCTTTAGTTAAACAGATTAAAGTAGATACAAAGGAATTTGGGGTAGTTTATCTAACTAGCTTGTTGCAGCTGCTACTCTTTACAGCACTCTGCTTGGAGTCTGTAAGCAGCCTCTTAGCTCCGCTCGACTGGCAAAACAGATTATTTGTGTCAGTGCACATTATTCATACTTCATTGGGTCAGCATTGGTAGGACAGACCCCCACATTTATCTTTCTGTGCAGAAATGATGGATTCTAGGCTAGATACCAGATATGGCCAACAATTTGGGAGTGAACTCATGAAGAGAATCCATTAGTTAATTATGAGAAAATTGCTGTTAATTGCACACAGAATGCTGAGATAAAATGATGGTAACTGTGTTTTTTTTTTTTATTTTTTTCAGGAATATCTCTTTAATATAATTGGCATGATAGTGATTCAAAGTGGAAAATTTAGGCGCTACATAAATCTGCCAAATGTGTGATTGTGCATTATAAAGCTAATTATAAAACAAGATTTTTTTTTACATTTTCCTGTCTTTTATTTAGTAATATCTTGGAGATCCTTCCATTCTTATTTCTGTTTCCTGCTTTTTTTAAAAAAAAATATGTTAAGTTTTAGGATATATGTGAACAATGTGCTGGTTAGTTACATATGTATATATGTTCCATGTTGTTTGGCTGTACCCATCAACTCGTCATTTAACATTAGGTATATCTCCTAATGCTATCCCTACCTGCTCCCCACACCCTACAACAGGTCTCAGTGTGTGATGTTCCCCTTCCTGTGTTCAGGGGTTCTCATTGTTCAATTCCCACCTATGAGTGAAAACATGTGGTGTCTGGTTTTTGTCCTTGTGATAGTTTGCTAAGAGTGATGGTTTCCAGCTTCATACATGTCCCTACAAAGGACAGGACCTCATCATTTTTTATGTCTGCATACTATTCCATGGTGTATATGTGCCAAATATTCTTAATCCAGTCTATGATTTTTGGGCATTTGGGTTGGTTCCAAGTCTTTGCTATTATGAATGGTACCACAATAAACATACGTGTACATGTATCTTTATAGCAGCATGTTTTATAATCCTATGGGTATATACCCATTAATGGGATGGCTGGGTCAAATGGTATTTCTAGTTCTAGACCCCTGGGGAACTACCACACTGACTTCCACAATGGTTGAACTAGTTTACAGTCTCACCAACAGTGTAAAAGTGTTCCTATTTCTTCACGTCCTCTCCAGCATCTGTTATTTCCTGATTTTTAATAATCAACATTCTAACTGGTGTGAGATGGTATCTCATTGTGGTTTTGATTTGCATTTCTCTGACGGCCAGTGGTGATGAACATTTTTTCACGTGTTTTTTGGCTGCATAAATGTCTTCTTTTGAGAAGTGCCTGTTCATATCCTTCACCCACTTTTTGTTGGGGTTGGTTTTTTTTTCTTGTAAATTTGTTTGAGTTCATTGTAGATTCTGGATATTAGCCCTTTGTCAGATGAGTAGATTGCAAAAACTTTCTCCCATTCTGTGGGTTGCCTGTTCATTCTGATGGTTGTTTCTTTTGCTGTGCAGAAGCTCTTTAGTTTAAGTAGATCTCATTTGTCAATTTTGGCTTTTGTTGCCATTGCTTTTGGTGTTTTAGACATGAAGTCTTTGCCCATGCCTATGTCCTGAATGGTATTGCCTAGGTTTTCTTCTAGGGTTTTTATGGTTTTAGGTCAAACATTTAAATCTTTAACCCATCTTGAATTAATTTTTGTATAAGGTGTAAGGAAGGCATCCAGTTTCAGCTTTCTACATATGGCTAGCCAATTTTCCCAGAATCATTTATTAAATAGGGAATCCTTTCCCTATTGCTTGTTTTTGTCAGGTTTGTCAAAGATCAGATAGTTGTAGATACGTGGCATTGTTTCTGAGGGCTCTTTTCTGTTCCATTAGTCTATATCTCTGTTTTGGTATCAGTACCATGCTGTTTTGGTTACAGCAGACATGAAGTATAGTTTGAAGTCAGGTAGCGTGATGCCTCCAGCTTTGTTCTTTTCGTTTAGGATTGACTTGGAAATGTGGGCTCTTTTTCAGTTCCATATGAACTTTAAAGTAGTTTTTTCCAATTCTTAGAAGAAAGTCATTTGTAGCTTGATGGGGATGGCGTTGAATCTGTAAATTACCTTGGGCAGTATGGCCATTTTCACGATATTGATTCTTCCTACCCATGAGCATGGAATGTTCTTCCATTTGTTTGTGTCCTCTTTTATTTCCTTGAGCAGTGGTTTGTAGTTCTTCTTGAAGAGGTCCTTCACATCCCTTGTAAGTTGGATTCCTAGGTATTTTATTGTCTTTGAAGCAATTGTGAATGGGAGTTCACTCATGATTTGGCTCTCTGTTTGTCTGTTATTGGTGTATAAGACTGTTTGTGATTTTTGCACATTGATTTTGTATCCTGAGACTTTGCTGAAATTGCCTATCAGATTAAGGAGATTTTCGACGGAGATGATGGGGTTTTCTAGATATACAATCACGTCATCTGCAAACAGGGACAATTTGACTTCCTCTTCTCCTAATTGAATATGATTTATTTTCTTCTCCTGCCTGATTCACCTGGCCAGAACTTCCAACACTATGTTGAATAGAAGTGGTGAGAGAGAGCATCCCTGTCTTGTGCCAAATTGCAAAGAGAATGCTTCCAGTTTTTGCCCATTCAGTATGATATTGGCTGTGGGTTTGTCATAGCTAGCTCTTATTATTTTGAGATACGTCCCGTGGATACCTAATTTATTGAGAGTTTTTATTTTTATTTTTTAATGTATTATTATTATACTTTAAGTTTTAGGGTACATGTGCACAATGTGCAGGTTAGTTACATATGTATACATGTGCCATGGTGGTGTGCTGCACCCACTAACTCATCATCTAGCATTAGGTATATCTACCAATGCTATCCCTCCCCCCTCCCCCCCACCCCACAACAGTCCCCAGAGTGTGATGTTCCCCTTCCTGTGTCCATGTGATCTCATTGTTCAATTCCCACCTATGAGTGAGAATATGTGGTGTTTGTTTTTTTGTTCTTGCGATAGTTTACTGACAATGATGATTTCCAATTTCATCCATGTCCCTATGAAGGACATGACTTCATCATTTTTTATGACTGCATAGTATTCCATGGTGTATATGTGCCACATTTTCATAATCCAGTCTATCATCGTTGGACATTTGGGTTGGTTCCAAGTCTTTGCTATTGTGAATAGTGCCACAATAAACATGCATGTGCATGTGTCTTTATAGCAGCATGATTTATAATCCTTTGGGTATATACCCAGTAATGGGATGGCTGGGTCAAATGGTATTTCTAGTTCTAGATCCCTGAGGCATCGCCAAACTGACTTCCACAATGGTTGAACTAGTTTACGTCCTGCCAATGGTGTAAAAGTGTTCCTATTTCTCCACATCCTCTCCAGAACCTGTTGTTTCCTGACTTTTTAATGATAGCCATTCTAAGTGGTGTGAGATGGTATCTCATTGTGGTTTTGATTTGCATTTCTCTGATGGCCAGTGATGGTGAGTATTTTTTCATGTGTTTTATGGCTGCATAAATGTCTTCTTTTGAGAAGTGTCTGTTCATGTCCTTCGCCCACTTTTTGATGGGGTTGTCTGTTTTTTTCTTGTAAATTTGTTTGAGTTCATTGTATATTCTGGATATTAGCCCTTTGTCAGATAAGTAGGTTGTGAAAATTTTCTCCCATTTTGTAGGTTGCCTGTTCACTCTGATGGTAGTTTCTTTTGCTGTGCAGAAGCTCTTTAGTTTAATTAGATACCATTTGTCAATTTTGGCTTTTGTTGCCATTGCTTTTGGTGTTTTAGACATGAAGTCCTTGTCCATGCCTATGTCCTGAATGGTATTGCCTAGGTTTTCTTCTAGGGTTTTGATGGTTTTAGGTCTAACGTTTACATCTTTAATCCACTTGAATTGATTTTTGTATAAGGTGTAAGGAAGGGATCCAGTTTCAGCTTTCTACATATGGCTAGCCAGTTTTCCCAGCACCATTTATTAAATAGGGAATCCTTTCCCCATTGCTTGTTTTTGTCAGGTTTGTCAAAGATCAGATAGTTGTAGATATGCGGCATTATTTCTCAGGGCTCTGTTCAGTTCCATTGATCTATATCTCTGTTTTGATACCAGTACCATGCTGTTTTGGTTACTGTAGATTTGTAGTACAGTTTGAAGTCAGGTAGTGTGATGTCTCCAGCTTTGTCCTTTTGGCTTAGGATTGATTTGGCAATGTGGGCTATTTTTTGGTTCCATATGAACTTTAAGGTAGATTTTTCCAATTCTGTGAAGAAAGTCATTGGTAGCTTGATGGAAATGGCATTGAATCTGTAAATTACCTTTGACAGTATGGCCATTTTCACGATATTGATTCTTCCTACACATGAACACGGAATGTTCTTCCATTTGTTTCTATCATCTTTTATTTCCTTGAGCAGTGGTTTGTAGTTCTCCTTGAAGAGGTCATTCACATCCCTTGTAAGTTGGATTCCTAGGTATTTTATTGTCTTTGAAGCAATTGTGAATGGGAGTTCACTCATGATTTGGCTCTCTGTTTGTCTGTTGTTGGTGTATAAGAATGCTTGTGATTTTTGTAGATTGATTTTGTATCCTGAGACTTTGCTGAAGTTGCTTATCAGCTTAAGGAGACTTTGGGCTGAGACAATGGGGTTTTCTAGATATACAGTCATGTCGTCTGCAAACAGGGACAATTTTACTTCCTCTTTTCCTAATCGAATACCTTTTATTTCCTTCTCCTGCCTAATTGCCCTGGCCAGAACTTCCAACACTATGTTGAATAGGAGTGGTGAGAGAGAGGGCATCCATGTCTTGTGCCAAATTGCAAAGAGAATTCTTCCAGTTTTTGCCCATTCAGTATGATATTGGCTAAGGGTTTGTCACAGCTAGCTCTTATTATTTTGAGATGCGTCCCATCAATACCAAATTTATTGAGAGTTTTTAGCATGAAGTGTTGTTGAATTTTGTTAATGGTCTTTTCTGCGTCTATTGAGATAATAATGAGTTTTTCTGTCGTTGGTTCTGTTTATATGCTGGACTATGTTTATTGATTTACGTATGTTGAACAAACCTTGCATCCCAAGGATGAAGCCAACTTTATTGTGGGGGATAAGCTTTTTGATATGCTGCTGGATTCAGTTTGCCAGTATTTTATTGAGGATTTTTGCATCGATGTTCTTCAGGGATATTTGTCTAAAATTCTCTTTTTTTCTTATGTCTCTGCCAGGTTTGGTATCAGGATGATATTGGCCTCATAAAATGAGTTAGGGAGGTTTTCCTCTTTTTCTATTGATTGGAATAGTTTCAGAAGGAATGGTACCAGCTCCTCCTTGTGCCTCTGGTAGAAATCATCTGTGAATCCATCTGTTCCTGAAATTTTTTTGGTTGGTAATCTGTTAATTATTGCCTCAATTTCAGAGCCTGTTATTGATCTATTCAGAGATTCAACTTATTCCTGGTTTAGTCTTGGGAAGGTGTATGTGTTGAGAAATTTACCCATTTCTTCTAGATTTTCTAGCTTATTTGCATAGAGGTGTTTATAGTATTCTCTGATGGTAGTTTGTATTTCTGTGGGATCAGTGGTGATATCCCCTTTATCATTTTTTATTGCGTCTATTTAATTCATCTCTGTTTTCTTCTTTATTAGTCTTGCTAGTTGTCTATCAATGTTGTTGATCTTTTCAAAAAACCAGCTCCTGGATTCATTGATTTTTTGAAGGGTTTTTTGTGTCTCTATTTCCTTCAGTTCTGCTCTGATTTTAGTTATTTCTTGCCTTCTGCTAGCTTTTGAATGTGTTTGCTCTTGCTTCCCTAGTTCTTTTAATTGTGATATTAGGGTGTCAATTTTAGATCTTTCCTGCTTTTTCTTGTGGGCATTTGGTGCTATAAATTTCCCTCTACACACTGCTTTGAATGTGTCCCAGAGATTCTTGTATGTTGTTTCTTTTTTCTCATTGGTTTCAAAGAACATCTTTATTTCTGCCTTCATTTCGTTATGTACCCAGTAGTCATTCAGGAGCAGGTTGTTCAGTTTCCATGTAGTTGAGCGGTTTTGAGTGAGTTTAATCCTGATTTCTAGTTTGATTGCAATATGATCTAAAAGACTGCAATAATTTCTGTTCTTTTGTATTTGCTGAGGAGAGCTTTACTTCCAACTATGTGGTCAATTTTGGAATAAGTGTGGTGTGGCGCTGAGAAGAATATACATTCTGTTGATTTGGCATGGAAAGTTCTGTAGACGTCTATTAGGTCTCCTGGGTGCAGAGCTGAATTCAATTCCTGGATATCCTTCTTAACTTTCTGTCATGTTGATCTGTCTAATGTTGACAGTGGGGTGTTAAAATCTCCCATTATTATTGTGTGGGAGTCTAAGTCTCTTGCTAGGTCTCTAAGGACTTGCTTTGTGAGTCTGGGTGCTCCTGTATTGGGTGCATATGTAGTTAGGGTAGATAGCTCTTCTTTTTGAATTGCTCCCTTTACCTTTAGGTAATGGCCTTCTTTGTCCCTTTTGTTCTTTGTTGGTTTAAAGTCCGTTTTATCAGAGACTAGGATTGCAACCCATGCCTTTTTTTGTTTTCCATTTGCTTGATAGTTCTTCCTCCATCCCTTTATTTTAAGCCTATGTGTGTCTCTGCACGTGAGTTGGGTGTCCTGAACACAGCACACTGATGGGTCTTGACTCTATCCAATTTTCCAGTCTGTGTCTTTTAATTGGAGAATTTAGCCCATTTACATTTAAGGTTAATATTGTTATGTGTGAATTTGATCCTGTCATTATGATGTTAGCTGGTTATTTTGCTTGTTAGTTGATGTAGTTTCTTCCTAGCCTCGATGGTCTTTGCAATTTGGCATGTTTTTGCAGTGGCTGGTACCAGTTGTTCCTTTCCATGTTTATTGCTTCCTTCAGAGCTCTTGTAAGGCAAGCCTAGTGGTGACAAAATCTTCCAGCATTTGCTTGTCTGTAAAGGATTTTATTTCTCTTTCACTTATGAAGCGTAGTTTGGCTGGATATGAAATTCTGGGTTGAAAATTCTTTTCTTTAAGAATGTTGAATATTGGTCCCCACTGTCTTCTGGATTGTAGAGTTTCTGCTGAGAGATCAGTTGTTAGTCTGATGGCCTTCCCTCTGTGGGCAACCCGACCTTTCTCTCTGGCTGCGCTTAATATTTTTTCCTTCATTTCAGCTTTGGTGAATCTGACAATTATGTGTCTTGGAGTTGCTCTTCTTGAGGAGTATCTTTGTGGCATTCTCTGTATTTCCCAAATTTGAATGTTGGCCTGCCTTGCTAGATTGGGGAAGTTCTCCTGGGTAATATACTGCAGAGTGTTTTCCAACTTTGTTCCGTTCTCCCCGTCATTTTCAGGTACACCAATCTGATGTAGATTTGGTCTTTTCACATTGTCCCATATTTCTTGAAGGCATTGTTCATTTCTTTTTCTTCTTTTTTCTCTAAATTTCTCTTCTTACTTCATTTCATTCATTTGATCTTCCATCACTGATACCCTTTTTTCCAGTTGATCAAATCAGCTACTGAGTCTTGTGCATTCGTCACGTAGTTCTCTTGCCATGGTTTTCAGCTCCATCAGGTCCTTTAAGGACTTCTCTGCATTGGTTATTCTAGTTATCCATTCATCTGATTTTTTTTAAAGCTTTTTAACTTCTTTGCCATGGGTTTGAACTTCCTCCTTTAGCTTGGAGTAGTTTAATCTTCTGAAGACTTATTTTCTCAATGTGTCAAAGTCATTCTCCATCCAGCTTTGTTCCATTGCTGGTGAGGAGCTCTGTTCCTTTGGAGGAGGAGAGGTGCTCTGATTTTTAGAGTTTCCAGTTTTGCTGCTCTGTTTATTCCCCATCTTTGTGGTTTTATCTACCTTTGGTCCTTGATGATGGTGACCTACAGATGGAGTTTTGGTGTGGATCTCCTTTCTGTTTGTTAGTTTTCCTTCTAACAGTCAGGACCCTCAGCTGAAGATCTGTTGGAGTTTGCTGGAGGTCCACTCCAGGATCTGTTTACCTGGGTGTCAGCAGTGGAGGCTACAGAACAGCATATATTGGTGAACAGCAAATGTTGCTGTCTGATCATTCCTCTGGAAGTTTTGTCTCAGAGAAGTACCCAGCTGTGTGAGGTGTCCATCTGCCTCTACTGGGAATGCCTCCCAGTTAGGCTACTCAGGGGTCAGGGACACATTTGAGGAGGCAGTCTGTCCATTCTCAGGTCTCCAGCTGCATGCTGGGAGAACCACTACTCTCTTCAAAGCTGTCAGACAGGGAAATTTAAGTCTGCAGAGGTTTCTGCTGCCTTTTGTTTGGCTATGCCTTGCTCCCAGAGACGGGGTCTACAGAGACAGGCAGGCCTCCTTGAGCTGCGGTGGGCTTTACCCAGTTCGAGCTTCCCAGCTGCTTTGTTTACCTACTCAAGCCTCAGCAATGGTGGACGCCCCTCCCTCAGCCTCACTGCCACCTTGCTGTTTGATCTCAGACTGCTGTGCTAGCAATGAGCAAGACTCCGTGGGCATAGGACCCTCTGAGCCAGCCATGGGATATAATCTCCTGATGTGCCATTTGCTAAGACCATTGGAAAAGCACAGTATTAGGGTGGGAGTGACCTGATTTTCCAGGTGCTGTCCATCACCCCTTTCTTTGACTAGGAAAGGGAATTCCCTGACCCCTTGTGCTTCCTGGGTGAGGTGTTGTCTTGCCCTTCTTGAGCTCACACTCAATGCACTGCACCCACTGTCCTGCACCCACTTTCCAACACTCCCCAGTGAGATGAACCTGGTACCACAGTTGGAAATGCAGAAATCACCCGTCTTCTGCATCGCTCACACTGGAAGCTGTAGACTGGAACTGTTCCTATTTGATCATCTTCATTAACTGTTTTTAAAATGTGTAAAAGATTGTGTGCAGGCACTGATTTAAGTCATGCAAAATGAAACTTTCATTCCCTACAACTTGGCCTGAGATCCCACCTTGCTTGATTTATGTTTCTCCCCTCCCCCACCCTGGATGGTTCCACCAACATTCCTACAGGTTTCTTGGGAGCCCTTCCACTCAGGGTCTACTTCTGAGGAATCAGACATAAGTCACATGGATACAACAATGCTTACAAATAAAACAATAGGGAATCTGAGTATTTTTTCAAAATATAATCGCATTTTTTGGCCTGGCATGGTGGCTCATGCTTGTATCCCAGCACTTTGGGAGGCTGAGGCAGGCCGATCACCTGAGGTCAAGAGTTTGAGGCAAGCCTGGCCAATATGGAGAAACCCCATCTCTACTAAAAATACAAAAATTAGCCGGGTGTGGTGGTGGGTGCTTGTAATCCCAGGAGGCCGAGGCAGGAATATCATTTGAACTCCAGAGGTGGAAGTTGCAGTGAGCCAAGATCACACCACTGCACTCCAGCCTGGGCAACAAGCCAAACTCTAAAAAAAAAAGTATATATATACACACACACACACACACACACACACACACACATACACACATATATATCATATGTAATTGTTTTTGAAATTCTCTTAAAGAGGGAAATTTAAAACTGGTGATAATTGGGTTTTGCTTTTAAGATAGATGTATTAAATACTCAGATTTCTGTTTCTCTTTGGTAAGTTTATCCATGAGGGACATCTAATGCTGGACATACACCAGCAGGAACTGCACATTTATTCTAATTTTAGTCCACGTTCTGCAGAAGCACAAGCTTTACTATGGTGCTTCTTCAGAGGATGTCAACTGAATAAATAGAAAAGTTTGACTCAACATTGCACCTTTCCATTGTAAAAAGCACTTTTCACTCCACCATGGCTCCAATAGCAGGGGAAGGAACTAATACTTAATTCAGGAATTTGCTCTTTCTTTTGTCTGGCCACATGGCCTAGTGATGGGGGAAGCCAGGCAACCAAAGTTCTGCTCATACAGAAGGAACAGACAAAAAGGTTTTAGAGACCTAAAGAGGAGAGTCTTCCTACCCACACTTCTTAGAAAATAATTAATTTTTCCCCTTTGTCTCAGCAAAGGAGATGACATTATACATTTTTTGAGAAGGTAAATATTTTAGATTTAACAAAATTTATTTTTTCATAATTTAGCTTGATTGGTAAATATTTTTAAATAAACTTTATTTTCTACAGCAGTTTTAAGTTCATAGCAAAACTGAACACAAGGTACTGAGAGTTCCCCAGACCCCCGTGCCTATGCATGTATGGGCTTCCTCATCATCAGTTTATCAACAATGGAGTATTACTCGGTGCTAAAAAGAAATGAACTATTGAGCCATGAAAACTTATGTATCTTTGTTATACCAATATCTATATCTACCTTGAAACATATAAAACATCTAGAAATATGACATTATATATATAATATTAAAATGGAATATACATTGGAATGAAATATTTTCTATACTTTTCTACATTTATATAAAATATGTTAATATTATCTTAGTAGTTTTTCAATGACCTCTGCGAAAAACCGACATATTTTGTAGCCTTATCTTTTGCAGAAATCACCTTATAATTGTTCAATGCACAATTGAACAAAAACTTTATTTCTGCATTGCTAATAGTATATGTATTTCATTTGTTGTAAAATATAGCATTCATCTAAATCTTATATGTTTACTTATTTATTTATTTATTTTTCTCTCCGTCTTCTATTTTAGGATCAGAGAGTTCATGTACAGGTTTGTTAAATAGATAAATTGCACGTATAGGTTTTTTGTGTACAGATTATTTTGTCACCCAGGTAAGAAGTGTAGTATCCCATAGGTAGTTTTCTGATCCCCACCCTCCACCCTCAAGTAGGTGTTGGTGTATATTGTTCCCACATTTCTGTCCATGTGTACTCAATGCTTAGCTCCCACTTATAAGTGAGAACATGCGGTATTTTGTTTCCTGTTCCCGTGTTAATTCACTTAGAATAATGGTTTCCAGCTCCATCCATGTAGCTGCAAAGAACATGATCTCATTATTTTAGTGGTTTAATGGTATTCCAAAGTGTATATTCACCACATTTTCTTTATTCAGTCTGCTCTTAAGAGGCATCTAAGTTGATCCCATATCTTTGCTATTTTGAATAGTGGTGCAATGAGCATACACATGCATGTGTCTTTATGGTAGAACAATGTATATTCCTTTGAGCATATACAGAGTAATGGGATTGCTGGGTCGAATGGTAGTTCTGTTTTTGTTTTTTGACAAATCTCAAAACGGCTTTCCACAGAAGCTGGCCTAATTTACATTTCCACCAACCATGTAAGTGTTCCCTTTCCTCTGCAATCTTGTGAGGATCTGTTGCTTTCTGACTTATTAATCATATCGGAAATATGAGACAGGTATGAGATGGTATTACTTTTTTCTCATTTGTTTTCCCCATTCATATCCTTTTTTAAAAAATTATACTTTACGTTTTAGGGTACATGTGCACAATGTGCAGGTTAGTTACATATGTATACATGTGCCATGTTGGTGTGCTGCAACCAGTAACTCGTCATTTAACATTAAGTATATCTCCTAAAGCTATCCCTCCCCGCTTCCTCCACCCCACAACAGGCCCCAGTGTATGATGTTTTCCCCTTTCTGTGTCCATGTGTTCTCATTGTTCAATTCCCACCAATGAGTGAGAACATGCGGTGTTTGGTTTTTTGTCCTGTGATAGTTTGCTGAGAATGATGGTTTCCAGCTTCATCCATGTCCCTACAAAGTACACGAAATCATTTTTTATGGCTGCATAGTATTCCATGGTGTATATGTGCCACATTTTCTTAATCCAGTCTATCATTGTTCGACATTTGGGTTGGTTTCAAGTCTTTGCTATTGTGAGCAGTGCCACAATAAACATACGTGTGCATGTGTCTTTATAGCAGCATGATTTATAATCCTTTGGGTATATACCCAGTAATGGGATTGCTGGGTCAAATGGTATTTCTACTTCTAGATCCCTGAGGAATCACCACACTGAATTCCACATGGTTGAACTAGTTTACAGTCCCACCAACAGGGCAAAAGTGTTCTTATTTCTCCACATCCTCTCCAGCACCTGTTGTTTCCTGATTTTTTAAGGATCACCACTCTAACTGGTGTGAGATGGTAACTAATTGTGGTTTTGATTTGCATTTCTCTGATGGCCAGTGATGATGAACATTTTTTTAATGTGTCTGTTGGCTGCATAAAACGTCTTCTTTTGAGAAATGTCTGTTCATACTCTTTGCCCACTTTTCGATGAGGTTGTTTGTTTTTTTCTTGGAAATTTGTTGGCGTTCATTGTAGATTCTGGATATTAGCCCTTTGTCAGATGAGTAGATTGCAAAATTTTTCTCTCATTCTATAAGTTGCCTGTTCACTCTGATGGTAGTTTCTTTTTCTGTGCAGAAGCTCTTTAGTTTAATTAGATCTCATTTGTCAATTTTGGCTTTTGTTGCCATTGCTTTTGGTGTTTTAGACATGAAGTCCTTGCCCATGCCTATGTCCTGAATGGTATTGCCTAGGTTTTCTTCTAGGGTTTTTATGGCTTTAGGTCTAACATGTAAGTCTTTAATCCATCTTGAATTAACTTTTGTATAAGGTATAAGGAAGGGATCCAGTTTCAGCTTTCTACATATGGCTAGCCAGTTGTCCCAGCACCATTTATTAAATAGGGAATCCTTTCCACACTTCTTGTTTTTGTCAGGTTTGTCAAAGATCAGATGGTTGTAGATATGTGGCATTACTTCTGATGGCTCTGTTCTGTTCCATGGGTCTATATCTCTCTTTTGGTACCAGTACCATGCTGTTTTGGTTACTGTAGCCTTGTAGTATAGTTTGAAGTCAGGTAGTTTGATGCCTCCAGCTTTGTTCTTTTGGCTTAGGATTGACTTGGTAATGCGGGCTCTTTTTTGGTTCATATGAACTTTAAAGTAGTTTTTTCCAATTCTGTGAAGAAAGTCATTGGTAGCTTGATAGGGATGGCATTGAATCTATAAATTACCTTGGGCAGTATGGCCATTTTCCGATATTGATTCTTCCTAGTCACGAGCATGGAATGTTCTTCCATTGGTTTGTATTCTCTTTTACTTCATTGAGCAGTGGTTTGTAGTTCTCCTTGAAGAGGTCCTTCATTTCCCTTGTAAGTTGGATTCCTAGGTATTTTATTCTCTTTGAAGCAATTGTGAATTGGAGTTCACTCATGATTTGGCCCTCTGTTTGTCTGTTATAGATATGTACGATGCTTGTGATTTTTGCACATTGATTTTGTATCCTGAGATGAAATATCAGATTACACACAAAGGGAAACCCAACAGACTAACAGCTGATCTCTTGGCAGAAACTCTACAAGACAGAAGAGAGTTGGTGCTAATATTCACCATTTTTAAAGAAAATAATTTTCAACCCAGAATTTCATATCCAGCCAAACTAAGATTCATAAGTGAAGGAGAAATAAAATCCTTTACAGACAAGCAAATGCTGAGATTTTGTCACCACCAGGCCTGCTCTAAAAGAGCTCCTGAAGGAAGCACTAAACATAGAAAGGAGCAACCGGTACCAGCCACTGCAAAAACATGCCAAATTGAAAAGACCATCGAGGCTAGGAAGAAATTGCACCAACTAATGAGCAAAATAACCAACTAACATCATAATGACAGGATCAAATTCACACATAACAATATTAACCTTAAATGTAAATGGGCTAAATGCACCAACTAGAAGACACAGACTGTCAAATTGGGTAAAGAGTCAAGACCCACCAGTGTGCTGTATTCAGGAAAACCATCTCACTTGCAGAGACACACATAGGCTCAAAATAAAGGGATGGAGGAAGACCTACCAAGAAAATGGAAAACAAACAAAGGCACAGGTTGCAATCCTAGTCTCTGATAAAACAGACTTTTAATCAACAAAGTTGAAAAGAGACAAAGAAGGCCATTACATAATGGTAAAGGGATCAATTCAACAAGAAGAGCTAACTATCCTAAATATATATGCACCCAATACAGGAGCACCCAGATTCATAAAGCAAGTCCTTAGAGACCTAGCAAGAGACTTAGACTCCCACACAATAATAATGGGAGACTTTAACACCCCACTGTCAACATTAGATGGATCAACAAGACAGAAAGTTAAGAAGGATATCCCCGAAGTGAACTTAGGTCTGTAGCAAGCGGACCTAATAGACAACTACAGAACTCTCCACCCCAAATCAACAGAATACACATTCTTCTCAGCACCACACTGCACTTATTCCAAAATTGACCACATAGTTGGAAGTAAAGCACTCCTCAGCAAATGTAAAAGAAAAGAAATTATAACAGTCTTTCAGACCACATTGCAATCAAACTAGAACTCAGGATTAAGAAACTCATTCAAAACCACTCGGCTACGTGGAAACTGAAAAACTCGCTCCTGAATGACTACTGGGTACATAATGAAATCAAGCGAGAAATAAAGATGTTCTTTGAAACCAATGGGAAAAAAGACACAGCATACCAGAATCTCTGGGACACATTCAAAGCAGTGTGTAGAGGGAAATTTATAGCACCAAATGCCCACAAGAGAAAGCAGAAAAGATCTAAAATTGACACCCTAACATCACAATTAAAAGAACTAGGGAAGCAAGAGCAAACACATTCAAAAGCTAGCAGAAGGCAAGAAATAACTAAGATCAGAGCAGAACTGAAGGAGATGGAGACAGAAAAAACCTTCAAACAATCAATGAATCCAGGAGCTGGCTTTTTGAAAAGATCAACAAAATTGATAGACTGCTCACAAGACTGATAAGAAGAAAAGAGAGGGGAATCAAATAGATGCAATAAAAAATGATAAAGGGGATATCACCACCGATCCCACAGAAATACAAACTACCATCAGAGAATACTATAAACACCTCTACACAAATAAGGCTAGAAAATCTAGAAGAAATGGATAAATTCCTTGACACATACACTCTCCCAAGACTAAACCAGGAAGAAGTTGAATCTCTGAATAGGCCAATAACAGGCTCTAAAATTGAGGCAATAATTAATAGCTTACCAGCCGAAAAAACTCCAGGACCAGATGGATTCACAGCCTAATTCTACCAAAGGTACAAACAAGAGCTGGTACTATTCCTTCTGAAACTATTCCAATCAATAGAAAAGGAGGGACTCCTCTGTAACTCATTTGATGAGGCCCACATCATCCTGATACCAAAGCCAGGCAGAGACACAAGAAAAAAGGAGAATTTTAGACCAATATCCCTGATGAACATTGAAGCAAAAATCCTCAATAAAATACTGGTAAACCGAATCCAGCAGCACATCAAAAAGCTTATCCACCATGATCAAGTGGGCTTCATCCCTGGGATGCAAGGCTGGTTCAACATATGCAAATCAATAAACATAATCCAGCATATAAACAGAACCAATGACAAAAAAACACATGATTATCTCAATAGATGCAGAAAAGACCTTTAACAAAATTCAACAACACTTCATGTTAAAAACTCTCAATAAATTAGGTATTGATGGGACATATCTCAAAATAATAAGAGCTAGCTATCACAAACCCACAACCAATATCATACTGAATGGGAAAAAACTGGAAGCTTTCCCTTTGAAAACTGGCACAAGAGAGGGATGCCCTCTCTCACCACTCCTATTCAACATAGTGTTGGAAGTCCTGGCCAGGGCAATCAGGCAGGAGAAAGAGAAAAAGGTATTCAATTAGAAAAAGTGGAAGTCAAATTGTCCCTGTTTGCAAATGACATGATTGTTTATCTAGAAAACCCCATCATCTCAGTCCAAAGTCTCCTTAAGCTGAGATGGTATTTCATTGTGATTTTAATTTGCATTTCTCTGATGATTAGTAATATGGAGTTTTTTTATATGTTTGTTGTCATATGTGTGTATGTGTTCTTTTTAGATGTGTCTGTTCATATCCTTTTCCCATTTTTTTCCTTTATTTTTTGAAATAGTTTCTTGCTCTGTCACCCAGTCTGAAGTGCAGAAGCATGATCTTAGCTCATTGCAACCTCAGCCTCCCAGGTTCAAGCAATTCTCCTGCCTTAGCCTCCCATGTGGTTGGGATTACAGGCATGTGTCACCATGCCCAGCTAATTTTTATATTTTTAATAGAGTCGGGTCTCACCATCTTGGCCAGGCTGGTCTTGAACTGCTGAACCTCAAGTGATCTGCTGCCCCAGCCTACCAAATTGCTGGGATTACAGGCATGAGCAACTGTGCCTGGCTGTTTGCCTATTTTTTAATGTGGTTGTCGAACATTTCTTTAACATCAACACTGTACACCGCAACAATATTGGTAAGTGTTTATATATATTATTTGGATTATTTTTTGCCTTAATAATGCCCTCTTATCACTTTGATTATAGGATTCTCTGCTGTCTTCCTGAATGTTTTCTTATCCAGGCTTCATCTAGTTATGTGTTGTTGCATGACTTTTGTTAATACACATCTTCTAATAAAATGAGAAAATTATAATGAAGGTGTTTCAAATCTTATGGCAGTACTTCTTGTTCTGCCTGACCTTCCTTTGTGCTCCCATCGTTACAGTTACCAAAAAATAAAATAAAAATTCTGATGGACTGTAACTGCATACAGCTATATAATACATCTCGACCTCTTACTTTACTAG
Source organism: Homo sapiens (assembly GCF_000001405.40). NCBI lineage: Eukaryota > Metazoa > Chordata > Mammalia > Primates > Hominidae > Homo > Homo sapiens. Next base: position 12,031,656 of record NC_000024.10, on the reverse strand, counting down.
TGCACTTACTAGAGATTTCAGCTCCAGCGTGATTCATTCTATAGGCATGTGGAAAGAGCTTTAAAGAGATTTGGGAGAAGTGCAAGCTTTTGTGGGCTCCACCCTTAACACTGAAGCCATGCACCAAGCCTGAACGGGCCTAGCTTGCTTTATTTATCCTGGCAAATTAATTGGCAGTGGCAGGTTGTTTTGTGGGCATAAGGCTGCACCAAGATCAATTAAACCTTTCAACTAATGAGAATTTCCTTCATCTCATTGAACATATACCATTTGTGATGATGAAAACTGAACACATTGAGTCTCCCCTCTCTTGCAAAGCAAACGCGATTTTTTTAACCTTTCTTAATTTTTCTTGTGCTGATTTTGTGGCTGACAGCAGGAGAAGCAGAGTCTGAATCATGTCCATGGACTCAGTAAAAGCTGCACCCTGAGGTTGTCTCCATACCTCTGTGAGTCTTTGTTGTGAATACCCACAGGGAGCCATGATTTCTGGGCTTTCCTTGCAGTGGGCTGTGGTGCCCCCAATTCCTGCTGGATGACCCCATGGGCCATGAATCACAGTGGGGTCTCAGCAGTAAAAGGTTCAGTTTTGCAAGCCAGCTTGGACTGTTTCTGGCCTGCGGTTCTCTAAGTTGATTTGTGTGCACTTTTTGACAAAGGCAGATTTTCTTGTTTGAAGCTGCATTGCCTCAGTTTGGGCTAATTAAGGAAGGTTTTATAGGAGGCTAATAAACCTTTTAGCAATTTGCAATCAGTGCAGGCTTGGGATTATAATAATTGGATCTCAAAACCCAAATAAAAACTCCCAGTTTACTTCCTTCAACACTTTGCTCTGTGTCTCCAAATTCTTTTTGTACCTGGCTACAGTTTCATTTTTGTCCTAAAAGTCTAAGCTTTCTTCTCTTTGCATCTATGGCTTCAAACATACTAATAAATATTGAACAGCTAAAGAAACTGAACTTTAAAATAACAGAAAGGAAAAAACATCTTGATGTGATTGTTTCTGAATCTGGTGATATTGAATGGATTTCGGTTGTTATTTTTAACTATTTGTATGATACTTCCAATTCATTATCTAGAAAAACAGTCCCCTTTTCAACCTCCTCACCCTGGTTGAATGAGACATGTTACTCATAGTCACTCAAGTTCAAATATTTTTTGAGGCTGATATTCCCTCTTTTACAGGCAGACAATCACCAAATTCTAGAGAAGCTCTGTCATATTTTGCCACTATCTTCCCTAATTTCTATTTTCTCTAGAACCACTTTATATAAAACTTTTATTAATCTTTGTCTAAATCATGATAATCACCTCCTAACTAATTTTGACCAGGAGGCCAATTAATTTTGCCTAATGGAAATCAATTCAACTGAATCCCTTATTAATTTTCCTGAAAATCCTCACTGATCTGACAATTGCTGCCTAACTATTTTTTATGAAGAGGCAAATTAATTTTTTCTAATGCAGATCAATCTAAGTCACCATGCCCATTTTAATTTTTTAAAATTCCTTACTGATTACATGCCCCACAGTACCTTGCTTAACTAAACAAAATCCCTGCAACAATTCCATATTTATCAAATTCATTCCAATATGGAACCTATTTTAAAATGTAGTATAGGGGCTGGGAATAGTGGATGACAGCTATAATATCAGCATTTTGGGAAGCCAAGGTGGGAGAATCGCTTGAGGCCAGGAGTTTGAGGCCAGCCTGGGCAACATAGTAAAACACTGCTTCCACAAAATTTAAAAAAGTTAACCAAGCATGGTAGTGTGCACCTGTAGTCCCAGCTACTTGGGAGGCTGAGATTGGAGGATCACTAAAGTGAAGGAGGTCAAGGCTCCGGTAAGCTATGATCAAGCCACTGCACTCCAGCCTGACTGACAGCAATAAACTGTCTCTAAAAATAAATAAGTAAAATAAAAAATAAAATGTAGCATAATACTTCCAGCATTTTCTTCCACCCCAAGCCCCATACAACCCATCTTTAAGCCAAACGGAACCACTCATTCTTTCCCAAAATCACCCTAGAGAACCACATCCCTGGGTCTGGCTCAAGCTGACAATTCTCTGCTAAAGGGGCTTGTACAAATTATAGCCATTCTTGAGTGAATTTTCTTCTGAGACCCCATTTCTAACCCAAATTTATTCACTTTGCAGCCCCCTAATCTACCTCTGCTAATAAGCGTATAGGAGGTCATTTAGCCTGTCAACACTCACTGGTTCATCTGTCTCATTTCCTCCATCAAACGGTGAATGATGTTGGGTGGTAGTTATTCAATCAATATGGAAAATTGTAAATGACTGAAACTAAAATATATGAAACAACATTGATTTACCACATTCCTGTTTGTTTAAACTGTCATGTAGGGTCAACTATACTTGGAATTCTGTTGCTAAGAACTAAAGTTTCAGTTCAATTAAAAGCAACTCATTCATAAACATGTTGTACTGGTATTTCATCAGCTATCTTAACAGCAAACACAATAGATAAATGGTGCTTCTATTGCATAAAGGTAACATAAAGAATGTTTGGTCAAGTAAACATGTTGGCACTTGGGTTATTGACAAACTCAAAACAAAAAGGCCATCATGGAGGGGTACAAATTCCAAGAACCTACTTAAATAAGTAGAACCTACTTAAATGTGTGTAGAATTTGGGTGGAAAGTTAGAGAATATGAATTACTCCAAGTTACACTTTTATTTCATTTCCTTTCATACCATGTGAAATTCATTAGTTTTTTAAACTTGTGCTTTAGGTTTGAGGGTACATGTGAAGGTTTGTTGCAATGGTAAACTTGTGTTGGGGGGAATGTTGTGCAGATTATTTCATCACTCACTTATTAAACCCAGTACCCAACAGTTATCTTTTCTGCTCCTCTCCCTTCCTCTCTCCCTCTTTCATCTCCTTCCTCCCACCCTCCCCCCTCAAGTAGAACCCAGTGTCTGTTGTTTCCTTCTTTGTGTTCATAATTTCTTATCATTTACCTCCCACTTATCAGTGAGAACATGCAGTATTTGGTTTTCTGTTCTTGTGTTAGTTTGCTAAGGATAATAGCCTCCAGCTCCATCCATGTTCCTGCAAAAGACATAATCTCATTCTTTTTTATGGCTGCACAGTAAGCAGAAATTCCTTTTGACCCAGCAATCCCATTACTGGGTATATACGCAGAGGAATATAAATCATTCTTCCATAAAGACACATGTACCTGAATGTTCATTGTAGCACTATCTACAATAGCAAAGTCATGGAATCAACTTAAATGCCCATCAGTGACTGATTGGATAAAGTAAATGTGGTCCACATATACAATGGAATTCTTTCATTTTGTTTTCTGGGGAGCAATCTGTCACACACAGATAATTATGTATCTCAACACCAAACGACCAGACTTGGTGGTCACTTTATCTGTGAGAAAGCAAACCTGGGAAATCTTGAAATGGCAAACCTTTCAGAAGAGATGGCAGAGACTCTCCTACATATTCTGTTCTCAATGCTCTATCTTGTTCTTTCCATCTCAGATCTCCCTCCCATCAGTCAATCTTTAACTACTTAATCCTGAGGCCTGGACATACACACAGAAGTGAGCTCTATTGATTGTGGTAAGCTCTTAAAATAAAATATGCTTTCCCTGAATGTGATGCAGGCAAATCCAGTTAGGAAAAAACTGTTTATATATTTATGTGATAGATCAAGAGTCCTGAAAAATGGCATGGTGAAAGTCGACACATCATTTCCTTGGGAAATCTTGCACCAGATTTCACCACACATCTGTTTTATAAACTCTATGACAGCATCTGACATTTATGGTACTGATCATAACTGTATTATCAATTGGTTGTTGGTGTAATTATTCATTGAAACTTTGCCTTCATTATTGAAATTTTTATTAATGTCTTTCTAACTTGTTTGGTGTGTAGAATATGCCCCTTATTAAATAAAGGCATGGATGAGATTATCTATATAATAGATAGTGTGCTAAGTAAATCAGCTCTCAAAATACACACACATACTGATTAGTGGTTTTAGCCAATTTCCATGGCATAAATTCTCCCACTAAAGCTACAAACAGTTGGAGAGATGGCTCGCACAATTCCTGCATGTTTCATGGTTAGTTCCTTAAAGTCAGAATGAGCCCATTCCAAAGCACCACTTATGCATAAAGGTGTGAGGATGCCCTTGTTCAATTTCAACAACCCTTTCAAAAACAGAGCACACTTAGTAATCTAGACTTGGGAAGATTCTTCAACGTCATGAGAATTTTCTTTCAGCCACAGGGTGCATATTTTCTTGAACAGAGAAGTCCTTGTTTTATTTATTTATTTATTTATTTATTTATTTATTTTTGAGACGGAGTCTCGCTCTGTCGCCCAGGCTGGAGTGCAGTGGCGTGATCTCGGCTCACTGCAAGCTCCGCCTCCCGGGTTCACGCCATTCTCCTGCCTCAGCCTCCCGAGTAGCTGGGACTACAGGCGCCCGCTACCACGCCTGGCTAATTTTTTATATTTTTAGTAGAGACGGGGTTTCACCATGTTAGCCAGGATGGTCTCGATCTCCTGACCTCGTGATCCGCCCACCTCGGCCTCCCAAAGTGCTGGGATTACAGGCGTGAGCCACCGCGCCCGGCCCCTTGTTGTTTTATTTTTTAGACAGTCTGCTAAAATCAGAACCAGACTTCTGGGCATTACCTACAAAAGGCTGTTCTACAGACATTTTTCTTCTCTAAGAATCAGAAACATTGTGAACTACGGCTTTGAAAAGTAGCCGGTAGAATAAAACAAGAAAAAGAAGCCATAGAAATAACAATGGGAAGAGAGAGAAAGCTATACTTTTTCACAGGCAATATGATGAATTAAGTAGCTCAGCTCAAAATGATGCAAATAAACAAGAGCTTCCCAAGAAAGTTTAGCAAAAGTGTTCAAGGCTTCTACAAAGATGCTGAAAACCTGGAAATATATATGACCTTCCATGATGAAACACAATATTATAAAGAATACATACTAAAAGTTTGATTTATCTTTTAAAAGAAATTCAATTAAAATCTCAATGACTTTTGGTGATAAACATTTAGTAAATGAAATTTATCTAAAGGCAAAAATTAGTATGAATACATATAACAATATGGAAAATATAAGAAAGCATGGGTTATCATATTAAAATATATTGTTAAGACACCCTAAAATAAAACAGAGAACAGAAACTCACATGGATGTTTAATGTGAGTGACATATGTGGTCACTGAGGAAATAATAAATTACTTAACACATGGTACAAGACGGTTTGGCTATGCTTCAACCCAAATCTTATCTTTAATTGCAGTTCCCGTAATCCCCACATGTCATGGTAGGGACCCGGTGGGAGATAATTGAATCATTGTGGGTCCTGGTCTTATAAGGAGTTTTTCCCCCTTTGTTCAGCTCTCATTCTCTCCTCCCACCCTGTGAAGAGGTGCCTTCCTCTATGATTATAATTTTCCTGAGGCCTCTCCAGCCATGTGGAACTGTGAGTCAATGAAACCTCTTTTTTTATAAATTATCCAGTCTCGGGTATTTCTTCATAGCAGCATGAAAACAGACTAATACATGATATTAGAATAAGTGGTTTAATATTCAGGTAAAACAAAGTTAGATCTTGGTTTCACACCATATACTCAAGTGAGTTCCTAATGCTTTAAGTTCATATACGTATACATAATATATATTATATATATATATATACTTATATGTATTATATATTTTTAGAAACAAGGTCTTGCTTTATCCCCCATATTAGAGTGCAGTAGCACAATCATAACTCAATGCATCCCCCAACTTCTGGGTTCAAGCAATCCTCCTACCTCTGTTTGCCAAGTAGGGGGGACTACAGGCATATGCCAACACATCCACCTAATTAAAAAAAATGGTAGAGATGGTTTCACTGTATTGTCCAGACTGGTCTAAATTCTTGGCCTCAAGCAATCCTTCCAGCTTAGCCTCCTCAACTGCTAGGATTACAGGTGTGAGCCACTGCTCCTGGCCAAATTCTGATAATTAAAAATGAAAAATATTATAAAAGACATCTGGGCAATATCTCATATCAGAAAGAAGAGTGACTTTCTAAATACAAAGAAGAGTGAATAACAAAGGAAAAATAAAAGATAACAGCCACAAACAATTTTTTTTATTATTATTATACTTTAAGTTCTAGGGTACATGTGCACAACATGCAGGTTTGTTACATATGCATACATGTGCCACTTTGGTGTGCTGCACCCATTAACTCATCATTTACGTTAGGCATTTCTCCTAATGCTATCCCTCCCTGCTCCCCCGACCCCATGACAGGCTCTGGTGTGTGATGTTCCTCTTCCTGTGACTAAGTGTTCTCATTGTTCAATTTCCACTTATGAGTGAGAACATGTGGTGTTTGGTTTTCTGTCCTTGTGATAGTTTGCTTAAACAATTTAACACTACTGTGCATTCCAAAAATGCAGTTTCATAAACAAAATAGAATAAACGACAACTGTGAACAAAATATTTGTTATATTTAGAACAATATTAATGCCTTTTTATGTATTTGCTATATTTAAGGCTTGCTATGTAGATTAATTCTTACTACTCAGCAAACTAAGCCTGAGCAGCTCAGTAGATAAATGATACAAAATTACAGCTAGACAGAAAGAATAAGTTCTAGTGTTCTATATCCCTGTAGAATGACTATAGTAATAAAAATATATAGTTTCCTATAGTTAGAAAGTGGGAACTGAATGTTCCCCACACAAAGAAATGACATATGTTTGAGATGATGAACACGATAATTACTGTAATCTGATCAGTATACATCATATGTATCAAAACATCACTATGTACTCCATACATTATACTATGTCAGTTAAAATTTTTAAAAAGGAAATGTAAGGACAAACCAAGAAATGAAAGTCTTCCAAGAGATGGCCAAATTAGGTAGTTTGGCAAAGAAGAAGGGGGTGAGGAGGAGGAGTAAAAAGAGGAGGGGGAGAAGGAAAGAAGAAGGAAGAAGAAAGAAGGATGAAGAGGAAGAGGAATAGGAGGTCATTGACACAAGCGACTTTGCAAAAAGTAGAGTGTGTCTCAGTGCTGGTGAGCATAAAATAAGTTGAGGCAAAGTAGGGATGTTGATGGCTCAACTCAGTATAGTGATTGGAATTTGGAGGTTTACTCCTCCCATTTGTGGGAATGAGAGTTTGGTGTAAGATTGCATCTAAAGATTCTATCTAAGATTTCATCTTATAATAAAAGTAAGGAGGTAGAGTGAAGTCTACAAAGACACAAGATAGAACAGCAGTACTCAATCTTGGCTGAACGTTAGAATCTCCAGGGAGTTTGCACAAATACCAACACCCAAACAAAAAATAACCAAGATCTCTTTTTAAGTGATTATCTGTGCTCCTGCAAGAAGAGGAGGAGGAGGAGGAGAAAGGAGGAAGAGAATGAGGAGAGTGAAGAGGAAAGAGAAGAGGAGAGGGAGGAGAGAAGAAGAGCATACTGCTTTGTGGTTATCAAAATGCGAGTTGTTAAAATGATAGTAATTCATCTGAGAAATATGGAAATAAAATGTGGACTCTCATAGGCTGGCTGGCATGGTGACAATATAAACTGGAAAAAGCTCTTTGAAAGGCATTTTGGAAATGTTTTGCAAGAGCCTTAAACATGCTCATACACTTCACTGTGGCCATTCCATATCTCGGAATTTCAGAGACTCTGGGAATTCTTTGCAGAGGTGGGCAAAGTTGTGAAACAGTCTAGAAGTCCCCCAAGATAGGATTAAATACTTAGTGACACATCCATACATCCCTAGGATGAGGCTGACTGATGTTGAGCTATGCAAAGGACATATTGGGGTTTTGGGGGCGGAGGTGAACTTTAAACCACATGATCTGATTTATAATCCAAACTGCAATTACATAGTGTGCATACACACTAACCAAAATCTGGGCATGTTCAGAATATTTATCTTTGATAAATGATATTGCAAATAACTTTTATTTATTCATTCTTTTCTATTCCAATATATATTACATTATGTAGAATATTACATTCTAATATATTTCTATGTCTTATTATTTATAACAGTTACACTATGAAATAAAGGCTTTTCACAAAGATAGAAGCTAGTTCCAGCTATGCATGTGAAAATGCTGGAAACTTGTTTTTCCTCTCCAAGCAGGGGCCAATTCTCCTTCCTAAGTGCCCTTCAAAGAGTTTTTTTCACTGGGCACAGTGGCTCACACCTGTAATCCCAGCACTTTGGAAGGCTGAGGTGGTCTGATCACCTGAGGTCAGGAACTTGAGACTAGCCTGACCAACATAATGAAATCCCATCTCTACTAAAATGCAAAAATTAGCTGGGCATAGTGGCGGGTGCCTGTAATCTCAGCTACGTGGGAGGCTGAGGCAGGAGAATCACTTGAAACTAGGAGGCGGAGGTTGCAGTGAGCCGAGATCGCACCATTGCACTCCAGCCTGGCAACAGAGTGAGACTCTTGTCTCAAAAAAACAAAACAAAACAAAAAAAGAGGTTTTTTCCATTTATATTGTCACTGTGCCAGCCTATGAGAGTGCATATTTTACCTCCATGTTTCCCAAGAATTGCTATCATTTTAACAACTTCTAATTTGATAACTACAAAGGAGTATAATCTTCTTGTCTCCTCCCTCTCCTCTTCCCTTTCCTCTGCCCTTTCCTTCTCTTCCTCCTCCTCTCCTCCTCCTCCTTCTTCTCCTTCTCCTTCTCCTACTCTTCCTCTTCCTTTCTTCCTCTTCCTCCTCTCCTTCTCCTGCTCCCACTTGTCCTCCAGCCACCTGGATCCACGGTAGGTTTTGTGTCTGCTCTTGCTTCAGCAAGGGGGACATCAAGACAGATTATCTTTCTCTGAGAATGTATTAAAGGCAGTATTTTCTGTAGAAAAATATCAGTGGTTTTTTTTTTTTCTATTAGTTTAAATCCTGGCCTAATAAAAGTCTCACCTTTCCAGAATCAACAATAAAAAATAAAACTGCAGTGGGTTTTAATACAGTCATCTGAAAATCATTTTTTATCTCTTCCTTTAAATACTTACTTAAAATGAAACTCAGCCTCCTTCCATCATCCAGAAAGTAAGATAGAAAATGTTTATACACGTAAGCTATTTTTATAATGATTCAAAGCCAAATCTTGAGGAAAAAACTAAAAACTTCAACCCTTCAGCTAGGCCCAGAAAATGTAAGATTGCATTATGTTGACATATTTCACAAAAGCTTATATAACATAAAATAATGAAAAAAGACTGTGTGAGTCTCCTGTTATATGTGGAAACTCTTAGTTTTTTTTTTTTTTTTGGCTTGTTTTTTCTTATTGTCTTAAAACTCATGTTGCTGAACATCAGTGAAAAATAGCTTTGCTTTCATTCTTCCAAAATCCACATGTCCATATTTCTTTTTCATAACAGAAAGTTGAAGCTAAATTCCACTCACAGTGCTTCACTATTCTCCAATCTCTTTTATTACTTTTTTAAAATATAAAATATACTTATTTAGAAATCTCTTAAATGATAAAGAGGGCTAAGAGTCTTAAGATTGTGAATAGGGACTTGTAAAAAATTGTAATCTATGCTCTGATTAGTAATCCAACTAAATTGTAACAGGGACACTTGTCTGGGCTGCAGATGACATTTCTCTATCACTTACTTGTGGGCAGAACTTAAGTTGATGCATAATCCCATGAATCCTAGTCCTCTAATCTGGAATAAAGAAATAATGTTCAGCCTACAGTATTGTTATACACTTTAAATGGCAGTATAAGGGAATGCTTTTAAAAAATTACAATTCATTGTGTAAATTGGAGTTATGCTATTAACATCATTGCATCCAAGAAATAATAATAATAATGGCTGGGCATGGTGGCTCACGCCTGTAATTCCAGCACTTTGGAAGGCTGAGGCAGGCAAATCACAAGGTCAGGAGGTTGAGACCACCGTAGCCTATATGGTGAAACCCCATCTCTACTAAAAATACAAAAAAAAAAAAATAGCCAGTCATGGTAGTGCATGCCTGTAATCCCAGCTACTCAGGAGGCTGAGTGAGGCAGGAGAATTGCTTGAACCTGGGAGGTGGAGGTTGTGGTGAGTCGAGATTGCACCACTGCACCCAGCCTGGGTGACAGGAGACTCCATCTCAAAAAAAAGACAAAAAAATACACACATACACACATATATAACAATAATAGATAGTATTTATATATCATTTCTAGAGGAGCCTTTCACAAATATTATTTCATTTAAATATGAAAACATTTGTGGCTTTGTGGAAATATACCATGGGTAAAATAAACCTCAGTCTAGCAGAAGCATACTTTGATAAGTATTGCTTTCTGATGTCAAGGGCAGGAGTGTTTCTCAACAGGTATGGCAGCAGTGAGGATAAGAAGATAAGGTATAGTAGGATAATACAGCGCCTCTGTGGACAACCTTTGAAGGTGCTCTGAATTCATTCAAGAACTCAAGTTCTTCCCACCTTGTCCTTCCTATCCCCTAGTGCCTTGTAATTTTTACTGAATGGGTAATTAGAACAAAGAGGTAGAAAACCATCCTTGCTTATTTACTCCTGAGCCTGGAAAGAACACACAGCATTTGTGGGAATTCATCACAACACTCCACTGGCAGGAATTTATCATATCACTTAATTGGTGGGAATTCATCACAAGATGCCACCTCAGTGCAAGGAAGCATGGGAAATGTAGTCTTTACCTCAGGATTTACATTCAATATGGCAGGCAGTGCATGGTGCTTGGTGGACAGGTAGCCACCTCTGCCTCAGAGCAGTTGCATTGCCATTGATGTTGCAGGTCAAGTAAATGGGCAATTCAATAACTGGGAGTCAGATGTAGGTCCAGGCTACATTATGGCAAACTGCTTCTTTAACGCATGTTTTCTTGTGCACTCAAAAGGGAGGAATGTGTCAAACAAAAAACTAAGATTTCTTTTTAATTTATTATTTGTGCTTGAAAATGTCCCCCAAATTATGTTTTCCCTCCTACATGTGACTGTTTGGGTTATCCATCTCTCCACTTGGAATCCCATCTCTTCATTTCTGCATCTGTTATTTCATAACTTCCAAAGAGAAATAGAAAAAGACTTTTAAAATAAGAGTGAATAATTCAGGCTACATTAAGATGTGTCCGACAAGTTGGATAATATTCAGGAGTGTGGTATTCCCTTTTACACCTAGGAAGCTTTTTATAAACAGATGACATGCGTGCTCAGATGAAATCCTTTAACTGGGTTTAATGAATGCTAAAGGTGCCAGGTATGCTATTTTTATGGTGTGCACTAAAATAGGCAGTAGTAAGTACAGTGTGAGATTTCGGTGTTGGTGTAATAAAGGATTTAGCAGGTTATTTTACAATGGATTTAATAGTAGTCTCAAAAATGAGTCCCTCAATCTTGAATCTATTCATACACACACACACTCATACACATGTGTATAACTTTATACTTACATTTTATATTTATATGTTTTTATTATATACTATATATTCTATCTACTTATCCCAGACTAATAACTATTTTTCAAATGGCTGAAATGACATATATTCTCAGGCTAGTTTCACTTTAGAAGGAAAAATACCATTTAAACCAGTGCACTAAGGTGGCAAATAATTCCATTTAGAAAGAAAATTGTTCTTTTGGGCAAGTAAACTAAAATGTCAATGAGCCTTTTTGACTTTGCAAAGGGTGGCATATGACCCATGCTGGTGTGCATGGAAGAGGTTCAGGCAAAGTAAGGATGTTGATGGCTCAGCTCAGCATAGTGATTGGAAATCAGAGTTGACAGCTAACAGCTGAAGGAATAAAAGGTTGGAGCTTCAAGCAAGATTGGATCTAAAGTTCTTAGAATGAAAGTAAGGAAGTAGAGTGAAGTCTACAGAGATGCAAGCTAGAACAGAAGTTCTCAATCTTGGCTGATTATTAGAATCACAGGGAGCTTGCACAAATACCAACACCCCAAACATTCCCTAAACTAATTGAATTTGAATTCCTAACAGTGGGGTAATGGGAAGAGAGAGATGTTATCGACATCAAATTTCTTAAACCCTTCAATGATTTCAAAGTGCATCCAAAATTAAGAACCACTGGTGAAGAGATTTATCAGGGTTTGACATTTCCATTGCCTTAAGGAGTGGTGATATTTGAAGTTTTATTGTCCTCATATGCCCCATCCTGTATGATATTGACTTTCATTATGTTCTGTTCCATGTTCACGTGATGAGGTTGTACAGAGGTTAAGATAATGCAAAGTAGAGCAGGAATTTCCTAGATTTTGAAGTTCTCATACGATAGAAGAGGAACATGAATATAAAGCACAGACTTTCTAAAGTTCTCATTAGGAAGGTAAGAAGATGGAATAGTAATTCTGCCATCTTAGAACTGAATGACCAAAGGCAAGCTGTTCAAACTCACTGTGCCTCAACTTCCTACTATGTAAAATGGGAGCAGTGGTATTGGCACTAACTTTGCAGGGTGGTTGTGATAATCAAATAAGTAATATATGGAAACTGGCCAAGGCTGTCAAGACTCTAGATAGATACCAATTATTATCATCAGTATTGAATTTGGAAGATGAAGGAGAGAAGATGAATTTGAGATTGGGACAAATTTAGCCAATCTTTGAGACAGAAGGCTTCCAAGGTCATACTTCGGCAGGTAGAGTTGATGGAGAATTTTGCCAGAAGCTGGAGATTGAAACAAGAAGAGGCACATTGCAACCCAGTGGCTATGATAACAATTATTCACCTTTCTCCCACTGAAGCACCTCACAATAGGAAGTAGCTTTGGGCTTTCTATAATCTTTGGGAGAGTACCTAAATCGTTCTACTGGGATGTTTCAGAGAAGGGCAACCTCCCAGAGGGAGGGCCTGAGTCATTTGGGTGACCTATATAATGAGCAAAGGCAGTTTTTGAGAACTCTAGAGGGAGTAAGTCAGGAATGTAGGGGAAAGTAATATAACAGGGAACATTAACTTTTAAATCACCATCAGAGAAAAGTCAAAGGCCATAAATGTGAGAAGGAATGAAGACAGGAGATAGAAAATGATGCATCTGAGAGTTATACACATAGCTGCTCACTGATCCTGGGATACTCTCCCCATACCCAATTTCTAAAAAATATATTAATAAAATAAACTTTCAAAAAAAGAAAATAAACAAACAAGTACCATTTTTTAAATATTTTTCAACAACTGATAATTCTCTTCTAATTGTTTTCATAACTTTTATCCCTTGTACATACATCCTCTGATGCTTTTCTTATCATGTTACAATTAATGTCTGTATATGTATTGTAAGTTCACTGGGATATAGGAATCCCATGCAATTCACTTTTCATTACACTGTCTCACTCAGTGCTTATCTCATGCTACATATCAGTAAATGTTGACTGAATTCTGTGAGCAAGGTGACAGCAAGAAACACAAAGAAATCTTTTACAAGCTCTATGATTTTCAAAGAGGCAAAGCTTTATTTCCAAAGGGAAGCTTTTGCAAAATTTTACCTCGACTGATGTCCATCTAAGCCTGCATGGCCTGAAAGTGTGGTGGTGAAAGGGAGAGAGGAGTAAGAGGAGTGACCTTGCAGTTGATAAACAGGATGATGATGATGATATCAATGATGATGGTGATGATGGTGATGGTTGTGATGATGATGAAGATGATAGTGATGGTGAGAAAAGTCTTTGATAGAGGGTTGCAAATTGTTGGTTGACAATAAGAATCCTTGTGTTAAAACATGGAGTAAAAAATGAAATGGAAGACTTGAAAAGTAGTCAAAGCCCTTGATTACTAATCCAAAGTGTGGAGTTAATTGTGTAAATTTGAAGATCCAATCTGAGGATTTTTCACTGAAGTAGCATAGCTGGAATTCTACAGCAGAAGACTAGCTTAGTGGTATTGTGTGTTGAATGCATTAAGGTGAAGAGTTTAGTAGACAAAATCAGCAATAATCCAAGTGAGATCTCAAATTTGGTATCAGCACCAGGGCAGTGATAGACAAGTAATAGGGAAAAATAGAAGGATAAAGTCAATGTTACAAAGGCATCTCAAAATATCTTGGTGAGTGATTGAAAGGAAAGCAAGAGAGAGTAAATGTCACAAAAAAGTTTAGGTTTATGAACTGAAAGACGTGGTGGCATTAACAGAAATATCAAAGAAGGAAAAGCTAAATTTGGAAGAAAGATGGTGTATATTTCAGCTTCTGCTTCAGTAACAAATAGCTCCAATTCAACAATAAATGTGCCTGTGTGAAAAGATGGCTACAGGTCAACTACAGCTCAGTTGGGCTCTGCTGGGTTCAGCCGTGCTGGATTCCTATTTGGAAGCCAAAGAAGCATTTCATGCTGTCCTCATGGTGGACAGCCGGAGGTACAGGGTTAAAGAATGTCTTGAGTCTTCTGCTTGGATAAAATTTACATCATGTCTGCTTAATTTCACTGGTCTAAACATTTTATATGGTCATGAGTGAATCTGTTTAATTTCCTCCTTATCTGAGAAAGCAGCTCATTGGGAACATGATCTAATTTGTGTCAGATGGTGAATGCAGTTTGGAACACAGTGGAAGATGATAGTGAATAGAGAGAGAGAGAGGCAGCAAGTTGCAGAAAATCAAGCAGAAACAGAACTCAGGAAAAAGTTAGAAACATAACTAAAATCCTTCAATATATAAAAGTTATAGTTGAAGATAGAGGGATTCATGAGTGAAGAGAGAAAAGAATGGTTTGAAGATAGAAAAAGAAGAAAATTGGGTAAGTAAAAGGAGGGGAAGAAAAAAGACATTGGAGTATAAAGAAAATAAACAGTGACAGTACCATACAACAGATATAAAGGGTAAAGGAATACATAGAATTTCCACATTGTTCTCAAAAATCACTTGGTCATAAAAAGCTTAGACAATACCATGGATATTTGCATATGTTTCTACTCGTTTGCCCACATGCGCACAGAATTGGGATACTGTGAAAAGCCCATATGAAGATAACCCTTGCTTTTCTTACCATACCATAGTTCATTTGAGTGGGTTTCAGGTGGGAAGGGAGACAGAATAATGGCAGGAATCATTTCTTATCCTTATGGCATTCTATGAGTATCACAAAAACCTAAAAACATGTATCCCTGAAGATATCCAGCAGATAAGCATAATATTGGGTTAAATGGCAGTGGATGCTTTCCTGGAATCAAAGAAAAAATTACAGTGGGAAAGGAGCATCCTTATTTATGAGACCCCTTTATGTGGAAGACATGAAATAAAGGTTTTATACTCCAATCTAAGGATTTCCAGTTTTTCCAGCCTTCCAGGGACTACCCTTAACTAAATGACTGCATACTCTGAGTCAAGTTGAGTGTCAAGCAGATTTACGGTCCTTCCCAGTACTTCAAATGGTCCACAGGCACTGTTTACCTTCTTCATCTGGATTTTGATAATCTCTCAGATCTTTCTATTATGTTTACTAAGGTTGTTGTTCTTCCCTTTCAAAGTCTTCATCAACAGAAGAGAAAGCAGATCTTTCTTCATGCCCCAACACACCACCAACCCAAGGTTGCTTTGTGTCATGGAACTTTAAGTTTTGCAAATATTGGAGAATGAAAATTGAGCAGAAATGGGAAAAAGTTTAGAAGGAATTTTAAATATAGTAGTCCATGTAATCCTTATTACTGCCATGAAGCTCAGAACCCAAGCCCTTCCCCAGAAGAAGACAAAATGAAGTCACTTCAGAGTCATCTCCCAGCCCAAGAGAAAATTGACATACCTTTATTATAGCCACCCAATACTTTTTTTAGTATCTACCCATGATCAGGCACTGGCTAGGTCAATATACGCACAGCATTGAAGAAACTAGATGGTGTGGTTCCAACATGGCTGAATAGGAACAGCTCCAGTCTGTAGCTCCCAGCGTGAGTGACAGAGAAGATAGGTGATTTCTGCATTTCCAACTGAGGTACTGTGTTCATCTCACTGGGGCTTGTCTGTCAGTGGGTGCAGGACAGTGGGTGCAGCACACCAAGGGTGAACCAAAGCAGGGTGAAATATCGCCTCACCCAGAAAGTGCAAGAGGTCAGGGAATTCCCTTTCATAGCCAAGCAAAGCTGTGACAGACAGTACGTGGAAAATCAGGTCACTCCCACCCTAGTACTGCACTTTTCGAATGGTCTTAGCAAAAGGCACACCAGGAGATTATATCCCAAGCATGGCTCAGAGGGGCTCACATACACAGAACCTTGCTCATTGCTAGCACAGCAGTCTGAGATCAAACAGCAAGGTGGCACTGAGGCTGGGGGAGGAGTGCCCACCATAGCTGAGGCTTGAGTAAGTAAGCAAAGTGGCCAGGAAGCTCAAACTGGGTGGAGCCCACTGCAGCTCAAGGAGGCCTGCCTGCTTCTGTAGACTCCACCTCTGGGGGCAGGGCATAGCCAAACAAAAGGCAGCAGAAACCTCTGCAGACTTAAATGTCCCTGTTTGACAGCTTTGAAGAGATTAGAGGCTCTCCCAGCATAGAGTTTGAGATCTGAGAATGGACAAACTGCCTCCTCAAATGGGTCCCTGACCCCCCAGTAGCCTATGGGGGAAGCATTCCCAAGTAGTGGTAGACTGACATCTCACACGTCTGTGTACGCCTCTGAGACAAATCCTCCAGAGGAATGATCAGATAGTAACATTTGCTGTTCAGCAATATTCCCTGTTCTGCAGCCTACTCTGCTGATACCCAGGTAAACAGGGTGTGGAGTGGACCTCCAGCAAACTGTAACAGACCTGCAGCTGAGGGCCCTGACTGTTAGAAGGAAAACTAACAAACAGAAAGGACATCCACACCAAAACCCCATCTGTACGTCACCATCACCAAAGACTAAAGGTAGATAAAACCACAAACATGGGGAAGAAATAGAACAGAAAAACTGAAAATTCTACAAATCAAGAGCACCTCTCCTCCTCCAAAGGAACGCAGCTCCTCACCAGCAATGGAACAAAGCTGGATGGAGAATGACTCTGATGAGTTGAGAGAAGAAGACGTCAGATCATCAAACTTCTCGAAGCTAAAGGAGGAAGTTCGAACCCATTGCAAAGAAGTTAACAACCTTGAAAAAAGATTAGACATCATCATTCTCAGTAAAATATCGCAAGGACAAAAAACCAAACACCACATGTTCTCATTCATAGATGGGAATTGAACAATGAGAACACATGGACACAGGAGGGAAACATCACACTATGGGGGCTGTTGTGGGGTGGGGGGAGCGGGGAGGGATAGCATTAGGAGATATATCTAATGCTAAATGACGAGTTAATGGGTGCAGCACACCAGCATGGCACATGTATACATATGTAACTAACCTGCACATTGTGCACATGTACCCTAAAACTTAACGTATAATAATAATAAAAAAGAAAAAAAAAAGATTAGACAAATGGCTAACTAGAATAACCAATGCAGAGAAGTCCTTAAAGAACCTGATGGAGCTGAAAACCACGGGACCAGAATTACATGATGAATGCACAAGCTTCAGTACCTGTTTCAGTCAACTGGAAGAAAGGGTATCAGTGATTGAAGATCAAATGAATGAAATGAAGTGAGAAGAGAAGTTTAGAGAAAAAAGAATTAAATAAATGAAAAAGACTCCAAGAAATATGGGGCTACGTGAAAGAACAAATCTATGTCTAATTGGTGTAACTGAAAGTGACAGGGAGAATGGAACCAAGTTGGAAAACACTCTGCAGGATATCACCCAGGAGAACTTCCCCAATCTAGCAAGGCAGGCCAACATTCACATTTGGGAAATACAGAGAGTGCCACAAAGATACTCCTCGAGAAGAGCAACTCCAAGACACATAATTGTCAGATTCACCAAAGCTGAAATGAAAGAAAAAATGTTAAGGGCAGCCAGAGAGAAAGGTCGGGTTGCCCACAAAGGGAAGCCCATCAGACTAAAAGCTGATCTGTCAGCAGAATCTCTGCAAGACAGAAGAGAGTGGGGGCTAATATTCAACATTCTCTTTTTTTTAATCTTTTTATTTATTTATTATTATACTTAAAGTTTTAGGGTACATGTGCACAATGTGCAGGTTAGTTACATATGTATACATGTGCCATGCTGGTGTGCTGGACACACTAACTCGTCATCTAGCATTAGGCATATCTCCAAATGCTATCCTCCCCCTCCCCCCACCCCACAACAGTCACCAGAGTGTGATGTTCCCCTTCCTGTATCCATGTGTTCTCATTGTTCAATTCCCACCTATGAGTGAGAATATGTGGTGTTTGGTTGTCTGTTCTTGCCATAGTTTACTGAGAATGATGATTTCCAATTTCATCCATGTCCCTACAAAGGACATGAACTCATCATTTTTTATGGCTGCATAGTATTCCATGGTGTATATGTGCCACATTTTCTTAATCCAGTCTATCATTGTTGGACATTTGGGTTGGTTCCAAGTCTTTGCTATTGTGAATAATGCCGCAATAAACATATGTGTGCATGTGACTTTAAAGCAGCATGATTTACAGTCCTTTGGGTATATACCCAGTAATGGGATGACTGGGTCAAATGGTATTACTAGTTCTAGATCCCTGAGGAATCGCCACACTGACTTCCACAATGGTTGAACTACTTTACAGTCCCACCAACAGTGTAAAAGTGTTCCCATTTCTCCACATCCTCTCCAGCACTTGTTGTTTCCTGACTTTTGAATGATAGCCATTCTAACTGGTGTGAGAGGGTATCTCATTGTGGTTTTGATTTGCATTTCTCTGATGGCTAGTGATGGTGAGCATTTTTTCATGTGTTTTTTGGCTGCATAAATGTCTTCTTTTGAGAGGTGTCTGTTCATGTCCTTTGCCCACTTTTTGATAGCGTTGTTGTTTTTTTTCTTGTAAATTGGTTTGAGTTCATTGTATATTCTGGATATTAGCCCTTTGTCAGATGAGTAGGTTGCGAAAATTTTCTCCCATTTTGTAGGTTGCCTGTTCACTCTGATGGTAGTTTCTTTTGCTGCACAGAAGCTATTTAGTTTAATTAGATCCCATTTGTCAATTTTGTCTTTTGTTGCCATTGCTTTTGGTGTTTTAGACATGAAGTCCTTGCCCATGCCTATGTCCTGAATGGTATTGCCTAGGTTTCCTTCTAGGGTTTTGATGGCTTTAGGTCTAACGTTTAAGTCCTTAATCCATCTTGAATTGATTTTTGTATAAGGTGTAAGGAAGGGATCCAGTTTCAGCTTTCTACATATGGCTAGCCAGTTTTCCCAGCACCATGTATTAAATAGGGAATCCTTTCCCCATTGCTTGTTTTTCTCAGTTTTGTCAAAGATAAGCTGATAAGAAACTTCAGCAAAGTCTCAGGATACAAAATCAATGTACAAAGATCACAAACATTCTCATACACCAATGACAGACAAACAAACAGAGAGCCTAATCATGAGTGAACTCCCATTCACAGTTGCTTCAAAGAGAATAAAATACCTAGGAATCCAACTTACAAGGGATGTGAATGTCCTCTTCAAGGAGAACTACAAACCACTGCTCAAGGAAATAAAAGAGGATACAAACAATTGGAAGAATATTCCATGCTCATGGGTAGGAAGAATTAATATCGTGAAAATGGCCATACTGCCCAAGGTAATTTACAGATTCAATGCCATTCCCATCAAGCTACCAATGACTTTCTTCACAGAATTGGAGAAAACTACTTTAAAGTTCATATAGAACCAAAAAAGAGCCCACACCGCCAAGCCAACCCTAAGCCAAAAAACAAAGCTGGAGGCATCACACTACCTGACTTGAAACTATACTACAAGGTTACAGTAACCAAAACAGCATGGTACTGGTACGAAAACAGAGATATAGATCAATGGAACAGGACAGAGTCCTCAGAAATAAAGCCACATATCTACAACTATCTGATCTTTGACAAACCTGAGAAAAACAACATTCTTAAAGAAAAGAATTTTCAAACTAGAATTTCATATCCAGCCAAACTAAGCTTCATAAGTGAAGGAGAAATAAAATCCTGTACAGGCAAGCAAATGCTGAGAGATTCTGTCACAACCAGGCCTGCCCTAAAAGAGCTGCTGAACGAAGCACTAAACATGGAAAGGAAAAATCAGTACCAGCCATGGCAGAAAAATGGCTGATTGTAAACACCATTGATGCTAGGAAGAAACTGCATCAACTACTGAGCAAAATAACCAGCTAACATCATAATGACAGGATCAAATTCACACATAACAATATTAACGTTAAATGAAAATGGGCTAAATGTTCCAATTAAAAGACACAGACTGGCAAATTGGATAAAGAGTCAAGACCAATCATTGTGTTGTATTCAGGAAACCCATCTCACGTGCAGAGACACACATAGGCTCAAAATAAAGGGATGGAGGAAGATCTACCAAGAAAATGGAAAACAAAAAAAGGCATAGCTTGCAATGCTAGTCTCTGATAAAACGGACTTTAAATCAACAAAGATCAAAAGAGACAAAGCAGGCCATTACATAATGATAAAGGGATCAATTCAACAAGAAGAGCTAACTATCCTAAATATATATGCACCCAATACAGGAGCACCCAGATTCATAAAGCAAGTCCTTAGTGAACTGAAAAAGAGACTTAGACTCCCACACAATAATAATGGGAGACTTTAACACTCCACTGTCAACAATAGACAGATCAATGAAAGAGAAAGGTAACAAGGATATCCAGGAAGTAAATTCAGCTCTGCACCCAGTGGACCTAATAGACATCTACAGAAATCTCCACCCCAAATCAACAGAATATACATTCTTCTCAGCACCATGCTGCACCTATTCCAAAATTGACAACGTAGTTGGAAGTACAGCACTCCTCAGCAAATACAAAAGAACAGAAATTATAACAAGTGGTCTCTCAGACCACAGTGCAATCAAATTAGACCTCAGGATTAGGAAACCCACTGAAAAACACTCAAATACGTGGAAACTGAACAACCTGCTCCTGAATGACTATTGGATACATAAGGATATAAAACCAGAAATAAAGATGTTCTTTGAAACCAGCTAGAACAAAGACACAACATACCAGAATCTCTGGGACTCATTCAAAGCAGTGTGTAGAGGGAAATTTCTAGCACTAAATGCCCACAAGAGAAAGCACGAAAGACCCAAAATTGACACCCTAATATCACAATTAAAAGAACTAGAAAAGCAAGACCAAACACATTCAAAAGCTAGCAGAAGGCAAGAAATAACTAAGATCAGAGCAGAACTGAAGGAGATAGAGACACAAAACCCCTTCAAAAAATCAATGAATCCAGGTGCTAGTTTTTTGAAAAGATCAACAAAATTGATAGACCACTAGCAAGACTAAAAAGGAAGAAAAGAGAAAAGAATCTAATAGACCCAATAAAAAATGATAAAGGGGATATCACCACCGATCCCACAGAAATACAAACTACCATCAGAGAATAATATAAACACCTCAATGAAAATAAACTAGAAAATCTAGAAGAAATGGATAAATTACTCGACACATACACCCTCCAAAGTCTAAACCAGGAAGAAGTTGAATCTCTGAATAGACCAATAAAAGGCTCTGAAATTTAGGCAATAATTAATAGCTTACCAACAAAAAAAAGTACACGACCAGATGGATCCATGGCCGAATTCTACCAGAGGTACAAGGAGGAACTGCTACCATTCCTTCTGAAACTATTCCAATCAATAGAAAAAGAGGGAATCCTCCCTAACTCATTTGATGAGGCCAGCATCATCCTGATACCAAAGCCTGGCAGAGACACAACTAAAAAAGAGAATTTTAGACCAATATCCTTGATGAACATTGATGCAAAAATCCTCAATAAAATACTGGCAAACCGAATCCAGCAGTACATCAAAAAGCTTATCCACCATGATCAAGTGGGCTTCATCCCTGGGATGCAAGGCTGGTACAATATACACAACTTAATAAATGTAATCCAGCATATAAACACAGCCAAAGACAAAAACCACATGATTATCTCAATAGGTGCAGAAAAGGCCTTTGACAAAATTCAGCAGCCCTTCATGCAAAAACTCTCAATAAATTAGGTATTGATGGGACGTATCTCAAAATAATAGAGCTATTTATGACAAACCCATAGCCAATATCATACTGAATGCGCAAAAACTGGAAGCATTGCCTTGGAAAACTGGCACAAAACAGGGATGCCCACTCTCACCACTTTTGTTCAACATAGTGTTGGAATTTCTGGCCAGAGCAATCAGGCAGGAGAAAGAAATAGAGGGTATTCACTTAGGAAAAAAGGTAGTCAAATTGTCCCTATTTGCAGATTACATGATTGTATTTCTGGAAAACCCCATCATCTCAGCCCAAAATCTCCTTAAGCTGATAAGCAATTTCAGCAGAGTCTCAGGATACAAAATTAATGTGCAAAAATCACAAGCATTCTTATACACCAATAACAGAGAGACAGCCAAATCATGAGTGAACTCCCATTCACAACTGCTTCAAAGAGAATAAAATATGTAGGAATCCAACTTACAAGGGATGTGAAGGACTTCTTCAAGGAGAACTACAAACCACTGCTCAATGAAATGAAAGAGGACACAAACAAGTGGAAGAACTTTCCATGCTCACGGGTAGGAAGAATCAATATCAGGAAAATGGCCATACTGCCCAAGGTAATTTATAGACTCAATGTCATCCCCATCAAGCTACCAATGACTTTCTTCACAGAATTGGAAAAAAACTACTTCAAAGTTCATATGGAACTAAAAAAGAGCCCGCATTGGCACGTCAATCCTAAGCCAAAAGAACAAAGCTGGAGGCATCACACTACCTGACTTCAAACTATACTACAAGGCTACAGTAACCGAAACAGCATGGTACTGGTACCAAGACAGAGATATAGACCTATGGAACAGAACAGAGCCCTCAGAAATAATACCACACATCTACCACTATCTGATCTTTGACAAACCTGACAAAAACAAGAAACGGGGAAAGGATTCCCTATTTAACAAATGGTGCTGGGAAAATTGGCTAGCCATATGTAGAAAGCTGAAACTGGATCCCTTCCTTACATCTCATACAAAAATTAATTCAAGATGGATTAAAGACTTACATGTTAGATCTAAAACCATAAAAACCCTAGAAGAAAAGCCAGGCAATACCATTCAGGACATAGGCATGGGCAAGGACTTCATGTCTAAGACACCAAAAGCAATGGCAACAGAAGCCAGAATTGACAAATGGGATCTAACTAAACTAAAGAGGTTCTGCACAGCAGAAGAAATTACCATCAGAGTGACCAGGCAACCTACACAGTGGCAGAAAATTTTTTCAATCTACTCATCTGACAAAGAGCTAATATCCAGAATCTACAAAGAACTCTAACAAATTTAGAAGAAAAAAAGAAACAACCCCATCAAAAAGTGGGCGAAGAATGTGAACAGACACTTCTAAAAGAAGACATTTATGCAGCCAAAAGACACATCAGAAAATGGTCATCACTGGCCATCGGAGAAATGCAAATCAAAACCACAGTAAGATATCATCTCACACCATTTAGTATGGCAATCATTAAAAAGTCAAGAAACAACAGGTGCTGGAGAGGATGTGGAGGAATAGGAACACTTTTACCCTATTGGTGGGACTGTAAACTGGTTCAACCATTGTGGAAGACAGTGTGGGGATTCCTCAAGGATTTAGAACTAGAAATAGCACTTGACCCAGCCATCCAATTACTAGGTATATACCCAAAGAATATAAATCATGCTGCTATAAAGACACATGCACATGTATGTTTATTGTGGCACTGCTCACAATAACAAAGACTTGGAACCAACCCAAATGTCCAACAATGAGAGGCTGGATTAAGAAAATGTGGCACCACCATGGAGTAGTATGCAGCCATAAAAAATGTTGAGTTCATGTCCTTTGTAGGAACATGGATGAAGCTGGAAACCATCATTCTCAGCAAACTATCACAAGGACAAAAAAACCAAACACTGCATGTTCTCACTTATAGGTGGGAATTGAACAATGAGAACACTGGGACACAGGAAGGGGAACATCACACACCGGGGCCTGTAGTGGGGTGGGGGGAGGGGGGAGGGATAACATTAGGAGATATACCCAATGTAAATGACGAGTTAATGGGTGCAGCACACCAACATAGCACATGTATATTTATGTAACAAACCTGCACATTGTGCACATGTACCCTAGAACTGAAAGTATAATAAAATATATATATATTTTAAAAAATGCCCCAAAGGATAAAAAAAGAAACTAGACAAATGTCTTCAATCAAGCATTGTAAGTAATTGTTGGCTTTTATACTAGATTTCCTGGCACCCGTTTTCCTGATCTACTTCCTGTATATCCTCAGCTCTGCATGGCAAGGAGAATGTCCCCTGCAGAGCTCCTATCAGGTGACTTGTTGCTGAAGTCAGCAATGGGGCAGGTATCGGACTTTGGAGAAGAAGTGGGAGAAATGGAAGGTGAGTGCATTTCCTGTGTCAGTCTTGGGCCACAGTGTTGCAGCCACAATTGATACATCATCAGTCTGTGACTCACTCTCTGAGGTGCCTACTTGTCTAGTTGGGCTCCTCAGCCCTTCCTTTCTTTCTGTAGACAACACCATATAGTAATTCCCCTTGACTGAAAACTCCAACTATGTAGTCCTTGAAGTTTTTTCTGTTTATATAATTAGGAAGCATCATAGAATGTTTCCTAAAACAAAAAAAGGGTACATTTTTCTCTCAGATAATTTATGCTGTCCTACCAGAGAGTGGACACAGCTTCAGTGTTTTTCTTCTTTTTTTAATGGAACTTTCAAGTTTTGTCCTATGAATTATGATATATCTGTGGTTTTCCCAATGGCCTGGTAAAATGAGTGGTGTCATCCCCACTTGATATACACAAAGAAACAGAAGTTTAAGTAGAGGACATCTACATTCACACAGCTATTAAAGAACAGGAAATAAATTCAAGCCTTTGTCTCATCCACTTGAAGTCTTGTTTGGTCGGCTATGTTTTCCCAAGGCTCTTCATCCACTCAAAGCCTTGTGTGATGGAATATGTTTTCCCAAAGCTCCCCATCCACCCAAAGCTTTGTTTCATGGACCATATTTTTCCAAGGCTCATAATCCACTCAAAGCCTTGTTCGATCAGCCATGGTTTCCCAAGTCTTTTCATCCACCCAAAGCCTTGTTGATCAGCCATGCTTTTCCAAGGCTCCTCATCCACTCAAAGCCTAGTTTAATTGTGCATGTTTTCCCAAGTGTCCCATCCACTCAAAACCTTGTTTGATAGGCCATGTTTTCCCAAAGCTCCATGGTTAGGCACAACACAGCACAGCGCACATGTTTGTTCTAGTTTTGGTTTCTAGTTCTGGTTCTGCTACATGGCTTAGGATGCATAAGCTTCAGCTGAAGTTGGATGGTGTAGGACTGAACCTACACCGATGCTCTAATCCCACACCAGTATAGTGGTCATATCTAAGAACGCTTCATCCGAATTCAACTCTCCCAAGAGTGGTTGTAGTGCTTAACTTGAACATACTTTGGAAACCATCACTCTTCAAACTACTGGAGAAATGACAGCAATAAGTATGGAAACAACCAACATATACTGAGTACTTGTGATGTGACAGGCTTTGTTCTAAGAATCTCATATTCTATTTTCACAATGGCTTTATGAGATAAATATCCTATAATTTTCCTCTTTCCCACAAATCTGAAAACAGAAGCATGCAGAATTTCAACAACACACAAGGTTCTAATGTCTTCTTGGGGGGAGGTACCACACAATATGATAAAAATTAGCAAAATAGGTTGCCCCATTGAGGGTTAAATCATAAGAAATATGTGATGGATCACAGTATAGTTTTGCCAAACTACTTCAGGAACAAATGAATTCCAGCACTAAAGAGGCCACTTCCTCATCATATTCTTGCTGCACTTCGTACTCACCCAGGCTTCTCTCTCAGAGATTCTGAATTGTAGGTCAGAGATATTAATAGAGCCTTGTGTAGCAGGTGGAATGGTGGCCCTCAAAGATGTGTCTATGTCCTAACCTCTGGAACTTATGTGAACTTATTTAGATAAGATATAAATGGCTTAAGTATCTCAAAATGATATTATCCTGGATTAGATAAGCCCTAAATCTATGGACAAATGTCCTTACAGAAAACCAAGAGGCTGAGGAAGGAGAATTGCCTGAACCCAGGAGGCAGAGGTTTCAGTGAACCAAAATCGTGACATTGCACTCCAGCCTAGGCAACAAGAGTGAACCTCTGTCTCCAATTAAAAAAAGAGAGAGAAAAGAGACAGAAGAGAACAGACACAGAGGAGAAGGCCATGTGGAGATGGAGGTAGAAACTGGAGTGAGGCAGATACAAGCCCAATTATGCTTAGAGTCCACAGGAGCTGAGAGAGACAGGAAGGATCCTCCTCTAGAGCCTCCAGAAGGAGTGGAATACAATTGTAATGGATTGAACCATAGTGTCCCAAAAAGATATGTCCACATCCTATCCCCAGAATATGTGAATGGAACCTTATTTGGAAATGAGGGCTTTGCAGGTATACTTAAGTCAAGGATCTCAAGATGAGATCATCCTGGATTAGTGTGGCCCTAGATTAAACAGCAGGTTTCTAAGAGACACAAAAGGAGACACAGATGGAGAGGAGTAAGCCACCTGGAGATGGAGGCAGACACTGAAGTGATGCAGCAACAAGCCCAGAGATGCCTAGAGCCTCCAGGAGCTGGGAGAGGCAGGAAGAATCCTTTCCTAGAACCTCCAGAGGTAGCATAGCTCTGTCCACTCTTTCACCTCAGACTGCTGGTCTCCAGAACTGTGAGAGAATCAATTCCTTTTGTTTTAAGCCATAGGTTCTGTGGTCACTTGCAAGGGCAGCCCCAGGAAATGAAGACACTTGGAGTTGAGGATGTTTAAATCAATCCAGGAGATGACAACATAAAGCCAACAAGAAACACAGGTTTCTTGTGTTCTAACAAGGTTAATTTTAAAAAGACTCTACTAAAAAGTAAGATGAACAACCTCTCAGGAGAAGATAAACCAACTTTTTTTTTTTTTTCCCAAAGCAGTCAGTTTGTGCTGGCCATCCAGGATCTCACTAACACTAGCCCTCTTAGTTTCATCATTAATCTGTTACTGAACTTCCACCTCCAAAAGACTTGGGTCATTTTTTATTTTTGGAGACAATCTTTCTCTATCACCCAGGCTGGGGTGCAGTGGTGTGATCTCGGCTCACTGTAGCCTCATTGTCTTGGGCTTAAGTGATCCTCCTACCTCAGTCTACAGAGTAGTTGGGACTACAGTCATGCACCACCACACCTAGCTAATTTTTGTATTTTCTGTAGAGATGTGATCCTGCTATATTGCGCAGGCTGGTCTTGAACTCCTGGGCTCAAGCAATCTGCAGGCCTTGGTCTCCCAAAGTTCTGGGATTACAGGTGAGACTTGGGTCTTAAATGACAAAAGTGCAGAAAACAATCTTGTGGGGTTCAGTGTCTTGGAGACTGAATTCAGCAGCAGGATTGGGGTCTTCCTCATCTTGTCCCACATTCAGCCCAGCTTCATTT
Organism: Homo sapiens; assembly: GCF_000001405.40. Lineage (NCBI taxonomy): Eukaryota > Metazoa > Chordata > Mammalia > Primates > Hominidae > Homo > Homo sapiens. The sequence goes on along the minus strand of NC_000024.10, from coordinate 12,004,034 downwards.
AAACAAGAACAGCCTTTGCAATTACAAACCAGACTTCAAGGACTAGAGCCTGATTGAAGTTTTGTTTTTCTGTGAGGGCCTGAGAGTAATTAAATGGTGACAATGGATGGTTAGCTAGGGATTTTGCTTGTGTCCACAGATTTACAAGAACATATACCAGATGTTAGAACTTAGCCATTTAGGGGGAAAAAAACAACTGTCTTGTAGTTAGTATATTATTTACAAATAATAATAGTCATATGTGATTCTGATTAATGATCTGCTCAAATCACACCTTTGTGTTCTGGACAAACTGGTTTAAATCATTTATTTTACCTGTCATGAGGTTTTAAGTACCTATCATCATGACCATCCCTACAAGAAAATTTTAAATATTTGCATTTATTTCTCAGGGCTTCTGTAACCAATCACCTCAAAATAGGGGCTTAAAAACAACAGAAATGGGGGTGGAGCCAAGATGGCCGAATAGGAACAGCTCCAGTCTACAGCTCCCAGGGTGAGCGATGCAGAAGATGGCTGATTTCTGCATTTCCAACTGAGGTACTGGGTTCATCTCACTAGGGAGTGCCAGACAGTGGGTGCAGGACAGTGGGTGCAGCACAACATGTGTGAGCCAAAGAGGGTGAGGCATCGCCCACTGGGGAAGTGCAAGAGGTCAGGGAATTCCCTTTCCTAGTCAAAGAAAGGGGTGACAGATGGCACCTGGAAAATTGGGTCACCCCCACCCTAATACTGTGCTTTTCCAAAGGGCTTATCAAATGGCACAACAGGAGATTATATCCCGCACCTGGCTTGGAGGGTCCTATGCCCACGGAGCCTCACTCATTGCTAGCACAGCAGTCTGAGATCAAACTGCAAGGTGGCAGCGAGGCTGGGGGAGGGGCACCTGCTATTGCTCAGGTTTGAGTAGGTAAACAAAGCAGCCTGGAAGCTCGAACTGGGTGGAGCCCACTGCAGCTCAAGGAGGCCTGCCTGCCTCTGTAGACTCCACCTCTGAGGGCAGGGCACAGAGAAACAAAGGACAGCAATAACCTCTGCAGATTTAATTGTCCCTGTCTGACAGCTTTGAAGAGAGTAGTGGTTCTCCCAGCATGCAGCTTGAGATCTGAGAACAGGCAGACTGCCTCCTCAAGTGGGTCCCTGACCTCTGAGTAGCCTAACTGGGACGCACCCCCAGCAGAGGTGGACAGACACCTCACACGGCCGGGTACTCCTCCAAGACAAAACTTCTAGAGGAACGATCAGGCAGCAGCATTTGTGGTTCAACAATATCCACTGTTCTGCAGCCACCATTGCTGATACCCAGGCAAACAAGGTCTGGAGTGGACCTCCAGTAAACTCCAACAGACCTGCAGCTGAGGGTCCTTACTGTTAGAAGGAAAACTAACAAAAAGAAAGGACATTGACACCAGAACCCCATCTGTACGTCACCATCATCAAAGACCAAAGGTAGATAAAACCACAAAGATGGGGAAAAAACAGAGCAAAAAAACTGGAAACTCTAAAAATCAGAGTGCCTTTCCTCCTCAAAAGGGACACAGCTCCTCACCAGCAATGGAACAAAGCAGGATGGAGAATGACTTTGACAAGTTGAGAGAGGAAGACTTCAGAAGATTAAACTACTCCCAGCTAAAGGAGGAAGTTTGAACGCATGGCAAAGAAGTTAAAAACTTTGAAAAAAAATTACATGAATGGCTAATTAGAATAACCAATGCAGAGAAGTCCTTAAAGGGCCTGACGGAGCTGAAAACCACGGCACAAGAACTATGTGATGAATGCACAAGCCTCAGTAACCAATGCAATCAACTTCCATCAGTGATGGAAGATGAAATGAATGAAATGAAGCATGAAGAGAAGTTTAGAGAAAAATGAATAAAAAGACAAGAACAAAGCCTCCAAGAAATATGGGACTATGTGAAAAGAGCAAATCTACATCTAAATGGCATACCTGAAAATGAGGGGAGAATGGAACCAAGTTGGAAAACATGCTACAGGATACTATCCAGGAGAACTTCCCCAATCAAGCAAGGAAGGCCAACATTAAAATTCAGGAAATACAGAGAATGCCACAAAGATACTCACTGAGAAGAGCAACTCCAAAACACATAATTGTCAGATTCAACAAAGTTGAAATGAAGGAAAAAATATTAAGTGCAGCCAGGGAGGAATGTCGGGTTACCCACAAAGGGATGCCCATCAGACTAACAGTGGATATCTCAGCAGAAACTCTACAAGACTGAAGAGAGTGGGGGCCAATATTCAACATTAAAGAAAAGAAGTTTCAACCCAGAATTTCATATCCAGCCAAACTAAGCTTCATAAGTGAAGGAGAAATAAAATCCTTTACAGACAAGCAAATACTGAGAGATTTTGTTGCAACCAGGCCTGCCCTAAAAGAGCTCCTGAAGGAAGCACTGAACATGGAAATGAACACCCGGTAATGCCACTGCAAAAACATGCCAAATTGTAAAGACCTTCAAGGCTAGGAAGAAACTGCTTCAACTATCGAGCAAAATAACCAGCTAACATCATAATGACATGATCAAATTCACACATAACAGTACTAATCTTAAATGTAAATGGGCTAAATTCTCCAATTGAAAGACACAGACTGGCAACTTGAATAAAGAGTAAAGACCCATCAGTGTGCTGTATTCAGGAAACCCATCTTACATGCAGAGACACACATAGGCTCAAAATAAAGCAGTGGAGGAAGATCTACCAAGCAAATGGAAAACAAAAAAAGGCATAGCTTGCAATGCTAGTCTCTGATAAAATAGACTTTAAACCAACAAAGATCAAAAGAGACAAAGAAGGCCTTTACATAATGATAAAGGGATCAATTCAACAAGAAGAGCTAACTATCCTAAATATATATGCACCCAATACAGGAGCACCCAGATTCATAAAACAAGTCTTTAGCGACCTATGAAGAGACTTAGACTCCCACACAATAATAGGAGACTTTAATACCCCACTGTCAACATTAGACAGATCAACGAGACAGAAAGTTAAGAAAGATATCTAGGAATTGAACTCAGATCTGCACCAAGAGGACCTAATATACATCTATAGAACTCTCCACCCCAAATCAACAGAATGTACATTCTTTTCAGCACCACACCTATTCCAAAATTGACCACATATCTGTAAGTAAAGCACTCCTCAGGAAATACAAAAGAACAGAAATTATAACAAACTGTCTCTCAGACCACAGTGCAATCAAACTAGAACTCAGGATTAAGAAACTCATTCCAAACCGCTCAACTACATGGAAACTGAACAACCTGCTCCTGAATGACTACTGGGAAATTTATAGCACTAAATGTCCACAAGAGAAAGCAGGAAAGATCTAAAATTGACACCCAAACAGCACAATTAAAAGAACTAGAGAAACAAGAGCAAACACATTCATAAGCTAGCAGAAGGCAAGAAATAACTAAGATCAGAGCAGAACTGAAGGAAATAGAGACACAAAAACCCTTCAAAATTCGGTGAATCCAGGAGCTGGCTTTTTGAAAAGATCAACAAAATTCATAAACCATTAGCAAGACTAATAAAGAAGAAAAGAGAGAAGAATCAAATAGACGCAATAAAAAATGACAAAGGGGATATCGCCAATGATTCCACAGAAATATAAACTACCATCAGAGAATATATAAACACCTCTATGCAAATAAAGTAGAAAATCTAGAAGAAATGGATAAATTCCTCGACACATACACTCTCCCAAGACTAAACCAGGAAGAAGTTGAATCTCTGAATAGAACAATAATAGGCTCTGAAATTGAGGGAATGATTAATAGCTTACCAACCAAAAAAGTCCAGGACCAGATGGATTCACAGCCATATTCTACCAGAGATACAAGGAGGAGCTGGTACTATTCCTTCTGAAACTATTGCAATCAATAGAAAAACAGGGAATCCTCCCTAACTCATTTAATGAGGCCAGCATCATCCTGATACCAAAGCCGGCAGAGACACTACAAAGAAAGAGAATTTCAGACCAATATCCTTGATGAACATTAATATAAAAATCCTCAATAAAATACTGGCAAACCGAATGCAGAAACACATCAAAAAGCTTTTCCACCATAATCAAGTTGGCTTCATCCCTGGGATGCAAGACTAGTTCAACATATGCAAATCAATAAACTTAATCCACCATATAAACAGAACCAATGACAAAAACCACATGATTATCTCAATAGATGCAGAAAATGCCTCTGACAAAATTCAACAACCTTCATGCTAAAAACTACCAATAAATTAGGTATTGATGGGACATATCTCAAAATAATAAGAGCTATCTATGACAAACCCACAGCCAATATCATACCGAATGCACAAAACTGGAAGCATTCCCTTTGAAAACTGGCACAAGACAGGGATGCCCTCTCTCACCACTCCTATTCAACATAATGTTGGAAGTTCTGGCAAGGGCAATCAGGCAGGAGAAGAAAATAAAGGGCATTCAATTAGGAAAGGAGGAAGTCAAATTGTCCCTGTTTGCAGATGACATGATTGTATTTCTAGAAAAACCCATTGTCTCAGCCCAAAATCTCCTTAAGCTGATAAGCAATTTCAGCAAAGTCTCAGGATACAAAATTAATGTGCAAAACTAACAAGCATTCTTACACACCAATAACAGGGAAACAGAGAGCCAAATCCTGAGTGAACTCCCATACACGATTGCTTCAAAGAGAATAAAATACCTAGGAATCCAACTTACAAGGGATGTGAAGGACCTCTTCAAGGAGAACAACAAACCACTGCTCAATGAAATAAAAGAGGATATAAACAACTTGAAGAACATTCCATGCTCATGGGTAGGAAGAATCAATATCATGAAAATGGCCACACTGCCTAAGGAAATTTATAGATTCAATTCCATCCCCATCAAGCTACCAATGACTTTCTTCACAGAATTGGAAAAATCTACTTTAAAGTTCATATGGAACCAAAAAATAGCCCACATTGCCAAGTCAATCCTAAGCCAAAAGAGAACAAAGCTGGAGGCACCACGCTACCTGACTTCAAACTATACTGCAAGTCTACAGTAACAAAAACAGCATGGTACTGGTACCAAAACAGAGATATAGACCAATGGAACAGAACAGAGTCCTCAGAAATAATGCCACGTATCTACAACCATCTGATCTTTGACAAACCTGAGAAAAACAAGCAATGGGGAAAGGATTCCTTATTTAAGAAATGGTGCTGGGAAAACTGGCTAGCCATATGTAGAAAGCTGAAACTGGATCCCTTCCTTACACCTTATACAAAAATTAATTCAAGATGGATTAAAGACTTACATGTTAGACCTAAAACCATAAAAAACCCTAGAAGAATACCTAGGCATTTCCATTCAGGGCATAGGCATGGGCAAGGACTTCATGTCTAAAACACCAAAAACAATGGCAACAAAAGCCAAAATAGACAAATGGGATCTGATTAAACTAAAGAGCTTCTGCTCAGCAAATGAAACCACCATCAGAGTGAACAGGCAACCTATAGAATGGGAGAACATTTTTGCAACCTACTTGTCTGACAAAGGGCTAATATCCAGAATCTACAATGAACTCAAACTAATTTACAAGAAAAAAAATAAACAACCCCATCAAAAAGTGAGAAGGATATGAACAGACACTTCTCAAGACATTTATGCAGTGAAAAAACACATGAAAAAATGCTCATCATCATTGGCCATCAGAGAAATGGAAATAAAACCACAATGAGATACCATCTCACACCAGTTAGAATGGCAATCATTAAAAAGTCAGGAAACAACAGGTGCTGGAGAGGATGTGGAGAAATAGGAACACTTTTACACTGTTGGTGGGACTGTAAACTAGTTCAACCATTGTGGAAGTTGGTGTGGCTATTCCTCTGGGATCTAGAGCTAAAAATACCATTTAACCCAGCCATCCCATTATTGGTTATATACCCAAAGGATTATAAATCATGCTGCTATAAAGACACATGCACATGCATGTTTATTGTGGCACTATTCACAATAGCAAAGACTTGGAACCAACCCAAATGTCCAACAATGATAGACTGGATTAAGAAAATGTGGCACATATACACCATGGAATAATATGCAGCCATAAAAAATGATGAGTTCGTGTCCTTTGTAGGGACCTGGATGAAGCTGGAAACCATCATTCTCAGCAAACTGTCACAAGGACAAAAACCAAACACCGCATGTTCTCACTCATAGGTGGGAACTGAATAATGAGAACACATGGACACCGGAAGGGGAACATCACACATCGGGGACTGTTTTGGAGTGTGGGGAGAGAGGAGAGATAGCATTAGGTGATATACCTAATGCTAAATGATGAGTTAATGGGTGCAGCACACCAACATGGCACATGTATACATATGTAACAAACCTGCACATTGTGCACATGTACCCTAAAACTTAAAGTATAATAATAATAAGAAAAGAAATAAAAATATATGTTACCTTCAGAAAGAAAAAAAAAAAAACAGAATGGACTCCTTCTCAGTTTTGGAGACCAGAAGTCTGACATCAAAGTGTCTCAGGGCCATGCTCCCTATGGAGGCTCTAGGGGAGGATCCTTCCTGCCTCTCCCAGCTCCTGGGGGGCTCCAGATGTCCCTGGGCTTGTGGCTGCATCACTCCAGTCTGCCTCCATCTCCACAAGGCCTTCTCCTGTGTCTGTTCCTCCTGTTTTGTCTCTTAGGACAGACACCTATTATTGGATTTAGAGCCCGTCTAATCCAGGATGAACTCGTCTCAAGATCTTTAACTTAATTACACCTGCAAAGACCCTATTTCCAAATAAGGTCCCATTCCCAGGATCTGGGAGTCAGAATATGGGCATATATTTTGGGGGCCACTGTTCAATGCACTACAATTGTATGCAGTTCCCTCTGGATGTTCCAGGGGAGGATCCTTCCTACCTCTTCCAGATCCTGGGGGCTCCAGGAATCCCTGGGCCATGTCACTCCATTTTCTGCCTCTGTCTCCACATGGCCTCCTCCTCTGTGTCTGTGTCCCCTGATTTGTCTCTTATAGGCACACTTATTGCATTTAGAACCCATCCTTATCCAGAATAATCTCATTTCCAGGTCCTTCACATGATTACATCTGCAAAAACTCTTTTTTCAAATAAGGTTGCACTGACAGGTTGCAGGTAGAAATGATTTTTTTGCAAACTGCAGCCTCAAACTCCTGGGCTCAAGTAATCCTCCTAGCTCAGCCTCCTGAGTAGCTGTGACTACGGGCCTGCACCACTATTACATTATATCTATTACTAAACCCCAGGTCTCTTTACTTGAGGGTCGCACTTTCTTCATGATCTTTTTGCGGCCAGGAGAACACGTCCTCTCATTTGTTCATATCATTCTGCCCAGCCATTCTTCTATTCTTGACTCAGTGAAAATGCTATCTAAGTCATAAAAATATAGCTCTTTTTAAATGGGACTACAATCCCACTTGGTTTTTTAATCTTCTAGAATCTGAATGCTCTCTGAAACACTTTTAATGTTTCCAAACACCTCTTCAGCCCATCACCTCATGTGAATGCAGAAATTTTTGTTGATAGGATGTTTTTGCCAATTTTTTTCCAGGTAAAATTTTACCAAGGTATGTCCTGCAGAAACATTCTCTACACCTAGGTGAACTTACCTCCCCAGATCTCAGTTTCCACATCATGCACTGAAGAAGACTGTCCAAATGAACATGTTTCTGAAACCCTCTGCTGCGTGTATTTACCTAGCACAGTGTTTCGCAATCAGGAAAGGTACAGCCTTATGCAGGGAATGTAGCCATATCTAGAGACATTTTTGGTTGTCCACTGGGGTGGTGCGTGCTCCTGGCATCTTGTGGGTGGAGCCCAGGGACTCTGCTCAACACCCTACAGTGCACAGGACAGTCCCACCATAGAGAATCCTCCTGCCCCAGATGTCCATACTGCTGAGGCGGAGAAATCCTTAGCATGAGAAACTCTATCTATTATCCATCCAGTCAACCCTCATTTATTTGTCTGTGTATGTATGTATGTATGTATGTATGTATGTATGTATGTATCTATCTCTCATCTCTATCTATCTATCTCTCATCTCTATCTCTCATCTCTCATCTATCATCCATCCATTCATCTATCACCTATCCAACCATGCATCTTCTATTTATCTATACATCTATCATCTACCCAACTACCTATCTAATCCACCCAACCATCTGTCATCAGTCTATCTACATAGGTATCTATCCAATTATTGATCATCTATTCAACCATACATTATCTGTCACTCTATCTTCTATCTATAATTCATCCAAACATACATCTATTTATCTATATACCTATCATCCACCCAACCATCCATCATTTATTTATCTGTGTATCTATCATCCATCCAACCATCCATCATTTATCCATCCATCATTTATCTATCTATCCTCCATCCAACCATCTATTATCTATCTACCTATCTTACTCCTATCTGTATCTACTATCTATTTATATCTATCAATCATCTATCTGTATCAATCTTTGTCCCCTATCTATATCTATTATCAACCTATCATCTATCTCTTTGTATCTGCCAGTCATTTATCTATCACCTGTCTACCATCTATCTATCACTTATCTATCTATATCAATCATCTATCAGTTATCTATTTACCAATCTAATCTGTCCGCATCAGTGGCTCTCAGGAGCAAGTTTGCACCCTCTAAAGGGGCATTTGGTAATGTCCAGAGACATTTTGGTCATCACAACTTTTTGGGGGTGGGGGGATGCTAGCATGTGGCAGGTAGAGCCCAGGGATACTTCTCAACACCCTACACAGGACACCCAAGCCCAGAGAATCATCCATCCCCAAATGTCATTCATGGGCATTTTGAGAGACCCTGCACCATCTGAAGAACCAGTCTATTGAGCATAAACACTCCAAGCACCACCTCCTCCTCCTCCTCTCTGCTTCCTCAGGCTCTGTTGATATCCAGCACAAGTAAGGGCTGTGCAGACATATTTAAGCAAATAAGTGGATTCATGAATGAGAGACATGCTCTATGCCTTCCACAGAGTTAAAAAAAAATAAACCAGCATTCTTTAGTTTCCATGACCGACATTCTTTAACAATTTGTGACACTGCATTTCTTGAAATGCTGACAGTAATATTTTTCCCAAATATTTATCTTGTTTGCCTTTTTCCTTACTCTCAGGGGAAGCAAAAGAAGGACAGTTTTGCATATTTGTGGAATACAAATACATGTATATACAGGTGTCTCTTTGAAAACAATATAAAAAAGAAAAATCCTGAATGATTTCCTAGAGCACTGCTTCTCAGTCCCCAAGCTGTCTTGCTGAATACTGAAATTGTCACTACATGCAACTGACACTCAAATCCTGCCTTCCTGCCTGCCAAATCTGTCATCAGAAGCATTGCCTTTGACTCAGTTTCCTTGCCTGTTAAAAATGTGTAGAGAAGCTAATCATTGAGAGAAGGTGATGAAAGCAGTTTTTTCAACCACTCTGATGGAAACCCAAATTAATGTGACCCTCTTTTGTCCTTGAAAATAGCATTGTTGAAGATGGCCGAATAGCAACAGCTCCGGTCTACAGCTCCCAGTGTGAGCGACGCAGAAGACGGTGATTTCTGCATTTCCATCTGAGGTACTGGGTTCATCTCATTGGGGAGTGCCAGACAGTGGGCGCAGGTCAGTGGATGCGTGCACTGTGTGGCAGCCAAAGCAGGGCAAGGCATTGCCTCACTTGGGAAGCGCAAGGGGTCAGGGAGTTCCTTTCCGAGTCAAAGGAAGGGGTGACAGATGGCACGTGGAAAATTGGGTCACTCCCACCTGAATACTGCGTTTTTCCAATGGGCTTAAAAAAACGGTGCACCACGAGATTATATCCCGCACCTGGCTCGGAGGGTCCTACACCCACAGAGTCTCGCTGATTGCTAGCACAGCAGTCTGAGATCAAACTGCAAGGTGGCAGCGAGGCTGGGGGAGGGGCGCCCGCCATTGCCCAGGCTTGCTTAGGTAAACAAAGCAGCCAGGAAGCTTGAACTGGGTGGAGCCCACCACAGCTCAAGGAGGCCTGCATGCCTCTGTAGGCTCCACCTCTGGGGGCAGGGCACAGACAAACAAAAAGACAGCAGTAACCTTTGCAGACTTAAATGTCCCTGTCTGACAGCTTTGAAGAGAGCAGTGGTTCTCCCAACACGCAGCTGGAGATCTGAGAAGGGGCAGACTGCCTCTTCAAGTGGGTCCCTGACACCTGACCCCCGAGCAGCCTAACTGGGAGGTACCCAGCAGGGGCAGACTGACACCTCACACAGCCGGGTATTCCAACAGACCTGCGGCTGAGTGTCCTGTCTGTTAGAAGGAAAACTAACAAACAGAAAGAACATCCACACCAAAAACTCATCTGTACATCACCATCATCAAACACCAAAAGTAGATAAAACCACAAAGATGGCGAAAAAACAGAACAGAAAAACTGGAAACTCTAAAAAGCAGAGAGCCTCTCCTCCTCCAAAGGAATGCAGTTCCTCACCAGCAACAGAAGAAAACTGGACGGAGAATGACTTTGACGAGCTGAGAGAAGAAGGCTTCAGACAATCAAATTATTCTGAGCTATGGGAGGACATTCAAACCAAAGGCAAAGAAGTTGAAAACTTTGAAAAAACTTTAGAAGAATGTATAACTAGAATAACCAATACAGAGAAGTGCTTAAAGGAGCTGATGGAGCTGAAAACCAAGGCTCAAGAACTACGTAAAGAATGCAGAAGCCTCAGGAGCCGATGTGATCAACAGCAAGAAAGGGCATCAGTACTGGAAGGTGAAATGAATGAAATGAAGTGAGAAGGGAAGTTTAGAGAAAAAAGAATAAAAAGAAATGAGCAAAGCCTCCAAGAAATATGGGACTATGTGAAAAGACCAAATCTACGCCTGATTGGTGTACCTGAAAGTGATGGGGAGAATGGAACCATGTTGGAAAACACTCTGCAGGATATTATCCAGGAGAACTTCCCCAATCTAGCAAGGAAGGCCAATGTTCAGATTCAAGCGGATCTCTCGGCAGAAACCCTACAAGCCAGAAGAGAGTGGGGGCCAATATTCAACATTCTTAAAGAAAAGAATTTTCAACCCAGAATTTCATATCCAGCCAAACTAAGCTTCATAAGCAAAGGAGAAATAAAATACTTTACAGAAAAGCAAATGCTGAGAGATTTTGTCACCATCAGGCCTGCCCTAAAAGAGCTCCTGAAGGAAGCGCTAAACATGGAAAGGAACAACCAGTAACAGCCACTGCAAAATCATGCCAAATTGTAAAGACCATCAAGACTAGGAAGAAACTGCATCAACTAACAATCAAAATAACCAGCTAGCATCATAATGACAGGATCAAATTCACACATAACAATATTAACTTTAAAGGTAAATGGACTAAATTCTCCAATTAAAAGACACAGACTGGCAAATTGGATACAGAATCAAGACCCATCAGTGTGCTGTATTCAGGAAACCCATCTCACGTGCGAGACACATACAGGCTCAAAATAAAAGGATGGAGGAAGATCAACCAAGCAAATGGAAAACAAAAAAAGGCAGGGGTTGCAATCCTAGTCTCTCATAATACAGACTTTAAACCAACAAAGATAAAAAGAGACAAAGAAGGCCATTACATATTGGTAAAGTGATCAATTCAACAAGAAGAGCTAACTATCCTAAATATATATGCACCCAATACAGGAGCACCAAGATTCATAAAGCAAGTCCTGAGTGACCTACAAAGAGACTTAGACTCCCACACATTAATAATGGGAGACTTTAACACCCCACTGTCAACATTAGACAGATCAACGAGACAGCAAGTCAACAAGGATACTCAGGAATTGAACTCGGCTCTGCACCAAGCGGACCTAATAGACATCTACAGAACTCTCCACCCCAAATCAACAGAATATACATTTTTTTCAGCACCACAGCACCTATTCCAAAATTGACCACATACTTGGAAGTAAAGCTCTCCTCAGCAAATGTAAAAGAACAGAAATTATAACAAACTATCTCTCAGACCACAGTGCATACAAACTAGAACTCAGGATTAAGAATCTCACTCAAAACTGCTTAACTACATGGAAACTGAACAACCTGCTCCTGAATGACTACTGGGTACATAACGAAATGAAGGCAGAAATAAAGATGTTCTTTGAAACCAACGAGAACAAAGACCCAACATACCAGAATCTCTGGGACACATTCAAAGCAGTGTGTAGAGGGAAATTTATAGCACTAAATACCCATAAGAGAAAGCAGGAAAGATCCAAATTTGACACCCTAACATCACAATTAAAAGAACTAGAAAAGCAAGAGCACATTCAAAAGCTAGCAGAAGGCAAGAAATAACTAAAATCAGAGCAGAACTGAAGGAAATAGAGACACAAAAAACCCTTCAAAAAATTAATGAATCCAGGAGCTGGTTTTTTGAAAGGATCAACAAAACTTATAGACTGCTAGCAAGACTAATAAAGAAAAAAGAGAGAAGAATCAAATAGATGCAATAAAAAATGATAAAGGGGATAACACCACCGATCCCACAGAAATACAAACTACCATCAGAGAATACTACAAACACCACTATGCAAATAAACTAGAAAATCTAGAAGAAACGGATAAATTCCTGGACACATACACTCTCCCAAGACTAAACCAGGAAAAAGTTGAACCTATGAATAGACCAATAACAGGATCTGAAATTGTGGCAATAATCAATAGTTTACCAACCAAAAAGAGTCCAGGACCAGATGGATTCACAGCCGAATTCCACCAGAAGTACAAGGAGGAACTGGTACCATTCCCTCTGAAACTATTCCAATCAATAGAAAAAGAGGGAATCCTCCCTAACTCTTTTTATGAGGACAGCATCATCCTGATACCAAAGCCAGGCAGAGCACAACAAAAAAAGAGAATTTTAGACCAATATCCTTGATGAGCATTGATGGAAAAATCCTCAATAAAATACTGGCAAAACAAACCCAGCAGCACATCAATAAGCTTATTCACCATGATCAAGTGGGCTTCATCCCTGGGATGCAAGCCTGGTTCAATTTACACAAATCAATAAATGTAATCCAGCATATAAACAGAACCAAAGACAGAAACCACATGTTTATCTCAATAGATGCAGAAAAGGCCTTTGACAAAATTCAACAACTCTTCATGCTAAAAACTCTCAATAAAATAGGTATTGACGGGACGTATTTCAAAATAATAAGAGCTATCTATGACAAACCCACAGCCAATATCATACTGAATGGGCAAAAACTGGAAGCATTCCCTTTGAAAACTGGCACAAGACAGGGATGCCCTCTCTCTCACCACTCTTATTCAACCTAGTGTTGGAAGTTCTGGCCAGGGCAATTAGGCAGGAAAAGGAAATAAAGGGTATTCAATTAGGAAAAGAGGAAGTCAAATTGTCCCTGTTTGCAGACGACATGACTGTATATCTAGAAAACCCCATTGTCTCAGCCCAAAATCTCCTTAAGCTGATAAGCAACTTCAGCAAAGTCTCAGGATACAAAATCAATGTACAAAAATCACAAGCATTCTTATACACCAACAACAGACAAACAGAGAGCCAAATCATGAGTGAACTCCCATTCACAATTGCTTCAAAGAGAATAAAATACCTAGGAATCCAACTTACAAGGTATGTGAAGGACCTCTTCAAGGAGAACTACAAACCACTGCTCAAGGAAATAAAAGAGGATACAAACAAATGGAAGAACACTCCATGCTAATGGGTAGGAAGAATCAATATCGTGAAAATGGCCATACTGCCAAAGGTAATTTACAGATTCAATGCCATCCCCATCAAGCTACCAATTACTTTCCTCACAGAATTGGAAAAAACTGCTTTAAAGTTCATATGGAACCAAAAAAGAGCCCACATCGCCAAATCAATCCTAAGCCAAAAGAACAAAGCTGGAGGCATCACACTACCTGACTTCAAACTATAATACAAGGCTACAGTAACCAAAACAGCATGGTACTGGTACCAAAACAGAGATATAGATCAATGGAACAGAACAGAGAACTCAGAAATAATGTCGCATATCTACAACTATCTGATCTTTGGCAAACCTGAGAAAAACAAGCAGTGGGGAAAGGATTCCCTATTTAATAAATGGTGCTGGGAAAACTGGCTAGCCATATGTAGAAAGCTGAAACTGGATCTCTTCCTTACACCTTATACAAAAATCAATTCAAGATGGATTAAAGACTTAAACATTAGACCTAAAACCATCAAAACCCTAGAAGAAAACCTAGGCGTTACCATTCAGGACATAGGCATGGGCAAGGACTTCATGTCTAAAACACCAAAAGCAATGGCAACAAAGGACAAAATTGACAAATTGGATCTAATTAAACTAAAGAGCTTCTGCACAGCAAAAGAATCTACCGTCAGAGTGAACAGGCAACCTACAACATGGGAGAAAACTTTCACAACCTACTCATCTGACAAAGGGCTAATATCCAGAATCTACAATGAACTCAAACAAATTTACAAGAAAAAAACAAACAACCCCATCAAAAAGTGGGTGAAGGACATCAACAGACACTTCTCAAAAGAAGACATTTATGCAGCCAAAAAACACATGAAAAAATGTCCATCATCACTGGCCATCAGAGAAATGCAAATCAAAACCACAATGAGATACCATCTCACACCAGTTACAATGGCAATCATTAAAAAGTCAGGAAACAACAGGTGCTGGAGAGGATGTGGAGAAATAGGAACACTTTTACACTGTTGGTGGGACTGTCAACTAGTTCAACCACTGTGGAAGTCAGTGTGGCGATTCCTCAGGGATCTAGAACTGGAAATACCATTTGACCCAGCCATCCCCTTACTGGGTATATACCCAAAGGACTATAAATCATGCTGCTATAAAGACACATGCACACGTATGTTTATTGTGGCATTATTCACAATAGCAAAGACTTGGAACCAACCAAAATGTCCAACAATGATAGACTGGATTAAGAAAATGTGGCACATATACACCATGGAATACTATGCAGCCATAAAAAATGATGAGTTCATGTCCTTTGTAGGGATATGGATGAAATTGGAAATCATCATTCTCAGTAAACTATCGCAAGAAAGAGAAACCAAACACCGTATATTTTCACTCATAGGTGGGAATTGAACAATGAGATCACATGGACACAGGAAGGGGAATATCACACTCTGGGGACTGTTTTGGGGTGGGGGTAGGGGGGAGGGATAGCATTGGGAGATATACCTAATGCTAGATGACGAGTTAGTGGGTGCAGCGCACCAGCATGGCACATGTATACATATGTAACTAACCTGCACATTGTGCACATGTACCCTAGAACTTAAAGTATAATTAAAAAAAAAAAAAAGAAAATAGCATTGTCATCACTGCCAGGTTTTTGGGAGAATATATTTTATTATCAAATGTACAGTATATTGACCCTAAAATTACAGTAAAGCAGTCATGGAAATAACAGATCTTGTATTATTCATGGACACAGACTAACTCATGGTTGCGGAAGAAGCAGCCACCTTAGACCAGATGGACAAGTCAGATACTGCAGAGAAGTTTCTGGGCTTTCCAGGGAAGACTCTAGATTCAATTCTGGAAAGATATGATGCAGTTTTCTCCTCCTCTCCTCTCACCTCCGCTGAGCACAGCTTTCAACAAAAACTTTGCATACAAGGAAATCTAATATCACAGCCTTCCCCAGTGCAGGGTTGCTGGAGAAAGTAACATAACAGTAGCGACTGAATTTGAAGGAGGTTGGAGAGGAATTGTTTAAAATTCTATTTCCATGTCTGCTGTAATGTATCCAAGTCTTGTAAAGACCAATCATTTATTAATTTTAATGAGACAGAAAGTATTTCTCCTTCTAGTCTCATCATCTGATTTGAAAGGAAAAATATTTATATAAAAAAATTACATAAAAAGTGGGTTCCAGGAAGAAATGTTTTTTTCATATAAAATGGTAGCTGTATGTATGTAACTCTGAATTAAAATATATATATTATATATAAATTATATATATATAAATTTAATTTATATATATATAATTTATATATATAACAATCACTCTAGTTCTAAATCCTTATTGGGCAAGCTGGAGTTTTGAAGTGATAGAGGAAATAACTGAAAGATGACTTGTCAATCTGGAACAAAGTCTATCATGTAAAAACTGCAGCAGGTTAACTAGACGATGCATCTTCAATGGGGGAGTGAGGTGTTGTTCATGTCTATGGCTTATTTTCGGTGAATGTTCCTCAGATATCCTATGGACACTTACGCAGGCAGTCGAATGACATTTGCAAAAAAATAAAAATTACAGTCAGAGCACAGACACCCTGAATGAAGCCCCTGGCATGATGTAAACACAAAAGAAAGTTCTCAGTGAGGCTGAGCCCTTTTACTCATGTCTGTATTGCTTCCTTTTCCCAACAATTGTAGATCAAGATCAACCTCAACTTGAATCCCACCGGGGGCCACCATGCACTGTGACACATTATTTAAGAGCTCTGATTCCCCAGCCTGGCTTCCCTTACAAACCCCGCTTTGTTGTCAGTTCCTGAGCAATCATTCTGGAATCCACATTTCAGAAGACATGGATATAAGTTGTTTTGGAGTCACTGCTGAGAATGTTTTTTGCCGTGCACTTGTAGAAGCCAGCGTCTCTCCGTCTGGCCTGCTGGATGGTCAGTGATCCCTGGGGGTGAAGAAATCTGTTTCCATACAGACGAGCCTGAACCCCTGCCTTCAGATGCAACTTATCCGGTAACTCCCACGTGATGTCACCTTTGGGAATCCCCATAGCCATGCAGTTCAGTTTCACGGTGTTCCCGGGACGGGTGTAGATGACTGGGGTAGGCTCGCTGGTGATCCGGGGAGGATAGGCGATCACAATCACGGGGATGCTGGTGACCGAAGGGCCGTACGCCGTCTCCATCCTGCATACATAGGTACCCCTGTCAAACACCGAGGCCTCACGAACCGTGAGGGTGCCATTGTCCAGAAGAGAAACGCGTCCCAGGGTTTGGGGGCCCTCCAGATGCATGCCATTGGGGAGTGTCCAGGAGAAATGTCCCTGCCCAGCTGCAGGAGGGGTGCAGGGGAGCTTCAGGGTCTCACCATTGATGATGCTGACCAGGTTATGATACTGCTTGTTTGCTTCTGGCTTCAGTCCCACCTTCAGGGAGACCAGCCTCTCCGTGTGGCCCGCGGCATTGCGGGCCACGCAGCGGTAGGCCCCGGCGTCCACCGAGGAGAGACCGCTAATGTGTAGCATGCCGTCAGCCTTGTGGTAGAAGCGCTGCAGCTGCTGTCCACTCTGCAGATCGGTGCCATTGGGAAGGACCCACACCAGGCTGGGTGTCAGGGTCCCCGCGGCAGAGCAGTTGAGGCTGATGGTGTGGCCCGCCATGGCCGTGATCTTCTCGCTGATCGGGTCGTGGAAGATGGGTTTCTCCATGGGCTCCAGGACAGTGAGCTGCACGATCAACCTCGCCTCCCCTCCCTCGTTGCGTGCCATGCATACCAGCTGGACGGAGTCGCTCTTCCTCAAACTCCTGATGTCCAGGGAACCGTTGCCATGGACAGTGATCCGGTTTCCATAGTATGGATCTGGCAGAACCACACCCTCGGGAAAAGCCCATAACACCCTCGGGGTGGGGATGCCTTCAGCTTTGCAGTCAATCAGTTTCCGACTGCCCCCGGCTGCTATCTCCCACACGGTGGTGATGGGGTTGGGGTTACCATTGATCTTGGGTGGCTGGAGGTTGACGTGAATCCACACTGTCTTCCTATCCTCTCCGGCACTGTTCCTGACCAGGCAGGTGTAGTTGCCGCTGTCAGAGCACTGGGCTTTCTGAATAAGGAGAGTGCCATATTGGTATATCTGATACTTCTCAGAGGAGGTGGGGATCACCCTGTTGGCTGGGGACAACCAAGTCACCTTGGGCATGGGTTCTCCTTTGGCCTCACAGGTTACAGTGACCACATCTCCATAGGGTACCTGAACTGCCAAGTAAGTCTTGTTCCAGATGGTGGCAGGTGTCACCATCTTGACTCTGACTCTCATCTCATCCTTCCCAACCTGATTTTCAGCAAAGCAGGTGTAGTCTCCTTCCTCCCTCATCCCCACTTCACTGAAGTAGAGTGTCCCATTGTTGAAGACCACATAGTGCTTGGTGCGTCCACCACTGTCATCTGACTGCATGAAGGAGTTCACCAGACTCCCATCCAGGAGGCTCCAGGAGATCTCGGGATTGGGAAGTCCAGTGGCCACACAGTCCACTTTCAGGTCACCCCTGTAGAAGACTTTGTGGTCGTTCTCCTCCTTGTGTTCAATCTTGGCCGGTTTCATCATCACATCCACCTTGAGCACCACGCAGTCATCACCAACCTTATTTCGAGCTACACACAGGTAATCTCCGGCGTCTTTGTCTGTCATTGATTTCACCACCAGGGTCCTGTTGGCAAACACCTTGATTCTACTATCAAAACTACAGAAAAAAAGAAAAACAATTAAGATGTCAGTTTCCCAAATACTCTACCATGGCGTTATGTCACTGGAATAACACAAAAAATAGGTATTTCTGTGATGCATCAGCCCACGTGGCTGCTATTGCAAAATGCCCAATGGTTTTTACAGCCTGGAGAAGATTGTGGAAAGTGATTGACTGCAAATAACAACTCCCTGTTAAATCTGATGTTAGGTTGGCCTGACCATGGGTTCAAGGACATGAAATGTAGTCAAAGATGTCAGTCCTATTCCTGCAAGTGTGTCTGGATCAAGTATTTGCATGGTAGTCATTGCAGAGGTCAATGTAAAAACAAAATCAGATAAAATGCTGCAGTCATGGAGATGGTGATGAATCTGAGTCAGCCTAATAAAGATGTTAATTTCTTCCTGGAGAAAATGCTTTAGACACTGTTTCTACTTTTGGCAATTTTTTTTTTAAGCTGTTGTATCCCAGTTTTGGGCAAGAGTCAGAAAAAGCAACTCTAAGGTCATGTAATTATGGTTATGCCCAGAGTTCCAAGGCTAAAATTGGGCTCTTCAGAAGTTGGCAATATTGGTGTAACGGGTTTTCTAGAATTTGTAATTAAAGCTGAATAACACTCACTAGCTAAGACCCCAAGGCTGGTGTACCATTCTTCCCCATGAAGTCTAAGCACTGCTGAGTTAATAATTACAAACAGTTTAATAGAGGCAACCTAGAAAGGATGATAGGAAAATCTTCATTATATATGTAACAGTTTCATAAATACTGAAGTATCCTTTAGTTATTCAGAACTAGCATGTTGGATAATCCAGTGAAAAGATTGAGAAAGTTCTCACTTTTAAAATTGTCCCTGTTGAATCCTCCATGACACATACATTGTAATGGGAGCCTTAATATTTCCTAAATGCCACACTTTCTTTTTTTTCTGAAGAATTGGGATCTTGCTTTGTCATCCAGGGTGGAGTGCAGTGGTGCAATCATAGCTAACTGTAGTCTTGATCTCCTGGACTCAAGGGACCCTATTATCTCAGCCTCCTGAGTAGTTTGGACTATAACCATATACCAATATGCCTATGCCTGGCTGGAGGTGTTTTTTTGTTTGTTTGTTTGTTTGTTTGTTTGTTTTTTGCTTTTTTGTTTTTGTTTTTTTGTAGAGACAGGATTTTGCTATGTTGTCTGGGCTGGTTTTGAACTCCTGGACTTAAGTGATCCTTCTGCTCATCTCCCAAAGTGCTGGGAATACAGGCATGTGCCACCACATGTGGCAACATTCCATTTTTCTAATGACATGTCTAAGACAATGTCATAGATCTTAACAAAAATGAGCCTGCTTGTGCTTACATTCAACCTAATCATTGTAATAAAAGCAACAATTAACAATGACAAAATATACTGTTTTGTGGGTTATGAGTGAGAATGAAGTCAATGTAACTCAGTAAGGAATTTAATAGCTGTGGGGCAGGCAAGCACATTTTAATGTGTCTTGGAGTTTGAATCCAAAAATGATTATGGTAGCATGTGTATGTAAACGTTCTATGGCTTCCGTAACAGTGACCCCTAATCCAGTTTTCATCAGAATAAATCAACTGAGCAAATCTGAAAGCCACAGATGTCTATGCATTGTGAGGGATTTGACTTCAAGAAACAAAGCTCTGATACTTGTTTTTCTTTTTGTTTTTTGAGATGGAGTCTCACTTTGTCACCCAGGCTGCAGTGCAGTGGCCTGATCTTGGCTCACTGAAACCTCTACCTTCTGGGTTCAAGCAATTCTCCTGCCTCAGGCTTCCAAGTAGCTGGGACTACAGGCATGTGCACTATGCCCTGCTAATTTTTGTATTTTGAGTAGAGACAGGGTTTCACCATGTTGGTCAGGCTGGTCTTGAACTCCTGACCTCAAGCAATCCACCCACATTGGCCTCCCAAAGTGCTGGGATTACAGGTGTCAGGCATCACACAAGGCCCTATATTTTTATTTTTAAATAATCCCAACATGTAGGCAGGGAAGAGCCTGCTCTGACAAAATGCACATGATTTGTTCAATTACACTTTACTAAGAATATAGTCAGAATTTACAAAGAATAAAGTAACATAAATAACAGTTTATAATTTATTTAGGATTTATATGGAGATATTAATAGAATGACTCAAAAATCCTAGTGGAACTGCATTCTTGTACTGTTATCCATTCAAAATTGCCTCCACCATGCCAAATTCAATGGAAAACAGTTTTCTTAGTGGCAGCACATCTGCTAAGCTGGAAGGCATTCCTGGGTATATTTGGTACATGATTCTTCTGGACTGATTGTGCAAGCTCTTCAGAGCACCACCCAGCCATCTAAAGTATAAAATACAGGCAGGGGAAAGGCATCTCAGCCCTTTTCCTGAACTGCAAAGAGTCCTAGAAGGGCAGATACAAATGTGCAGAAGAAACCCTTGGACACTGATTTTGCTCTCACCATGGTGAGAGGCTTTCCTGCTTGAGCTGCTGAATGCCGAAGACAGCACAATCCAGGGATTCTCCACCATAGCAGCGTGAACTGAGTTGGACTCCATTTTACCTTTACTCTACTGTCAGTGTCCTCTATTTTTTGACACACTTATTAAAGAGATATTAGCCCTTTTTTGAATCTAGCTCAGGGTTTCTCAACCTTGGCACTAGTGACATTTGAGCCTAGATGATTCTCTGTGATGGGGCCAACCTATGAACTGTAGGGTGTTGAGCAATGTCCCTGGACTCCATCCACCAGATGCCAGCAGTATCCATCCCATCTGTGACAACCAAAAAATGTTTCCAGACACAGCCAAATGTCTCCTGGGAGTAAAATCTCCTTGGTTGCAAACAACTACCATAGCTAGCTAGCTAGCTAGATCAGTAGACAGACTAGATAGATAGATAGATAGAAAGATACATACATACATACATACATACATATCGATGGATGGATGGATAAATGGATGGAGAGATGGGTGGATGGATGAATAGATGGATACATAAGACATTAGAATGGATGGATGGATAGGTTAGGTAGATAGAAATGGATGGATAGATAAGCAGGTATATAGACAGATAGACCAACATTTTCATACTAAGATAGGGTTTCTTGGCTTCAGTACTAGGGACATTTAAGGCTGTATGGAGGATTCTTTGTGGTGGGTCTGTCTTGTGCACTGTAGGGTGTTGAGCAGCATCTCTGGGCTCCACCCACCAGATGCCAGTAACATTCATCCCATTTGTGACAACCAAAAAAATTGTTGTCAGACATAGCCAAATATCTCCTGGGAATAAAATCTCCCTGGTTGCAAGCAATTGCCATAGAGGGATAGGTAGGCAGGCAGATAGGCAGATAGATAGATAGATAGATAGATAGATAGATAGATAGATAGATAGACAGACAGACAGATATGGGTGTATGATTGAATGAATAGATACACAAGAGATAAGGATGGATGATAGGTTAGGTATACAGGAATGAATGAATGGATAAATAGATAGCTAAATGGACAGACAAAATCTTACATGCTAAGACAGGGTTACTTGACCTCAGCAGTATTAACATTTAAGGCAAGATGAATGCTAATCTGTGGTGGGGTGTCTTGTGCACTGTAGGATGTTGAGCAGGATCCCAGGGCTGCAGCAACCAGATACCAGAAGCACACCCTCCACCCCAGAGTCATGATGACCAAAAATGTCTCCATACATCACCAAGTGTCCCCTAGGGACTAAGGAACACCTGATGCCTGGTTGCAAACGACTGCCATAGATAATGGATGGATAGACAGAGAGATGATAGATAGATAGATAGATAGATAGATAGATAGATAGAAGATAGATGAAATAGGTAGAAGGATGGATAGATTATAGATTAGATAGATAGATAGATAGATAGATAGATAGATAGATAGATAGACAGATAGATAGATAGAATCTTTCCTGCTAAGACAGAGTAACTTGACCTCGGCACTATGGACATTGAAGGTAGGATGGATGACTATCTGTGATGGGCCATCCTGTGCACTGCAAGGTGTTGAGCACTGTCCCTGGGCTCCACCCACCAGATACCAGAAGCACCCACCGCCCCATTTGTGATAATCAAAGGTGTCTTCGGATGTTGCCAAGGGTTGTCCTGGGGCAAAATCACCCTTGGTTGAAAAGCACTGCCATAAACCTGTATATCTGGGAACTGATGGTACTTGATTAGAAGGTGGCTTTCTTCATAGCCCAAGTACATTTGTATCATTTCAAGTGCACTATGTTGGTGTGGTAATGATGCTTTTAAAACAATGTGTACACTTTGATTGTACCAATAATGCCATATTAAAATAAAGCCTAACACATCTATGTATATTGTTGAAATCTACAATGGAAATAGAAGCAAGCTGAATTGTTTGCCCTAACATTATAGTTAAACATATAATCATTAAAACAACAGTTTCTTGATTTATTTTTTTCCTTTTTTTTTTTTTTTGAATGGGACAAGAGAGGAGGAAGTTAAGTATTTGTTAAGAGGAAGTTAAGCATTCGTTGTAGATCCAAGTTTAGAGATACAAAATGTCATTGCATAAAAATCACACACAGGGTCAGGCGCGGTGGCTCAAGCCTGTCATCTCAGCACTTTGGTAGGTCAGGGCAGGAGGACTGCTTGAGGTTAAGTGTTCAAGATCATACTTGGCAACATAGCAGATCCCATCTCTACATAAATTGAAGAAAGAAGAAGAAGAGGAAGAGGAAGAGGAGGAAGAGGAAGAAAGAAGAAGAAGAATAGGAAGAGGAAGAGAGAAGAAAGAAGAAGAAGAAGAAGAAGAAGAAGAAGAAGAAGAAGAAGAAGAAGAAGAAGAAGGAGAAGAAGAAGAAAGAAGAAAAGAAGAAGAAAGAAGAGGAAGAAGAAGAAAGAAGAAGAAAGAAAAAGAAAGAAAGAAAAGAAGAAGAAGAGGAAGAAGAAAGGAAGAAGAAGAAGGAGAAGAAGGAGAGGAAGAAGAAGAGGAAGAAGAAGAAGAAAGAAGAAAAGAAGAAGAAGAGGAAGAAGAAGAAGGAGAAGAGGAAGAAGAAGAAGAAGAGTCGTGCCTCATGGTGCACACCTGTAATCCCAGCTACTCAGGGGATCGCTTCAGCCCAGGAGTTTGAGGCTGCAGTGAGGTATGATCGCACCACTGCACTGCAGTCTGGGTGACAGAGCAACACCCTGTCTCAACTTAATTAATTAACTTATTATTATTTTTAGATAGAGTGTCAGTCTGTCGTCCAGGCTGGCGTGCAGTGGCGTGATCTTGGCTCACTGCAACCGCCACCTTCTGGGTTCAAGCAATTATCTTACCTCAGCCTCCCGAGGAGCTGGGACTGCAGACGCTCGCCACCACGTCCGGCAAATTTTTGTATGTTTGTTGAGACAGGGTTTCACCATGTTAGCCAAGCTGGTCTCGAACTCCGGACCTCAACTGATCCGCCCGCCTTGGCCCCAAAGTGCTGGGATTATAGGCGTGAGCCACCGTGTCCTGCTAATTAATTTCATTTAATTTTATCGCACGCAGGGACCAATGTGTGTGCATATTCATCCTGAACAAGGACTTATATTCGTTGGGGCCACCAGCCCAGCGATTTACAGGAAGCCACGCGGAGCTGCCTACCTGAAAAGCGCGTCGATCGTCCTCTTGGACGGCAGCCTCCAGAGGATGCGCGGCCAGGGATCCCCCGAGGCGCTGCAGTCCAGCTTGAGGGTCCCTCCGTACCTGACGTCCGTCCTCTGCGAGGAGGTGCCCGTGATGCGCGCGTTGGCGCGCAGCGCGCTGCACGTTCGCTGCTGCGCGCTGCACGTTCGCTGCTGCGCGCTGCACGTTCAGCTGCACCGTACTGCGCGCGGAGCCGATCAGGTTGGCGGCCACGCACTCATAGCGCCCGCTGTCCTTGGGCGCGAGGTTGCAGATGTAGAGCGTCCCGTTGGGGAAAACAAACAAGTTCCGGTGGAGGAAATGCGAGGGGCGGATTTGGGTACCATCCCCGAGCACCCAGAGCACGCTGGGCAGGGGCGCAGCTTTGGCAGTGCAGTGAATGTGAATGCTGAGCCCCGGGGGCAGCGAGATGTTCTACAGCTTCTCCTGGTGGATAATGGGGGGCAGTGCCGCCACGTGTAGGCGGATGGACACGCTGTCCGCCCGGGTTGCGTTGCTGGCCACGCACTTATAGACGCCTCTGTCTGAGAAGGACGCCTCCTTGATGGAAAGGGTCCGGTTTTGGTGCAGGGTGATCCGGCCCTCCACGGAGGACAGAGTTTGCCACACCCTCCTGTCACGGAAGATCCAGGAAATTTGGGGGGCTGGGGTCCCTTTCGCCAGACACTCCATTGTAATGGTGTCTCCCAGGTAGACGGTGACGTCCTGGTAGTGGGAGGCTAGGATTTGAGGTTGCTGCACGGTGACCCAGAGAAAGACCACCATCCTGTCCAGGCCGTACAGGTTGCTGGCGGTGCACATATACTGGCCTCGATCTTGCACTTGAAACTTCCTTATCACTAAGGTACCGTTCTTGAGAACCTCAAACCGTTGTATCCTGGTATTCGGAGTCATAAGAACTCCTGGAGAAAATTAACATAGTAAGCTTTGGCATAAACTGTGCCTTCTTGATAATGCTCAAATGAGCAATATTAGTTAATCTAAGTCTCCACTTTATCACCCAGACAGCAAAAGCAAGTGTAGAAGGTAGAATGTTTTAGTGTTTTTAAAAGTTTTTTTATGTTTATTTCATTTGTTAGAGATAGGGTTTTGCTCTGTCTCCCAGGCGGGGGTGCAGAGGTACAATCATAGCCCACTGCAGTCTCAACCTCCTGGACTCAGCCTTCTAAGTAGCTGGGACTACATGTGCAGGCCACCAGTCCTGGATAATTAAAACCATTTTTTTTTCTTTTTTTATTATTATTTTTTTTTTGTAGAGACATGGTCTTACTTTTTGCCCGGGCTGCTCTTGAACGTCTGGCCTCAATTGATTCTCTGTCTTGGCTACCCAGAGGGCTGGGATTAGAGATGTGAGCCATCACACCCAGATTGTTTTTGTCCTAACCATTAAAGAAATGTAAAACTGAGCTATCACCTCATGCCTGCTGGAATGGCTATTGTCAAAAAGACCAAAAACAACAGACACTGGTGAAGATGTGGAGAAATGGGCACCCTCGTACACTGTTGGTGAGAATGTAAATTGGTACAGCCACTGTGGAAAACAGCATGGAGGTTCCTCATAAAACTAACAATAGAGCTGCCTATGGTCTAGCAATCCCACTACTGGGTATTTATCCAAAGGAAATGATGTCAGTTTGTTTATGAGACATCTGCACTTCCGTGTTTATAACAGTGCTATTCACAATAGCCAAGATTCAGAATTCAGCTAAGTGTCCATCAATAAATGAATGGATAAAGAAAATGCAGTATATATGCACAATGAAATACCATTATGTCTTTTTTTTTTAAAGGAAATTCTGTCATTTGCCACAACATAAATGAACCTGGAGGATATTAGGTTAAGTGAAATAAACCAGGCACAGAAAGACAAATACTGCATGATCTCACTTATATGTGCAATGGAAGAAAGTTGAACTCATAGAAGAAGAAACAGATAGTGGAATGGGGGTTACCAGGGACTGGGGGTAGGAGAAAGGGGAAGCTATTAATTAAAGAATGTAAAGTTCAGTTAGGAGGAATATGCTTAAGTGATGTTATACTCATGGCAACTATAGTTAATAACAATTTAGTTTATATTTGAAAATTGTTGAGAGTAGATTTTTTGTCATCACACACATATGAAATAAATATGCTCTTTAAAAAAAGGATAGAGAAAAATAATGTTTTGTTTTTCTTTTTCATTTTTATACTAGTCCCAGAAACAAGGCCATTCTCAAGCAAAAGAGGGCAAATGTGGGTTTTATAGAGAATTCTGGAAGCAGGCATGAGTCCTAGCCACTTCCAAGGTGAGCTAAGATTCCACAAGCTCAATTACTAGAGACACAGCCTCTCCCTTATTTATTCATGCTTATGCTATTCTCCTGAACTCCTTGGGCTAGCTGGTTGCATGGGCATCCCAGGCTTGTAGTGGCCAGCCCCCCTGCCCAGAGAGGCCCTTGAGTCCACAAGAAAGGTAAATTACTCCCAGCACCTTAGCAGGCCAAGGCAGGAGGATGCTTGAGCCCAGGAGTTCTAGACCATCCTAGGCCACATATCTAAACTCTGTTTCTACAAAAAAAAAAAAAAAAAAAAAAATAGCTGGGTGCGGTGGCATGTGCCTTTGGTCCCAGTTACTTGGGAAGCTGAGGTGGGAGGATCACTTGAGCCTGGGACATAGAGGCTGCAGTGAACCATGATCATGTCACTGCACTCCTGCCTGGGCAACAGAGTGAAACTCTATTTAATAATAATAATAATAATAAAAGGAAAGAGAGAGAGAAGTAAAAAAAGAAAAGAAAACAGACAGAAAAGAAAATAAGGTAGATTGGTTAGACTGATGGGGTCGGGGTCATGATGGGGTCATTCCCCACTTGAGTTGAGCATGAATTCAGGCTTCTCAGTGACATCTGACCTCTCACCACTCTAGCCAGTGGGTGGAGTTATGGGACATAGGTCCTTATTTCTCTCCACTCTCTATACTCTCTATATTTCACACTCTGTTTGACCTCCTAAGACTGCAATCATCAGGCTCTGTATTAATTGTGTGTTTCTGATGCTCTGTCATCTGGGGTTTTGCTGACCCTGGGGAAACTACCCCTCCCAAAGCTAGATAATCACTAGAGATAGCAAACTACACACCTGTGAGTGCAGCTTGCATATGCAAACCAATCAATCCAGAGACCACACCCTAACCACCTCCTTTATTGGGCTGTCTGATTCCAGGTCACTATCCTCTAGCCTTAACTATCCCAGGGTCAGGTAACATACAACTAGGGACAGCCCCATGTGCTCCAGAGCCTGCTGACATTTTTCAAAATACTCAATTCTAAGCCGCGCCTGTTTCTTCCCATAGAAACTACAAAAAAAGGTGCTTGCCCACACTTTCTTCCTATCTCTCTGCTTCCTAACCAAACCTGGTGCTTCCCTCTGTGGCCCTGCATGATGTGTTTTACTCTGTCCTGGTAACTGAGTAACAAACTATCTTTTTAATGGCAGTCATCTGCTGATCACTTGGCCTAACCATACAGGCATGCAATGAAACTGTAAATGAGACCTCAAGCTCTCATAACATGGAACCCCTGTGACTGATAGAGATCCGCAAATTTACAAAACAGAACCAAGCAACCGTGGCAGGAGGAGAGAACAGCTGTCAAATGCTGTTTGTTCTCAGAGCAGTATCTCTTGACAAACAACTTGCCAGAGACTTCCAGTTTGGGGCTTGGAAATCACCCAATCGGGGCTCAACTATTTTGACCAGTCAGAACTAAACATATTTGAATTCCTAATTTGTGTAAATGGACTTGATTGGGAGCCAGTGCAGGAACTGTCTCTACTTCCTTTGTTCTTCAGAGAGCACTTTTTACTTGCACTGAAGGCTAGGTCCACCTAATCTGGAAACTGTTTTCTTTTTTTTTTTTTTTTTAATGGAAAATACAGCTCCCCCTTTATCCTCCACAGATCTCATGGACTTTTGTTAACAATGAAATATAATAATAAAACCTACATTTTTAAACAGGGGAGCCCAAGGGAGCCCTGAATTTTAGAACTCCTTCCGTTCTTCTCCCATGTTACTGGACCTTCCTGGGTCTGGACTTGTCCTGTGTGCCATTCACTTCATTCTGACCAGTGCCTCCAACTGTTTTACTAATAACTTTCTCTAATATTGGAGTTCATCCTTTGGATGAAGCTTTCAAATCCTGCAAGCTCGTCATCATTTCCATCCTCAAGGGGAACTCATACTCTGACAAAGCATCTGGTGGTCACACACCTGCAAAATTACTTGCTCTCACTATGAAAATAATTTCATAGTGGATGGATTATTCCAACACAGAACAGACATTGATAAAAGGTCACTACTCTGGTGTGTTTACAGAAGCAGCCAAGACCACAGCTGTCCCCTCCAAAACCAGGATCAGCAGCCCGTTGAGTCTGCCCAGCCCACCAGGTCTTAGAGAGCAGGTATTGCTTAGTGCTGATATAATCTCCCTACTTTTCAGGCAATGCAGCTAAGATCCCACCTAGCTTTGTGGTTGAGCCCTCCCGAATGACAGGTGACCATGGGCATGGTCATGGACACCAACCTGCTGACCCTCACTTATGGAGTCCCACCTCCCCACTGAGGCATTTTATGACGCAGAGGTACAAGAGTGCCTGTCTTTCATTTGGTTTTGGATGCAAGGGAAGGACCACTGAAACCTCCTGCCAATTATTCTTACACCTCCTGGGGCAATTTTAAAGTGCCTTCCATTTTTCTCTGATGCCTCAATAAAAGAGATTAGTTTATCTGAAAACAAAGGCATGATAAATCCATGCCATGTAGTTCCACAACATGCAATTACAACACTTTTGGATGTGAGCAAATCTCATTTGGCCATCCATTGAGAGAAATAGCTTTTGTCTAAAAACAAGAGCTAGCTAACAAATGAGCAGCCAGCATTGAGAGCTGATTCCAGGAAATGTAGAAGAAAAATGTGCATGAATGTCTGGTGCAGGGGCAAAGTTCAAAGATGCTCTGAAATGGCATAGGGTGTGAAGGAACCTAAGGATTTATATAAATGGGATTCCCAGAAGGAGAATGGGTTCCTTCAAGGACATAACCCTTTTGGAATAAATAACCCATGGTGTCCCTCATTTTCCACTTCCAGCAAAATTCATTATGAAATTATGAAAACCTATGACTTCAAGTGCTAAGCTTATCAAAGAAGTAAACAATTGCCCTAGGCTCAGAGTCTCTGTGAACCTCTGGAAAACTTCCAACATTTGGGAGATAAAGCAGTACAAAGAAAGTACAGCTAAGTGCTAGCAGCATAAATCATTTTGTATTATCGAAATGAAGGCAAAACACTCATAGACACAGACACACATACACACAATCCTCTGATCAGAATCCAGGGCTGAAGATACATTTGTGTTGAGAGAGAAGGAAAGAGAAAGGAGAAAAAGATGCTCTTTTGTCCAGGTTGTGATTCTCTGGTTTTATTTTCTTCTGTAACCTAGAAACTGTTCTGTCATTCAGAGAAAGCAGATGGTCAATTTAGGAAGCCAGCTGCTCTTTGAATGTCTGTCTCAGGATTCCAAGTATAAACCATTTTTATGGGCTGAAATGTGTCCCCCCAAATTTATATATTAAAGTCCTATCCCCCAGGAACTCAAAATATGACTGGAGATAGGATCTTTACCAAGGTGATTAAGGTTAAATGAGGTCAATAGGATGGTCTCTAATCTGATAGAACTGGTATCTTTATAAGAAGACATTAGAATCCAGACAAACAGAAGTTGGATCATGTATGACATAGGAAGAAGACGGCAACTACACACCAAGGAGAGAGGCCTCACAAGGAACTAATCTTGCCAACACCTTGATCTTGGACTTCCAAAATCTGCAATTGTGAGAAAATAACTATCTGCTACTTAAACTGCCCAGTTAGTGGTACTTTGTCATGGCAGCCCAAGCTGATTAACATAACCCTGGGTCTAGGTTCAAGTCAAAGAAGCACCTGATTAGCACTTAGAAGACTATAACCTGATCTCTGACCAAGCTGGGTTTACCTTTGCAAGCTGGTAAAAGGGCAAGGGGGATTTACAGACCACGTCTCATATCCACTCTGCCCTCAGATGGTGGTTGAAGGCATTTGTATTGGAGCCAACTGAAAAAAGTGAGAGTCTCTCTTATGGAATATTTCAAACCTGGGTTATTCTCCATCCAAAGGACTTATTAGATATTTCCATGGCTCCATTAAAATCTCACATCCATTCTAGTTCCTCACTTCCTGTCCCTGCAAAGAAACATGCTTAGATTTAAGATTTCAGATGACTCCTCTCATCCTACCAATTCCTTATTTTCTGAGTTTCTGGTTGTGCCTAAAGTAAGACTCCAGTAACTTTCTCCTACACTCTGGTTGAAGTGTAGATTGGGTACACATGGACATAAAGATAGGAAAAATGGATACTTGGGGCTACTAGAGGAGACAGGGAGGGGTAGCAAGGGCTGAAAATCCACCTATTGGATGCTATGCTCACTACCTGGGTAATGGGATCATTTGTGCCCCAAACCTCAGCATCATACAATATACCCATGTGAGAAACCTGCACGTGTTCCCCCCTGCATCTAAAATAAAAGCTGAAATTATAAAAATAAACACTTCTTCAAGTAAAAAAAAATTCCCCAAATTTGTTGTAAATATTTCTCCTAACGTGTTTATGTTTTGTACCTCATGCTCTTTTAGTGTATTGTAATATTGCTAGCCAATAAAATAAAAATTGACCCAAAAAAGAGTAGATGCTTAAAAATCTTACATGTGGAAACTTTTGTCCAAGTAACGAAAGGCTTTGGTTTTCCTATTGCCTCACACGGGAACACAGCGTCCGTTTCAGCAGTGACAGACACAGTCTGTGGGGACTTGGTGAGGATTTGGGGCTTTTCCCCAAGAGGCCAGAATTTGGATGCAGGCGGTCCTCCTGCAAAGAACTTTGAGCCGCTTTGGTGGATGCTTCCTGAGGACTGGACAGAAGATGTTATAAAGGAGACAGAACTCTGGGTGGATGAGACCATAGGGATATTCTGTAAGTTAGTTGGGGGTGATACCATGGTCCATGGAGTGTGCAACAGTGGAGGTGCTGGAAGGCCAAAGTCCAGATGGAAGGTGCTATGGGAATATATCCTATTGTAGGAACCTGGATTAACTTTTCTCTCTCTCATTACTGGGACAGGAGAAGAGGGTATCTGGGGTCTCCGGGTGACTCCCAACTGTGAAAAAGAAAGAGTCCTGTTGGTAAAGAAAGGGAGTCTTCCATTGGAATAATGATAAATTCTTGGACTGAGAGGCTTTCCAACTGAGTTTCTTGCCTCAGGGATGTTGCTATTTCCAAACACTTTGTAGGAGCCATTGGATTGGTCAGTTCTTAGGTCAGCAAACTTACTAGAAATGCTGGGTTTGGACATGTGTGATAGGAGAGGAGTTGTACTTGCTACTCTTGGAGTTGTAAACTGTTTGCTCTCTGGCAAAGCCCTAGAAGGATATGTAGTTATTTCTGGTTTGTTGGTCCCGTGATGAGGTGGCTGGAAAGTTACAAAGTATCTGGAAGTGCTTTGTGTGGACATTTCAGGCAGCCTCACTGTTCCTGTTGGTAGGATGGGTTTGGCAGGGATTCTGGTTAGTTGATGAGAAGCATGAACTCTTCCATCCTGGTGGTGGCTATCTGGGCCACGTGTTAGACTCCTACTATCAAATACTTGCTTTTCCAATTCTAGCTTTGTAGACAAGTTAAATGCATCGTGGTCAGAAGATGGTGTTGATAATTCATTTGGCCCTGACATACGCTGTGTTCCTTCATTTTTCACTGGGGTTGCTTCTGTTTCTGGATTCCCCATGTAATTCAAGAAAACATTTTCCTTGGAATCTTTACATATTTGAGATGTTCTTGGACTGAGAAGTTCTGGCTTAGTGGTGGTGGTTTGTCCCAAAGACAGGAGAATCATGGGAGGGGACAAAGATGCTGGCTCCTTCATCCAGGCAGCAGTAAGGATGTGATTCTGTGGTCTAGTTTCAGAGTGGAGAATAGCCACAGTGGTTTCATGATGATCTTGACCAAGGGTGGTAGTTTCTACCTGACTTGAAGCCATCTCCACTTTTATGCTTGAGAGAATTGTGGAAAAACCAGCTTCTTCCTGGTGAAATGGTGTGGAGACTGTCACAGAGGACAAAAACTCAGAAGTAAAATCCACATCCTCAAGCTCGTTAACAAGGGGAGGGTCTGTAGGGGTTTCCCCAGAAGTGGTAACATGTATGTCTGTCTGTAGCCTCCCAGGCTGAGCTTTCCTTGAGGGATTCCAGGTTGGAATTCCTGGAAAGCCCACAGGAGAGGATTCTTCCTTAAATTCTCCCATAGTGGAGACCAAGGAGCGAGAAGTTTGTGTGACATTTGTAATTGACTCACCAGGGACTAAAATGTCACTTTTATGTTTGTCAACATTTGTGGCAACATCATCCTGAATTTCTTTTCCATCTGATGTGGGTTTATACATGACTGGAAGTGTGTCTTGGACTTTATGGTGAGATGAATGTATTTTTCTGGTGGTTGTCGTGTAATCTAAGGAATCATAAACGCCCTCAGTTTTCAGAGAAACATTTCTAGGCAAAAGTGTAGTTTCTGAACTGGGAGTAACAATGTTTCTATGTTTATTTTCTGGAGAAGGGCTGGGCTTGGATGCAGATGCTCTTGAACTCACTGTAGAAGGGGTATATCGATGTTTGTTTGGCCTCTTCCCGTGTTTTCTCCGTGGAGTTCCCTTTGATATGAGCTCTACATTCTTCTCCATTTCCAGCTGTTTGGGGGTATTAACTGTGTTAATCTCCCAAGATGTAGGAACCAGAGAACTCTCCATTTGATTTGAAATCTTAATGTCAGTTGCTTGAGTTGGTTGAGTAGAAAAAGTCTCTAATGGAGCAAAAGTTGTGGGTGGGGTTTGCTTGTGCCGGTGGTGGAATTTGTGAGGGTGTAATTTTCTCCCATTGGGTCTCCTTCGAGAAGGGTGAGTGCTCATGGTGGATGATGAAGCCACTTTTTGCCTTGGAGTTGTTTCTGTTGTGGTGTCTTTGTGTAGCAGGGTGACAACTGTGGTTTCCGCAGGCTTCTTAACTGGAGACGTACTGCTCGTTATACCCAGTGTGGAGTCAGGTAAAGTGATGGATTTGCTCTCTTGGCCCTCATTCTCAGAACTTCTGGAGTGTGTAGGGTCTCCCTCTAGCATATTTCCTCCCTGTAGTGTCTGAGACATCTCTTTCATACCTTTTTTAATCAATAAGGTGTCTTGAGTGCTAAAACTACTTTTCACAAGCTGGATGTTCTCTGTCGGTCCTTGTAGATGTGATTTGCCTGGGACACCTTGTTCCCCTACAGTAGAATCCTCAAATGACAGTGATGTACTAGAGTCATTAAACCAGATGATGGCGGTTGGAGTAAGGTGTGCAAAACTGTATTCTTTTATGTTATCCTCATGTGGTTGTGAATTAGTCTCCAAATCTGGGTCAAAGTATTGCACAGGCTTAGACTCAGCCAAGGAGACAACAACCAATGGAAGCTCATACTCACTGGATGTGGGATCTGGTGAGGATCCAACATCTGCTGCAGACCAACCCTCTGTTTCCGTCTCTTCATGGGTGGGCTCTTCATAGACTGTGTCTAAGGTGTGTAGAGTAGGAGATTGTTCATAAGGCTCAGATATAAGTGTAGAGGCTGCAGTCCCCTTCAGGTCGCCTTCAGTGGAAGTCATCTCCTCAGTCTTCTTGGAATACTCATCAACAACTTCTTCCAGAGGTGTGCTTGTTACTTCAGGTTCAACAAGAATAACTCCATTGTTGTGGTGTTCTAGTCCCATGCTGGCTGAGGAAATGGTACTCAAAATGTGCTTTCCTTCGCTGAGTAGAGGTACATCTGCTGAGGATTCTTCAGCACTTGTTGCTGTCTGTATTGGAGATGCCAAGGGGGGAGAAACAGCAGGCAAAGGTGGTGTGACTACTAGGCTCAAGAATGGAGAACTTGTGGTTTTAATAATTGGGGATACTTCTGTGCCTGTAGGGAGATTTTTCCCAAAGACTTTGGCTAAAATATCAGCCCAGTGCTCCGGATTAATCTGTTTGTTTGCCACGTTTATCCTTCGTCTTGATTCAAACACTCTGAGATCTTCTGCAACACTGGTCTCTGGTTCTTTTTCTGAATGCTTCCAGAGTTTCAGCTTTCTTCTCCCTTTCTTGGCTTTCTTATCTCCATTGATGGCATCATCCTTTGTTTTGAGGAACGCCTCTTGGTGCTTTGGATGTAGAAGTCTCCTTGAAGTGTTCTCTTCATCTCCCGTGCCTGAGACCCCTTCATCCTCCACGATGTCTTCTCTCATCTGGAAAGAGCCTTTGGACCTGGCCATCTGCCTCTTTTGGATGGCGAGCCAGAACCTTTCTTGGTCACTGTGATTCCCACCGTGATATGGTCTGCCCCATGCTGGTTGACAGCCACACATCTGTGGTAACCACTGTCACTGACTTGGACCTTTGGGATGGAAAGAGTTCCATTTGGCAGCATGTATACATGTGATGTGTTAGCCAAATCATTAATTATCCTTCTGTTTGGAAGAATCCAGCTAAGGTGGGCTTCGGGTATAGCTAAAGCATTGCAAGGCAACATCACTGGCTCCCCTGGGTTCTTGCCAATTGTCACTGTGTCTTTCTCGGCTGGCTGAGTGGAGGGAGACTGCACAAGTACCCTATATACCATGCGGTCCATTTCATCCCTCACTTGAGCAATGCACTGGTACAAGCCCGAGTCAGATGGCTCCATGGACTTGATCCTCAGCCAGCCACTGCTGAGAATGGAGAACTTGCTGTCTGGGTCATCCACAGGCACTTTCAGGATGGAGCCATCTGGAAGCACCCAGAAGATAGATGGACTCTCAGAAGCTTTCACATTGCAGCTCAACTGGCATCGACCCCCTTCCAGGACAGTCTGATCTTTTTGCACAGCTCTACTAGGCTCAATCATTACCCAGCTTCTGCCCCGAGCCTGCCTTGTATCTTTGGTGGCTATTGTTTGAGAATACTGGTTGTAGTAGGAAAGTAGCACCTTCTTGGCCGTACTCTGAGGTCGGTTCAGCTGGATATCTATGGATGGCTGCATGATCCATTCTGGTTCTGCAAGAATCTGGGCTCTCACACCTGTGTAGTAAAGAGCTTCTTCATCGGCATCTTGCCTGTACTGGTAGCTGACTCTGGGGTGTTTGCTGAGCATGAGCTCTCTGTGTAGCTTCATGGGAACTTCACTGTAGTATGCTATCAATTTCCATAGATTTTCATAGTTTTCCTGGGTCATTGGATACTCAAAGTCCAAGGCAACCATTGCATTTATGTCAATATCTGGAGGATCTGTTTGGTTCAAGTGAATTTTGTACACATCCATTGGTTTCTTGATGTCACACACCAAGTTCACCAGGTTCCCGTGCTCATCAGTCATATTCAAAGAGATGCTCCACTGGGGAAGTTGGATTTTCTCCAGGATGAGCTGGCTGTCACCATTCTCTTCTTGTTTTTGCTCCTCCTCAATACTCCTGCTCCTGTTCTGTCTCAGAGGAGACTCTATGGAAGGCTTCAGACAAGTCAGGTCCTTCAGCTTGTGAATCTCATGTTTGTACAACTTCTTTGGACTGAAGCACATTGCACACAACTGACCGCCTTCATAAGCTTTGTCCTTTTTACACTTCAGAATTCCTAAAACAAATAAGCAAATAGACACTCAATAGGGTAAGGAGCCAAAGAATGGCACGCCTTGTACATGGCCAGAGGATAAAACCTATGTTTGCGTCTTTATCACCCAGCTGTAATCCCATAAACAAGGAATCCTATACATGAGTTGCCTTTAAGGCATGTTAAACCACAGTTTTAGTACACTGTGTGGTAACTAATGGATGCTTTATAACTGCTTAACCATTAATAATAATTTTTACTTAAAAATATCTTAAAATACTTACTAACAGGTATTTAAAAAACATTTCTAAGTTAAAGAAAACAGCTTCACTCATATACATTATACAATGTACCTTCTGTGAAAGTTTAGAAGAATCTGTATAAATAACTACAAACTGGGGAAACATTTCTAGGTAAAAGGATGAATCTTTGCATGTATCACATCATATCTATTTTTTGTTGTTTTTTGTCTTTATATATATACCTATATATAAAAAATATTTATATATATATCTATCTCAATATATACAAATATGTATCTATCTTAATAGATATATATTTACATAATATATATCTATATAATATATAGATATATAATAGATCTCTCTATCTATATATATCTATATATACTATATAGATATAATATAGAGATCTATTATATATCTATATAATATATAGAATATATATAATTATATAATATATATCTATATTATATATAATATATAAATATAGATATTATATATCTATATATAGATTAAATATATATTATAATGATATATATCTGTATAATATATAATAAATAAGATATATATCTATTGGTATATCAATATATGTTTATCATGATAGATATATATCTATATATTATATTTTATATTATATTATATATATTATATTTTATATTATATTTTATATATAATATATAATATAATATATAGATATATATCTATCATGATATATAAACATATATTGATATATCAATAAATATATTATATGTAGATATATAGACATATAATCAATGTATATTTATATCTAAATATATATAAATAATATATAAATATATATGGATATAAATATATAAACCCGTGAAAGCATTTTCAGGTAAAAGGAAGAATCTCTGGCATGTATCACATCATATTTACTTTTTAAAATTGTGATATAACAATATATAAATTTATAGAGAAACATATATTTATAAGTAATATATAATCAACATCTTTATATTATAAATATATATAAATCAATATATTTATATTATAAATCATTTATAAATTTAAATGATAAATTTAAATTCTAAATTTAAAATATATAACATATATTTATATATAAATATATAACATATATTTATATATAAATATATAACATATATTTATATATAAATATATAACATATATTTATATATAAATATATAACATATATTTATATATAAATATATAACATATATTTATATATAAATATATAATTGATATGTATGTATCTAGGTAACTATATTTATAACTATGTATTTATAAATTTATAATATATAATTTATATATAATCAATATGTATCTATCTAGGAACTATATATTTATAACTATATTTATAATATTTAATTTGTATATAACCAATATGTATATTTCTAGGTAAATATATCTATATTTATAACTCTCTCTATAAAGTTATAATATATAATTTATATATAATCAATATGCATGTATCTAGGTAACTATATCTATAACTCTATAAATTTATAATATATAATTTATATATAGTCAATATATATGTATCTAGGTAACTATATCTATATTTATAAGTTTATAATATATAATTTATATATAATCAGTATGTATGTATCTAGGTAACTATATAACTCTATATAAATTCATAATATATGATTTGTATATAATCAATATGTATGTATCTAGGTAACTATATCTATATTTATAACTATATTTATAAATTTATAATATGTAATTTATATATAATCAATATGTGTCTATCTAGGAACTATATCTATATTTATAAATATATTTATAAATTTTTAAATATATAATCAATATGTATGTATCTAGGTAACTATATATTTATAAGTATAAATTTTTAATATATAATGTATATATAATCAATTTGTATGTATCTAGGTAACTATATATTTATAACTCTATAAATTCATAACAATTTATATATAATCAATGTGTAGATATCTAGGTAACTATATATTTATAACTCTATATTTATAAATTTATAATATACAATGTATATATAATCAATATGTATGTATCTAGGTAACTATATCTATATTTATAACTCTCTCTATATTTATAGTAAACACTTCATAGAGTGTTTGCTTTTGAGCTCACATTATCCTCTTGGTCTCCTGGATATGAAATCCTCTGGAATTTTCTCCACCTTTCCGGCCATAACTTGGTCTCAGTCACTGCTTCCTCCTCCTCCTCTGCCTGAATCTTTGCTGACTGGGTCCTCCTTGACTTGGTCCTAAGCCCCTTTCCTTCCTGGTTGGCTTCAGAGTCAATGGCCTCTCCCACATGTGTGGTTCCAATTACCACCCACCCGCCAGTGATGACTACCATATGTGCTTCTCTAGTCCAAATACATTCCCTGAGTTCCATACCCCATCTGTATTTATGGCCACTCCCCATTTCTGGCATTACTGTCTGAGCTCCACCTCCTGTCAGATCAGTGACAGCATGAGATTCTCACAGAAGCACAAACCCTATTCTGAACTGTGTACGCAAGGGATCTAGGTTGTGCACTCCTTATGAGAATCTAATGCCTGATGATCTGTCACTGTCTCCTGTCACCCTCAGATGGAACTGTCTAGTTGAAGGAAAATAAACTCAGGGGTCCCACTGATTCTACACTATGGTGAGTTGTAGATTTATTTCATTATATATTACAATGCAATGATAAAAGAAATAAAGTGCACAACAATGTAATGCATTTGAGTCATCCCAAAACCACCCCCTCCCCAACCCTGTCTGTGGAAAAATTGTCTTCCATGAAATTGGTCCCCAGTGCCAAAAAGGCTGGGGACTGCTGATCTATTGTATGACTCCATGTATATTAAATGTATATTGTATGATTCCATATATATGAAATGTTCACAATAGTCAAATTCATAGATACAGGAAAGAAAGTGGTGGTCCCCAAAGGCTGGAGGAGGAGAGGGAGTAGAGCATGACTGCTTAACAGATATGAGATCTCCTTTTGGGGTGTTAAAAATGTTTGGAAC
Organism: Homo sapiens; assembly: GCF_000001405.40. NCBI lineage: Eukaryota > Metazoa > Chordata > Mammalia > Primates > Hominidae > Homo > Homo sapiens. Next base: position 11,964,876 of record NC_000024.10, on the reverse strand, counting down.
AAGATAGAGATGATGTATACACAATAGTATGAATGTACTAAATGGCACTGAATTGTAGCGTCTACAATAGTGAATTCCATGCCATTTGAATTTTACTTTAAAAAATTGCAAAAGCATTGTACAGGTCAGCTTTATATGTGCCTTCAGGATGTAGCTGGCTCTGAAAACAAGCTCTAATGCTTTTAGAGATGGAGAAATGAAAGGAAAAATAAGGGAGGTGCTGTTTGAAATGCCCTCAATATGAAACGATGTCTGCTACAGATTCTATGTGCATGGATTCATCTTGCAATGCAGTCACAGCTATAATTTGAGCTTTGTGGGTCTGCAAGTTACTATTCTGGGTGGGTCAACCAAATAGGCAAGGGCTCAGCTCTGTTAGCAAGAAGGTTGACTAGAAGGGTAAAAATAATGAAAAAGATCATTTCAGGTAATCGTGAATTTCATAAGGAAATAATTAAAGGACAGGAAGGAGAGTAGAGGGGTTTGGTGGGTTAATGCCTGTGGCAGAGCTCTCTGGGGAGCTGAGATTTGAAGCAGGGCTTCAGAAGCAAAGGGGTGTGACCATGTACAGGTCTCTTGGGGAAAGGCATTCCCAATGGAGGAAGACACCCAGAGATTTTCATTGCTTTATACAAAAGCTCACTGTTTGGTTTGTTGATCCTGATTAGGAACTTGGTTTTGGGTGCAGCTTCAGTGTTTCACTCCATTATTGGTTGACTTACTATTCATTCAGTTTCTTAACTCTCTGCTCCAAGATGCCTCATCTTATTTCTGGAGATTCATTATTGGTCCACTTGGGCATGGCCTCATCATTTTAGAAGAATATTCCATGGTGGACAATTAGTTACCTCTCTGGTATTTTGCTGTTTGCCATAAAGTTCAGAGTTATTGGCCATCTTTCTATTCCTTAGACTCACCAAGCTTGCCTGCTTTATAGCATGGCCATTGATTTGTTCTCTATAGAGATGATGCTCAACATCCTGTAATGCACACGATGGCCCCTACAACCCAGATTGATTCAGTCCTAAACATCAAGATTGCAGAAATTTGGTAACCTTACCTTAGCATGTACAAATTTGTCTACCTGTCTCTCTGTCTGTATCTATCTATCTAACTACCTACCTACCTACCTATCATCTATCAATCTATCTATAATCCTATCTCTCATCATCCTATCATCTGTCAAGCATTTATTATCTATCATCTATATATCAATCATATATCTATTCATCCATTACATCTATTTATCTATCATCTATTATCCATCCATCACATCCATCTTTCTATCTATCATATATCTATCATCCATCACCTGTATCTATCTATCTATCTATCTACTATCTATCTACCATCTATTACCTATCTATCCATTGCATCCAGCTCTGTATCTGGGTATCTATCTATCCATCTATCTATCATCTATCTATGTACCTATATCTATTTCATCTATCTATCATCCTATCATGTACCTACCAATATACCTACCTTTCATCTATCTCTATCATCTATCAGCTATCATTTTATCATCTGCTTATTATCCTATCATGTTTCCATTATCTATCTTGTATCTATTCATCCACCACATCTATCTATCTATCTATCTATCTATCTATCTATCTATCTATCTATCTATTATTTTTCCATCCATCTATGTATCTAATATCTATGGCATCTATGTATCTAATATCTATGTATCCTATCTATCTATCTTCTATTATCTATCCATCCATCACATCTATCTGTCATCTACCTATCACCTTTCTACATATGTATATCTATTCTATCTATCATCCAATCACCTACCTATCAACATACCTACTTTTTATCTATCTCTATCACCTATCAGTCTATCATCCTATCCAGTATCAGTCTATCATCTATCTTATCTATCATCTAATATCCTATTATCTATCAACCTATCTATCATCTATCTTTATCATTCTATCTATCAATCATTGTATCATCTGTCTGCCTCTCTGTCTGTCTTTCTGTCTCCCTGTTTGTCTGTCTATTGTCTATCTGTGGCAGTAGTTCTCAACCAGGGAAAAGTTTGTTTCTAGGGAACATTTGTCATCATGTGTAGAGATTTTTGGTGATCACAAATATGGAAGCAGGTGCTACTGGCATCTAATGGGTGAAGGTCAGGGAAGTTGCTCAACATTTTACAATGCACATGACAGCAACATAAAACAAAGAATGATCCTATCCAAAATGATAATAGTGTCCCAATGTCAGTTATGCTGAGGTGAGGAAATCCTGCTCTAATCCTAGGTAATCTTTGGGCAGATGTGTTGTGTTTATTATTATTTAGGATTTTAGAACAAATCTGTCTGGAATGGTGAACACACAAAAGGGAATTGATGTCAGCGCCAAAATCCTTTTCCAGGTTGCGTGTGGGTGGCTCATGCCTGTAATCTCAGCACTTTGCGAGGCCAAGGTGGGTGGATCACTTGAGGTAAGGAGTTACCTTGGGAGGCCAAGGCAGAAGAATTGCTTGAAACCAGGAAGTGGAGGTTGCAGTGAGCCAAGATAGCAGCACTGCACTCCAGCCTGGCAACAAAGTGAGACTGCATCTTAAAAAAAAATCCTTTTCCATTTCTTGGATGCTGGGATTTCTCTAGATACAGCAAGCAGGGGAAATAATGGTATCAGGTGAGTAGGTGAGATTGTCTGTGACCAGGTTACCTAAGAGCTGAGAAGACATGGGAAGGACTATGTTTTATTTACACCAAGTGCAAAAGGGAGTGATTGGAGGGTTTAAGGAAGGGAGTGACATGAATTGAAGTATGTGTTAAAACAGCAATGTTGGCCACTACCTGGAGAACTTGTCAGAGCTGGGCAAGAGAGGGAGGCAGAAATGAGGTGAATCCTGCAGAGAAATTGAGGGATGCTGGATTCACAACCAGGCAGTAAATATGAAAGCATACAGAACATTTCCAAATGTACTTAGAGGAAGAGCCAGCAGAAATTGCTGAGTGGTGGGAGTGAGAATGAGGACAATCTTGGAGGGGAGGATTCTCCATGTGGGGGGATGCTATCATTTGCTGGATGGCAAAGGCTGAGAGAGACGGTGTTGGGGAAACAATTCAAAGCTGTATTTACCATGTGATGGTTGAGAATTTTGTAAGCATCTAAGGGGCGAATAGGGATCAAGACTACGATGGAGATCCACGATGCACATTCAGAGGAGACTAGCCAACCAACCAATGGAACAGAGCCCTGGGAGTAAATAATCTGAACAGAGCCCACGGGAGGCAGATATTCAGACAGAGAAGATAGGGTTCTGAGGCTCAGTCTCTGAAATGGGTCAGAAACAGCTGGATGTTCCTCAGCACATTTTACTTCAAGAGTGTGCTATGTTCTCATTCCGTAGTTGTGGTCACCAAAAAGGTCTCCAGATGTTGCCAAATGTTCTCCAGGGGCAAACTCATCCATTGTTGATAACTAGTATCATAGATAGATAATACATACATACATAGGCAGACAAATAATAGATAGATAGATAGATAGATAGATAGATAGATAGATAGATAGAATGGATAGATGATATTGATTGATTGATAGAGATGATAGGTAGGTAGATTATTGATAAATAGATGATGGAGAATACGTAGCTTGATTAATAGAGATGATAGATAGGATAGAGAGATCAATAGATAGATGAAGGAAATAATTAAAGGACAGGAAGGAGAGTAGAGGGCTTTGGTGGGCCAAACCCCTAGAGATAGGTGATAGGTAGGTGATAGGCAGACAGATGAAACAAAGATTGACTGATAGATGATGTGTAGGTAGAGAGATAGATTGGCTGATTGATGATAGAGATAGAGGTTAGGTAGGTAGATAGGTGACAAGCAGATAGATAGGTAGGTAGATAGATAGATAGATAGACAGATATTGAGAAAAACAGACAGAATGACTCATATTAAAGCCATGGATAGCTGAATGTCAAAAGTAACCTAAGAATTTTGGTGACAACTATTAAGGTGGAGAAAAAGGGAAAATAGGAACAAAGGATCAATACTGGTTGATTTCCCTTCACATCTGAATAATTCCCCCTATTTGGGAGGGCACACAAAGTCTGGGACAGGCTCCACATCAGCTCAGAAAGGTGCCTGACTGTCATCTTCCCCCGATTGTTTTTAATGGGCATTAGAGAGCTTGCAGATGCAGATTCCAAGGGTGCCAGATGTGAGAATGGGGGAGAGGGGCGGTTATTCTGGAACAGACAAAAGCCTGGGGAATCACTTGAGTACCCCCTTTCAGAAACCGAGGGTATACATGTCCCCTTTTTGCATCCTTCTAAAAATCAGTAGACAGTCTGGGAAACTGGAGACTGGGATGACCCTGTACAAAGTGCAGTTCTGTGGCTTATTAGCCCCTTGGCTTACATTCCAGACTATCTTCATCACCTATTGATTGACAATCACTGAATATATAACTGACTCTGTGAAATGTTTATGGCAGACAATATTTGCAAAATTATGTCATAGGTTCTGGTTAATATCACAAGGCAGAACTTAAAATAAAACGGATGAGTATGGGCATTGTCAAAGTTGCAGAAAGTCATAATCAAAACCAGTCTTTTAATCGAGGGAAAAATATTTAAGAGTCTGTAAATCCATCTCTAGGTGGATGCTACATTGTTGGTTCCTGAAAAAAAATATTTGGAAAGCAATTTTCAGAAATGCTTTTAGTCTGTCCAAGCAGGAAAGACCAATGCTGACAAAGAATCCTAAAAACAGCTGTGTGGGAATAGGTTTCATTAGCACTTGGCCAACAATTCCTCATTCCTTGAGAGTCTTATATTTTCTCCAGACTGCTAAAACACAAATCAATCTCTGAGTGTTATCAGTTAGACATTGGTCTTGCTTCAGGTTTTTTCCCCAACAAAGTCCAAGATGCTGGACTCATTACCTAATTTGAGATTGATTTTTCTGAAACAATGCTATTATAATATTATTAGTGATGTTTTTCCAATAGTATATTAGTTCCTATTACAGATTAAACCAGATGGAAGGCATAGATGTTGATGCAGTGAAGTAATTCTCTAGGGTCTTAAAATTTTTCTTTTCTTTTTAATATTACAGAAAACTATCTCTAGATATTACTGGTATCAATAGGAAAAAGAAACATTAACATGTTGGTATGTCTGTTTTATTCCCCCATTAAAGTCAATCTTTATTGTGAGTTGTTTAAAATGAAACCATCAGAAATGGTGTTGTAATTTAGAGGTTAGTTATGTTTTGCACTTACAAAGTACTTCAGTTTAAAAATGAACAGGAAGAAAAGCATCCCAGAAACTGTAAATGAGATGCAAACAACTTCAGAAGTAATAGTCTTATTGGTGCTGTAAGTCTCCGGCCATTAAACAAATCACCTCTTTGGGGAGGTTGTATGCAGGGACTGTCCCCACCCTCATTTCCAGCCTGGTATCCCCCTTCCCAACACACAACACAAACACCCAAACCTGCTGTGCAGGAAGCACCGCCATATATATATATATATATATATATATATATATATATATATATATATATATATATATATCTGCATCAGCCCCACACTTTTTAGAAGGCTCCACCAAGGACTGGCTGATGGTACCCCCAGCATGGGACCTGCCAAGGTGCTAGGTTTGAGAGATGAGGTGGTTAATCCCAGCAAGTGGGACCATGTGTTAAAATGGTTCATGTATAAAAAACAATTCCTAGACAGAGCCATTTTGCACACCAAGGGTGGAAGAAAAAGAAGTTACAGTTAAAGCTTCACTTTCATATATCACATGTGCTATCTCTCAGGATTCAAATGAGCTTTAGCAGTCAAGGAACCAACCCAAATATCCACCAATGATAGACTGGATAAAGAGAATGTGGTACATATAAACCATGGAATACTATGGCGCTGTAAAAAGGAATGAGATCTTGTTATTTTCAGGGACCTGGATGAAGCTGGAAGCCATCATCCTCAGTGAATTAACAAGGGGAAGAGAAAACTAAATGTGGCATGTTCTCACTCGTAAGTGGGAGTTGAACATTGAGAACACAGGAGCACAGGGAGAGGAACAACATACACCAGGTCCTGCTGGCGGGTGAGGGGTGAGAGGAGGGAACTTAGAGGTTGGGTCAATAGGTGCAGAAAACCACCATGGCACACATATACCTATGTAACAACCTGTACACTCTGCACATGTATCGTGGAACTTAAAGTTAAATAAATAAATAAATAAAACAAATGGGCTTTAGCACCTCTTCCGTTTTTCTTACTTAATTATACAAGAAATGTGTCCTGATAAATTACAAGACTGTAAAAAGGGAAGCTGGCTTACATGTTACTATTCCCTCCTCTGGCAATGCCAAGCTGTTTTCCCCAATGAGCTATCATCGTTGTGGTTGGATGTTCAGGTGGTCAACTCATAAACTCTAACAGCATTTCATTGAGAAAGCTATTTAATGGTCTGTTGCCATGGGTTAGGGAAATTATCATCTTATTCCCTCAACGTTTCATTGTCTAATTCTACCACTGTCAATAGGGAAGTTTCCTCCTTACTCCCTCAACGTTTCATTCTCTGACTCTACCACTGTCGATAGAGAAATTTCCATCTTATTATCTCAGTGTTTCATTCTCTTTTTCTACCACTGTCAATAGAGGAAAGTTTTTTTTTAACTTTGTTCTATAAGATGTCCAGGTACATTTACAGTTATTTTGCATTTGCTCAAATCTGGACATTTTATTTTTATTAAAAGATCTCCATGGTGGATATTTCTCAGACACTAATTTAATCAGTTGTTCTGGGGATAGATGCTAGAAAGTAGCTAATACATTTTGTTGAAGTACTCTAAATGATTGTTGACTATTAAAATTGCAGTTGAGCACCTGTAGTTCATAGCACCTAACACTTAGGTCCACACAACCTTCGTGCGTATAAAATGACACCAATATATTAAAATTCTACCTGGCACACCACATCGAAATATGTTTTAAAAAAGATGTTGACATTTTTAATAGCCAAAATCTGCAGGAATTCTTTTCCTGCCTTAAAGTCACAATTCTATCATCTACATGACTTATAAAATGGCACAGATGTTCTGCTTATTTTTATTATTCTTAAATCGTTGCTGAAGTCTATTTAAATCATCTTCGTATGTTTAAGTGTGTTTCTCATGCATTCACCTCTACAATATATTAAAGAAATGCTATCAAGGCAATTTATCAACAGACTCTAAAGTTGTTCATGCTGCTTGTTAATAGACCTTACAGCAGTGGCAGCTAAGGGATATAGTCAGATAATCATCAAAAAAGCTGTATTTAGCATAACTAAAACTTTTCCTCTCTATTCTACCCATCTGCAGCTCCATAATTGTCGACAGAGCTACACAGAGGAAATGCACAAATGAAGTTAAGTAAATGCACATACACTCATTGCAAAACCAGATCAAGACGCACGCACTGACAGTGGGATGGTTCGGGAAGAAGGTGGTACAAACCCCAAATTGATTCTTTCCACATGTTTAGCAATGCCAGCGGGCACAGAAGCCAGGGATCGGAACGTGCAGTGGACCTCGCTGGGGACGTAGCAGGCACAAGGATGAGGGCAGGCCAGCGCCACTCGCGGATGACCCCAAAGCAGGATCAGCACCACAGAGAGGGCCCCCCAGTGCGCGCGCTTGGGCATCTTGTCGGGGTGCCTGATTCTCGGATACCTGAGGTAGAACAACGAAGAGATGCGCTTATTCACAGGTAGCACCGACGAACTGTGGGCAATTTTTAAATTTGAATTGTGCATCAGGGTTTCAAGCTTCCCAGGACTTCACACGATGTGTTGTAGTGACGCTTAAACCATGGGAATTGAGAAAGATGAAACATGGTTTTTTTCTAAACTTTTCACCATTCACTTTAATCATGACTATAGAATATAGTCTTGATTCTTGGCTTGGATACTATGATTTGGAAATCTGTCTTGCATTCTGTAATTGTGGGTATGAAATTGGCGGGGGGTAGTGGGGGAAACAGAAAGACAGAGAGAGAACAAGAAAAAGAGAGGTTTGTATTTATGTTTCCATAATAAAAGAAATAATAAAATGTTGTGTTTCTGCATCCAACAACAACTAAGCCATTATATATTTATATACACAACAAACACACGCCTGTCCATTCGCCCAGGTTCTGAAGGAGGGCGAACTGCTGATTAAAAACTCTAAAACCCAGGCTGGGCGCGGTGGCTCACGCCTGTCATCCCAGCATTTCGGGAAGCCGAGGCGGGCGGATCACCTGATGTCTGTAGGTAGAGACCAGTCTAACCAACACGGAGAAATCCCGTCTCTACTAAAAAATACAAAATTACTTCCCAAGAAAACTATTTATTTTGATTCTTTCCTTTAATGATATTTCTCAAACCTTTAATTCTAGCTTCTTGAAGAGCTTAAAGAGGTATTCACTAGAAGGAGATTCATCCTGTTATTTCTGGGTGTATTTACTATCCTTATTTTTTTGTCTTGGAAAAGCTAGAGAGTTTTCTGGATGATACAGAGTTGCTGTTAATCGGGGAGGAAGTCTGGGGGAACCTCTGATCATTCAATAAACAGGAAGGGATTGCTAATGAAATACATTCAGGCAAACAGAAAAAAAAATGGAGTCACTAAAAAAATGGAAAACCTAGATTGCATCAGCTACTTCATTTAGAAGTGATCTTCTTCGTGCCCTGGCAATGTCTATGTCATCTAACATTTTTGTCATCTCTTGAATGGCGTTCACTTAAAAACAGTGGCACACATGGAAAGTAAATAGGGATGCACAACAAACGACAGCCTGCCCATTCGCCCGGGTTCTGAACGACCACGAACTGCTAACTAAAAGTTCCAAGACCCAGGCCTGGCGCGGTGGCTCAAGCCGGCCATCCCAGCATTTTGGGAGGCAGAGGTGGGCGGATCACCTGAGGTCGGGAGTTCGATACCAGCCTGACCAATAAGTGTAAGCTCCGTCTCTACTAAAAATACAAAATTTGCCAGTCGTGGTGGTGCATGCCTGTAATCCCAGCTACTCGGGAAGCTGAGGCAGGAGAATCGCTTGAACCCGGGAGATGGAGGTTGCAGTGAGCCAAGATCGCGCCATTGCACTCCAGCCTGGGAAACAAGAGAGAAACTTGGTCTCAAAAGTAATAATAAGAGTAAATAAAAATTCTAAAACCCTTTCTATAAGAGAGGAGCATCCAGACCTGTAGCTTTCCCTGCCTTTGAGTGACCTAGGAAAGGTTATTCTCTTAAGCCCGGGGGCTCGTCTCCCTTCAGTTGCCCATCAAGGACTGATGGTGCACTGGTAGCTTTGCAAAAAAGCAAGTCTGGCTTCGCCTCTGAGGGCTGGAACAAACTGACTCCCGCAGCTCTGCAAGTCCTCGGACTTTTCTCTCTCGTCAGAGCCCAGGTTGTCCCCGCCCCTGCCAGCGCGCCCGACCTTGGTGCTGGGTTGGTCCCAAGGGCAGCCGAGGGCGCCAGTCCCCAGCGTCCTGTGCCTGCGGGCGGACTTGGCCCAGGCGTTCCAGAGGACTCCTCAGCCCCCGCTCCCTGTCCACCCTCCCACCCCGGCACCAACCTCCCGGGGGATCCAGGAAACTCGCCCCCAGCCAACCCTAATCCCCGGGACGCGGGGTCAAGTCTCTGCCGCAGAGAAAGCGGCCCTGCGCCAGCTAGGCCGCCGGATACGGTCTGCGAACCCTGCAGGGAAGCAGGGGTGGTGAGGCAGTCTGCTTTCTTCTTGGCCCTGGGCGGACAACCTAGAGTGGCCGCGCTGGAGGCCCTGCGCCCCTGGCCGGCTTCCAGAGTACGTTGGGTTGCGTCGAGCTGGCTGCGGGGTGAACTACGCGCTTTCCTGGAAGGCGGATGGGGTGGCCCCGCGAGTCGTCGCCGCTCGGGACTCGGACATCAAACCCCTTCTCTCTGCGGGGATGACTGTCCCTTTTTTTTTTTTTTTTTTTTTTTTTTTTTTTTTTTTTTCCATGGCTCAGATCACTCTAGGCGTTGGGTTGTCCCCTTTCCAGGAAAAGCCTGGGTAATAGTAGGAGGAAAGAGGCAGGGAAGGAGCTGGGGAAGAGAGGAGGAATAGGAGACATGAAGTAGTCGCAGCCTGAGCAACCTGAAAAGAGACCCCTCAAGCGTCCTTTCCCCCACCGATTGCAAGAGCACAGTGGGCTTCATTCAAGAATTCCGTCCGCAGCTTCCTAGAAACGCCGGATGGCGGGGTTGTAGGTCTCCAGAGAGAGAGACAGAGGGATGAGGGGCGAGTTGGGAAGCGGGAGGAAAGGAGGCATGGGTTGTCTGGGCTTAATTAGACCTGCATGCATCCTCCTTCAAGATCCGGCTGTCCTCCCTAACTGATCCTCAGCTACTTAAAATTGGAGGAATTCAGGTTTCCTGATTTCTTAGCAACTTCAAACAGTGCTGGGGAACAGTGCAATCTGCCTGCATGCGGGCCCTTTACCCTGTTTTTCCCTTGGGTGTCTCTCAAATCCCGTCACTCCCTGCAAGCAGACACAGCAGCCCACGGGCACCCTGGCCACCCTGGGTCCTCACCTATCCTTGGGAAGCCGCCGCACACGGGAGCGCAGAGCGCGGATCATCCACCGTGCCGTGGTGCTCAAGTCAAGGCCAGGAGTCTGCCGGGGCCATGCCCTTTCCCGGGCCGGGAGCGAGGCAGCTCGGCTTTTCAGCGCGGCTCAGCGCGGCACAGCGCGCCGGCGCCCTTTTATTCAGGCGCTGCTAGGCTTCCCCAAGTCCACGCCTCTGCACACCCCTACCCTGCCCCACCCCGGGGAGACGGGGCGCAGTCCCAAGCCAAGGGACCCTGGCCGCGCCGCTCTGCGCTCAGCCTTCCTCTCGCGTCTTCATTACGCCTAGGCCCGGGTGCGTATGCCTCACCCACTCCAGCTGCAAGAACCGCAGGCGGCTCTGGGAAGGAGGGCTCTATGTCAGAGAGAAGTCCCGGGACCCAGGAGGAAAGGGCGAGATGCAGGGAGCGCGGTGGGAGCCGCAACAGAGTCCGCGCTTGGAGAACGCCTAAGCAGCGCTGGCAACGTTTCCGTTCCTTTCAGGGGACAGAGAAGGAGCAGAGTTTGCGCTTCTCCGGGTCAGACAGCGTTTCCTCTGGCAGCTCTTCCTAGCCCTTGTGCAGGCAGGAGCGGACTGGCCTCGCAAGCATCCCGGGAGCTGCCTGCAGGGCTGCAACGTGAGAGCCGCCGCCACGCCCTCCCGCTTCTCCAGGACTCCCGGGCGCACGCCTCCCTCCCCCTGCCAGTCTTCCTGCCGGAAAGATGGAACGGCTGCCCTCCGGCGTGGAGAGCCTTCGAGGGGAAGGGCGAGGGCTGGGAAGTTGGGAGAGTCTAATGGTCTAATGGTATTATCTGGGGAGGGTGTGGGGGTAGGGTGGCAGTGACCTGGAGACAAGGCAAAAAGTAGAGGGTACAGAGGGTAGTTCCCTATTCCAGGAGGCAGAGGACGAGGAGGAGGTGGCTGCCTGGCTTCTTGGATAAGTCAGACCTGGAATGGTGGGGAGAGGTCAGGACAGGATCTTCGGTCAGCAGAGCCCACCTGGGGTAAAAACATGGTGCTCAGACCAGTGTGCAGGGCCCGGAAAGGCACCACGGCACCAGCTTCTTGCAGGGTGCACCAGCGACTGCTTTTGGCTCTTCCTCTGGTTAGTCGCAATCCTCTTCCTGACCCAGCATTTTGATAACATATCCTTAGGGACAGTGTTTGCCTGTTGTGTTCTTTGATCTACAAAAGACATCTGTGAGTATAAAAAGAAAAAAATTTTTTTACAAGCCCAATGGTATCGTGTACTTGTACAACCAATCTTGTCTGCTGAGATGCCCCTGAGATGCCCCTGAAGCAGGTGAGCGGCTTTTATTTTTATTTATTTATTTATTTATTTATTTATTTATTTAAGATGGAGCTTCCCTCTGTTGCCTAGGCTGGAGTGCCGGTGGTGTGATCTTGGCTCACTGTAACCTCCGCCTCCAAGGCAGAAGCGATTCTCCCACCTCAGTCCCCCATGTAGCTACGACTACAGGCATTTGCCACCATGCTGGGCTAATTTTTGTATTATTATTATTGTTATTATTTTTGTACAAACAGGGTCTCACTATGTTATTCAGGCTGGACTCGAACTCTTAGCCTCAAGGATCTACCCCCCTCAGCCTCCCAAAGTGCTGGGTGTCAGGCCTCTGAGCACAAGCTAAGCCATCATATCCCCTTTGACCTGCACATATAAATCCAGATGGCCTGAAGCAACTAAGAAACCACAAAAGAACCCCAGAGGCAGAGGTTATGGTGAGCCGGTGCCATTGCACTCCAGCCTGGATAACAAGAGCAAAACTCCAACTCAAAAAAAAAAAAAAAAAAAAAAAAAAAGAGAGAGAAGTGAAAATGGCCAGTTCCTGCCTTAACTGAGGACATTCCACCATTGTGATTTGTTCCTGCCCCACCCTGACTGATCAGTTAACCTTGTGGCATTCCTTTTTCTGGAAAATGAGTCTCATTATCTCCCCATCGAGTACCTTGTGACCCCTGCCCCTGCCTGCAAGAGAACAACCCCCTTTAACTGTAATTTTCCACTACTTTCCCAAATCCTATAAAACTGTCCCACCCCTATGTCCCTGTGCTGACTCCTTTTTCAGATTCAGCCCACCTGAACCCAGGTGATTAAAGAGCTTTATTGCTCACACAAAGCCTGTTTGGTGGTCTCTTCACACGGACTCATGTAACACTAGGATTACAGGCATGAGCCACCACACCCAGCAGGCATGCAGTTTTTAAAAGGCAATGCATGGAAAAAGTATAATTGAGAAGTGCCTGCTCTTTAGATTTGATGCCCTGCCCTACATCCAGCACTCTCTCAGGGGCTGTCAGGAAGAAGGAAGGAATAAGCCTAAGAAATAAGTTGCTTCCCCTGCATGGAGCATGGACTGTCTTAGTTCCTCCTAAGAAACACAATGTCTAGGAATTCCTCACCACCTGCCGCCCACACCTAGGGTGGCTTCCACAGAGTTGATAGTCAGGAAACACTGGTTCATAAATGGGAATTCATTCCTTCTCTAGCTTTAGTTTTCAGCATGTGTTGACATAGTTGCAGGGATTAGTCAAATAATGCCCTTAGGCCTTTTCTTGGGCATGCCCCAAACCCATTGATTAAATTACAAAACAAAACAAAAAACAGCTGTCTCTTGAACATCTCTTTATCCTTGTTAATGATGTTGCCACCCATCTAGTCAGTAAAGTAGAAACTCAAGCCATCCTTGCCTTCTGCCTATCCTTCACACCTTCCTCATAGTCACCTGGTTGCCAAGTTTAGTTCCTGATGCCTAACAATCTCTGGGCCCAATGTGCTCTTCTCTCTGCCTCTCACTCTACAGTTGCATGGGTATGTCTTAGATTTTGACAACTTCTTCCTCCATCAATGCCTTAATTTGTCCCTTCCAGCTGATAACTGAGATTTAGAGGGGTGCTATCATCCTCAAACCCAAGGCTGAAGTTTTCTATGGGTGGCCGGTGACACGCCTTGTGCTTCCCAGCCTGTCACTGGGCTCTACCTTTTACCGATATGTCTGGCTTGTCAAGAACAGGTAGCACGTCCCTGATTTTTATTGTTGTTGTTGGTTTATGCCACTGTTTTGACAAACTTCTCCTCAATCTCCATTGTACAGCATTACCTTGCCTCTGTGCCCATTGCTAATGTGGGCTTTTTCCTGCATTGTGGACAATCGCTCACCTTCTTTTTATGCTGTCATAGCTTCTTGACACCTGGAGTATAGCACAGAGCTTGGCATACACCAAGTGTTCAATTGAATAAATGAATAGGTGAATGAATGAATGAAAGAATACATGACTAAGGTTGAATTCTATTAAGAAATGTCTAGATTTGGCCAGGTGCAGTGGCTCATGCCTGTAATCCCAGCACTTTGAGAGGCTGAGGTGGGAAGACTGCTTAAGTCCAGGAGTTTGAGACTAGCCTAGGCAACATGGGAAAACCCTATCTCTACACACACACACGCACCAAACAAACAAACAAACAAACAAACAAAAAAACTAGCCAGGCATAGTGGCATATGCCTGTAGTTCCAGTTACATACTGGGGGTTGAAATGTGAGAATCACTTGAGACAGTGAGCCAAGATTGCACCAGCGCACTCCAGACAGGGTGACAGAGCAAGACCCTGCCTCAAAAAAAAAAAAAAAAAAAAAAAAAGTCGGGTTTTCCCTGCAGTGGGGAAATCTATTTATACTAGCTTATTCAGAGGGAATATTATTGGTTCACTTAATAGATAATATATATTCATACCTCTAAATACTTGTGCTACCTGGACAATCTGCACCCCAAAATTGGTTTATCGAAGTGCAGTGAAAGACAGAGGTTTACGGAAATTAGATAGGTAACTCAAATATAATGGTTTTAATGCCCTACAAGTCTGAAGTAAATAAAATATCAGGTAAACTAATTCAATTCTGCTTTGAAAATTTCATGCATTGGATGACGGTGAGTGAGCAGTGGAAAGAAACCTCTGGATGGATGCAGAATTATAGCTTGGGGCAACAAAAATCTGGAACTATGCGCAGGTGATGGCTGCACAACACTGAGATGTATGAAATGCCATTACATTATTACTTTAACATGGTTTACTTTATGATGTGAATTTAACCTCAATAAATTATTTTTTAATTACACACATACTAATAAAAAGGAAATGCCTAGAGTAGAAAAGTCCCAGGATGTAACTTGTACAATATATCCACAAAGAAAGTATTATGGAATCTCGTCATTCCATCCTTTTTGTTAAGTAAAATGCATAGTTTGCTGTATGTAGTCTTTTTTATTTTGACATTTGTCCTGCTAATGTTACCTGCTTGCTTGGTGATGTGTTCCTAGAGCAGGGACCATGTTTGATTAATTGTTGAATCCCTTGAAGTGCCAAGAGAGTTCCTTAAATACAGGAGGTTTGCAGTACATGTCAGTTAAATTAAATTCATCTGTTTGCTAATAATTCCACCATGTGGAGGGTGAGGAAGGATGATCAAATGAAGGGCAGGTCAGTCCTTGTAGCTACAGAATGTACTTCAAGCAAAAGAATGATACTGAGCTCAGTGATTAACAAAAGATTGGAGCCCTCCTAATTGCTAAATGCCATGGAACCTGATGGATTGTGGCTTGTTGCAGATGAACCAGTGACTTACTAGCCACTGCTTTTTACTGTTCCTCTGGTTAGCAGCATTTCTCTCCCTGAACCAGCATTTTGACAACATGTCCTTATTATCAACATTTGCCTGTTTTGTCTTTGATCTACAAAAGACATCAGTGAATATAAAAAAATAGAGCTTTTTTTTTACAAGCCTAATGGTACCATTTCCTTGTGTAACAAATCCTGTTTGCTGAGATGCTCCTGAAGCAGGCTGATGGCATCCCAGTTTTAAAAAGTGATGCATGGAAAAGACATGATTGAGAAGTGCCAGCCCTTTAAATTCAACCCCCTAGACTCATGCATTCAGAAGGAAATCCAGACAGGTTTGCTAGCTCACTTCCCATCACCCAACCCTGATCCTCCATCGAGACCCCTTTTGCTTTAGAAATGTGGAGATAGGGAAACTTGCAGCCCAGGAGACCCAGGAGGCCCTTACCACTGGGGAGCCATCATCCCTCTGCCTCAGTCATAAGATCTTTAAAATCCACTTTTCTTGCAAGCCTTTGACCAACAGCAGAGCCATAGGTGATCGAGTCTGACAGTAGAACTCAAACCACCTCCTCCTACTACTCGCCATTTCTTGACCAGAGGGCCTAGAACACACTATTCTCCCTTCCTAAAACCAGATTTCTCAAGGGTACAATAAGGGTAATTTTACTTCTTGGAGGTGTCATAAGGACAGAATGCAATGTTGTACAGAGAGAAGTGAACATACTACATGCACCACGTCTGCAGTGAATATTTATACATAGGATCCAGCGAACCTACAGTCATTTTTTTCAACTTTATTGCTGTCTTTCATCTTCATATCCATCTTTTACCCCAAGGCAAGGTCTCTGGAAGTACACTGGCTGTTTCATGTATGAACTGCAGTTCCTGGAGTTTCTGATTTCAATGTGAAACTCTAATATTCTAAAGGACTCTGTAGATCACTATGTAATTTTCTTAACAGAGATTGTAAAAGTAACTTTCTGAGTCACATGAGTGCAAACCCTACTGCTTCGCAAGCTCTATAATCAAGAGAAAGGCTGACCTAGTGAATACCCTTGGATGACTGGAGGGAAAAAAAAATCGACACAGGAAATCTCTACTTCAAACTCATGGGCTTGCATAGCTCAGAAATCCCAGGGGCAGACTAATAGCTAGTGGGGTTGTATCTTTATTTCAGCAGAAACAGACTTTTAGGAATTTTCCATGAGAACTTGCCCTCATCTGTCTAGGGTAAACCTTCAATGAAAATACGGGCTACTGGCCACCTCAATGAAAATGAGGGGGTATTTTTGTTTTCCTTCTTATCCTCATAGCACAGTCGGTAGGAATACTCTGTTCTCTTGCATGTACTAAAATGCTTCCAGATTTTCTCAACAGCATACTTTAAAATAGAACAGCAGCGTGGAAAATAAGTAAATAAATACAAAGAACACGTCAGAGAAACCCTCTAGCTCTCCTGAGCACAGTTGAGTTATCTCTGCAGATTAGGCTGGAGAAAATTCTGCTTAGCATGGTGCATATCACCCTACAGAGAAAACACATCGTGGAGAAGTGAACGAGCCTGACCCAGCTTGGGCAGATGTGCTGATGGGGATTTCTGGGCAAAATGAAAGCTGTTTATCTACTACTGTGTCTTACCCGGACCAGCAGCACCAAGAACAGTGGAACTCACAGACACAGCCTTCTCCGCTCTGGATCCCTAAAATTTCAGTCGGTAGAAAACCAGCTGCAGGCCAGACAAGGTAGCTCAGGCCTGTAATCCCAGCACTTTGGGAGGCCAAGGCCGGCGGATCACCTGAGGTCAGGAGATCGAGACCATCCTGTTTAATACAGTGAACCCCAATCTCTACTAAAAACACAAAAAATTAGCCGGGCGTGGTCGCGGGAGCCTGTAGTCCCAGCTACTCGGGAGAGGCAGGAGAATGGTGTGAACCCGGGAGGCGGAGCTTGCAGTGAGCCAAGACCGCGCCACTGCACTCCCTCCAACCTGGGCAACAGAGCAAAACTCCGTCTTAAAAAAAAAGAAAGAAAAAGAAAAAAGAAAACCAGCTGCAGAAGATGAGATCATGGAAGGTATGGAAGGTTACCCGCTTCCTCCCTGACCCAGACCACACAGGCCAGTGAATTGCCGACAGGGAAAGGCAAGAAAATGTCAGCAATTATTAATTAATCCCTTCAAAGACCTCAATCCTAGATGGGCAATTCAGGAGAAACCGAGACCTAGCTCACTTTTTTGTAGGGGGATGAAGTCTCACTCTGTTTTCCAGGCTGGAGTGCAGTGATGGAATCCTGGCACGCTGCAATCTCCACCTCCCGGGTTCAAGCGATTCTCCTGCCTCAGACACCCGAGTAGCTGGCACTGCAGGTGTGCACCACCACGCCTTGCTAATTTTTGTATTTTTAGTAGAGATGGGGTTTCACCATGTTGGCCAGGCTGATCTCAAATTCCTGACCTCAGGTCATCCATCCATCTCGCCCTCCCAAAGTGCTGGGATGACAGGCGTGAGCCACCACATTCGGCCCATCTCACTTTTGAAAATAAAAATGGCACATTTTCAACATGAAACTATTCATTTCAGAAAGATGTTCTATAAATGATAAATACTCATAATTCTGGAGTTCACATAAAGAGGGAACCCTAATGAAAACTACGGACTTTGGGTGACTTTGATGTCTCCGTGTGAGTTCATCTGTTGTAACAAATGTCTCACTCTGCTGAGAGATATTGATCATGGAAGAGGGTGTGTGTGTGTGTAGGAAAGGGATATATAAAAATTTATGTGCCTTCTGCTCAATTTCGCAGCTTAGACTGCTCTAAAAATAAAGTCTAGTTTTAAAAATTCTATATTTAAAGAGTCAAAACCCTTTTTCTTCCTCCAAACTGTTTTGGCTTACATTTTTGCTGACTTGTCTTCTTTCAGACAAGCGGCCTCTTGGAATAAAAACCAAATGGCTTCTAGGGGATTCCACATGGAAGCTGCCCTAGAAGCTTGTGACGAAGGAGGATAGAATGTCACTGAAGCTAGTTCTCAGCACTACTGGCTGGTGGAGACGTTGCCCTCAAGTGGCATGGTCTAGAAATCTCCTAGGGCAGCGGTCCCTAATCTTTCTTGCACCAGGGACCAGTTTCATGGAAGACAGTTTTTCCATGGAGCAGGATGGGGGTGGGACATGTGGTTTTGGGATGATTCAAGCACATTACATTTATTGTGTCCTTTATGTATATTATTATTCCACTGTAATATGTAATGAAATAATTCTACAACTCACCACGATGTAGAATCCATGGGAGCCCCGTGCTTGTTCTGCTGAAGCTAGACAGTCCCATCTGGGGGTGATGGGAGAGACAGTGACAAATCATCAGGCATTGGATTCTCATAAGGAGCCTGCAGCCTAGATCCCTCGTATGTGCAGTTCACAATAGGGTTTCTGCTCCAGTAGGAATCTAATGCTGCTGCTGATCTGACAGGAGGTGGAGCTCAGGATGGGAAGCAGCTATAAATACAGATGAAGCCTCACTCACTGCCCTGCTGCTCACCTCCTGCTGTGCAACCTGGTTTTTAACAGGCAGGTAGCAGTTCATGGCCCCTGGGGTTGCAAACCCCTGTCCTAGGACATTCTTCTTACATGTGGATAGATTCCAAGACCCACCTCACTTTTCAAAATAAAAATGGCAAATGGTCTCTCCTTCAGCATGAAACTATTCATTTCAGAAAGACTTCCTATAAATGATGAATACTCAAAATTCTATAGGACACCACATGAAATGCTTTCCCTTTTGGTAAGATGTCTCTTTCATGAATTAGAAGAAGCGGCCTTAATTAACAGACCAGGGGTGAATCATGGAGCAAGGTTTAAGTTATTCTTAAAATACAGCAGAGGAAATTAGTTCTTAAACCCAGTGATCTTTGATTCCCTGTGTAATCATGAGATCAAAACATACTGAGATTTACTTGATTATAAATATAGGTGTGTGTTTGTAAGTGGACAAGCT
This sequence comes from Homo sapiens, assembly GCF_000001405.40. Taxonomy (NCBI): domain Eukaryota; kingdom Metazoa; phylum Chordata; class Mammalia; order Primates; family Hominidae; genus Homo; species Homo sapiens. The sequence goes on along the minus strand of NC_000024.10, from coordinate 11,945,675 downwards.
TAGAAATTCACTAAAACTCAGACTAAATTCAAAGGAGCACTAATGTATTTTAAAGAAGTATTATAACACTTTGGAACATGCTCTTTAAAGATATAAATATAACTATCTTATGAATAAAGTGAAGGAAACAAATAACTCAAAGCCATTAGAAAGCCTGGATCAGAAAATTCAGCCTCTAAATGTTGCCCTGAGTACCTTACAAAGAAGAAAAAGGCAAAGAATACTTAGTTTAAACAGAAACCGTGTGGTTTGGTAATGATTCCTAATTAGCCTTCAAACATGGGTGCAATCTGGACTGCCACACAAATCGCCACTAACTGAGTGTCTTAAAACCACAGCAATTTATGATCTGCCAGTTCTGGAGGCCAGAAGTCTGAGATCAAGGTGTGGGCAGGGCTACAGTCTCTCTGGAGGCTCTAAGGGAGGATCCTTCCTGCCTCTCCCAGCACCTGGGGGCTCCAGAGATTCCTGAGCTTGTGGCTGCATCACTCCAGTCTCTGCCTCTGTCTCCATGTGGCCTTCTCCTTTCTGTGTGTACCATCTCCTCTTTTGTCTCTTAGAAGGACTCCTGTCATTGCATTTAGGGTTGACTTTACTCCAGGATGATCTCATCTCAAGATCCTTAACTAAATGTTTTTACATCCTCTTTCCCAGAACCTACGAAAATGTTACCTTATATGGCAATAAGTGAATCAAAGTTGGAGGGAAAATGAAGTTTGCTCATCAGCTGATCCTAAAATGAGGAGATTATTCTGGGTTATCCAAGTAATTGCAAGGGCTCTTAAAAATAGAAGAGGGAGGCAGAAATGGAGGTTAGAATGATGAGATGTGAGATGGTCTCTGCTGTTGTTGCTGGTTTTGAAGATGAAGAGGGAAACCACATGCCAAGGAATGCAGGCAGCCTATAGGAGGTACAAATTGCAAGGAAATTGATTCTTTTCTGCATCCTCCAGAAGGAACCAACCTGGCTGACACTTTGATTTTAGCCCCAGGAGACCCATTTAGGACTTCTTATTTCTAGAGCTGCACATGAATAAATAGGTATTGTTTTCACCTAGCATTTTTAGTATTTGTTTTAGCAGCCACAGGAAACTCATACAGAGCTCTTGCACAGTCACGTTAAATCTCAAGACATAGTCTCAACTCATTAGTTAGAATGTCTGATGTCGAGATGACTGGATTCTGATCTTCACCCCGCGGCAGAATGCCCTCCCTTCATGTTAAGATCTCTCCTTGGCTGCTGTTAGTTTTTGTTCTGACTTCTTTCTCATTAGCTGTGGCTCTCACTTTGATTTATGTTGTTTCAACTATCTCTGTGGCTACAGAAATGAAAGGAAATACACATGTAAGAAATCAGCTTGGAAGGACCCATAGACACACTGGATATGAGAATCAAGATGATGGCAGCCCTGGGATAGTTCTCAAATTCCTGATTGGGAAAACAAGAGGATGAGATTGGAATGTATGATTTAGGGACTTTAGGGAGGAGAGAGAGATTTAGGGAGTGGGGTGAATGTCATTCATGTTGAATTTCTGGTATGTCATGATTCCCAGCCTGACATACTGGTTTTGGGGCCAAATTTTGGGGGTAAGACTCCCAGGTACGCCATTAGCTGCATAATCACGGGCCTGTAAATTGATTGTATGGGCTGGTAAATTGATTGTACTGTGCCTCAGTTTCTTCTCTGATGTACTGAGAATAATAATACAGTTATTATGATAATGAAATGAGCTAATTTGTGTAAAGCACTTAACAGTCTCTGGCATAGCATAAGTGCTCAATACATGTTAGTGGTCTCTATCCTTATTATTAAATAGAAATGGCAATTTCTAGTTCAGGTGTGGTGGCTCACACCTGTAATCCTAGTACTTTGGGAGGCTGAGGCAGGTAGACCACTTGGGGTCAGGGGTTCGAGACCACACTGGCCAACATGGTGAAACCTTGTCTCTACTAAAATACAAAAATTAGCTGGGCATGGTGGCACATGCCTGTAATCCCAGCTACTCAGGAGGCTGAGGTTCAGGAGAGTCACTTGAACCTGGGAGGCAGAGGTTGCAGTGAGCTGAGATTGTGCCACTGCACTCCAGTCTGGGTGACAGACCAGGACTCTCTGTCTCAAATTAAAATAATAAAAAATAAATGGCAATTTCTTATTGACATTCTGATGGAGCTGCTTGTAACAGAGGCAGTAAAACAAAAGGGAATTTTCAGTATTAACCTGGTGGTGATTGTGGGACTTCGTAGCTTTCATAATTATGGAAGGACCTACGATGATTGAAGTTTGAGGCAGGAATGGGATTGTGCAGAAGAAGTCTGGAGAATTAGAAGAACAAAAGGTCCATGATGGATTTCTGTTGGTGTTTCCATGAAGAGCTGAATGAAAGGGGACTTGATACAGCTAAGAAGAAGTAAGCGGGAAGAAATGAGGTCACATTTCACTATGGAACCAAGTGTGAAGAAATTTCAAGAAGTGGGTTGACTTTGTCAAATGCAATAGAACATCCAGAAAGCTAAAAAGCAAACATTAAAGGAAACCACTTTTGTTATTATATAACTTCTACTATACTTTACAACTGCAAGCAAAATTTGCACACAGGCAAAATTATTTTTTTCCATTAATGTTAATCTGTTTTAGAAAATTTACAGATTTTGTTTATCTTTTAGTCTCTTAGGTATGGTATATTATTCAATGGAAATAGAGTGGCATGGTTTTCTTAACTATTTTCATTTCTATCTCAAAGCTTGGAGGCAGATGGCAGGCAATTGCTTTGCCTTTGAAAATATTACTTTTGCATGAATTTGGAAATATTTCAAGATGAAGTTCACTTTAGACAAAGCACCTTCTGATTCATTCTGCTGGATTCCAAAGCAACTTTTCCAGTAAGCTCTGTAAAAAGTGGTTGACAACTAGTGGGAACACCCCTGTATCATGAACAGATTGGTTTTAATGGAATAAATATTATTTGTGCTTTGACTCGATGACACTCTGAAGACCAGATGCAGAGCTGAGGTCGCAAAGGAGCAGCAAGCCACATGACTGCTGAGCTACCTCTTTGTAATGGTGCCCATGATCTGTTACTACATGTTTTGGGTGATGACAAACTCATTACAAAGTACAATGCCAAAGTTCCTCCCAGTTGCACATCTATCTATCTATCTACCTGTCTGTCTGTCTATCTACCTATCTATCTATCTATCTATCTATCTATCTATCTATCTATCTATCTATCTATCTGAGACAGGGTCTTACTTTGTCACCCAGGCTGGAATGTAGTGGTGCAAACATGGCTCACTGTAGCCTATACCTCCTGGGCTCAAGCAATCCTCCTGCCTGAGCCTCCCAAGTAGCTGGGACTACAGGTGTGAGCCACCACAACTGACTAATTTTTATTTTTTGTTTTTGTAGAGACCAGGTTCTCCCACGTTGCCCAGGCTGGTCTTCAACTCCTGGGCTAGAGAGATCCACCCACCTCAGCCCCCCAAATTGCTGGGATTACATCTGTGAGTCACCACACCCCACCACATACCTATTTTTTAATGTCGCTATATATGTGTGTATATATATATATATGTGTGTGTGTGTGTGTGTGGTGTGCTTGTGTGTGTATACATAAATATAATATTATATATTAATAAAATTTGAAATTTCCCCATTATAAAACTTACCATTTTAAATATACATTTCAGGGGCTTTAAGGACATTTACATGTTGTGCAACCATCACCACCATCCATCCCAGAATTTTTTCACCTTCTTCACTGAAACTCTGTCCACAATAGACACTAACTCCTCATTCCCCCTTCCTCAATCCCCTGGAACCCCCATTCTACTTTCTCTATGACTTTGATTATTCTTGTTACTTCATATAAATAGAATCATGCACTATTTGTGTTTTTTGTTTTTTGTTTTTCTGAAACAAGATCTTAGTCTGTTGCCCAGGCTGGGATGCAGTGATGTGATCATAGCTTACTGCAGCCTCAATCTCCTGGGCTCAAACGATCCTCCTGCCTCAGCCTCCTAAGTAGGTGGGATCACAGGCATACATGACTACACCCAGCTAACTTTTTTATTTTTTGTAAAGATGGGGTCTCACTCTGTTGCCCAGATTGATCTCGAACTCCTGATCTCAAGCCATCCCCTCACCTTGGCCTCCCAATATGCTGGGATTATAGGCATGAGCCACTGCACCCCACCACTATTTGTCTTTTTGTTCTGGCCTATTTTACATAGCAAAACATCTTTGAAATTCATTCATGTTGTACCACTTACTAGATTTTCCTTCCTTTTTAAGGCTAAATATTCCTTTTTTGTATATAACACATTTCCTGTTTGGCTATTTTTTTTTTTTTTTTTTTTTTTTTTTTTTTTTTGTAGAAGCAGGGTTTTACCACGTTGAAATTCACCTGTTGATGGACACCTGGGTTGCTTCTGCCTTTTGGCTGTGGAGAATAAAGCTGCTATGAACATGATTGTGCGGTCTACTACACATGTATTTCAAGGGGAAAATAAAAGGGAGACAGACACTAGATACATTCCGTAATCAGAGGAGAAAGAAAGAGGCCTTTATCTATAAATTTAAAAAGAAAGCTATTACCAGCTTTAGACTTCTTATCAGAAAGACACAATGTATCAGAAAGTATGAAGCAGAGTTTTCAAACATCTGAAGGAATATTACTTTATAATAAAACTACTTGGAATTAGAAAGATGCACGTTCGGGCCAGGCACGGTGGCTCACGCTTGAAATCCCAGCGCTTTGAGAGGCTGAGGTGGGCAGGTCACGAGGTCAGGAGATCGAGACCATCCTGGGTAACACGGTGAAACCTCATCTCTACTAAAAATACAAAAAATTAGCCGATCATGGTGGCCGGCGCCCATAGTCCCAGCTACTCGGGAGGCTGAAGCAGGAGAATGGCTTGAACCCAGGAGGAGGAGCTTGCAGTGAGCCCAGATCGCGCCACTGCACTCCAGCCTGGGAGAAAGAGCGAGACGGCGTCTCAAAAAAAAAAAAAAAAATGAAAAGGAAAGAAAGATGCATGTTTGCCAAAATTTTTATCCCAAGCATGCTTCCTGGAAAAAATAAACACCCAATGACACAGTCCTCGAAAAACAAAGAATATCTGGGGAGAATAAAACAGAATAAAAAGAGCAGTAGAAATAATCAAGGATGCATTGAGAAGAAATGTTCCCCTAGGCAACAGCACTGGAAAGAAACAATTCCAGATAATAGTGCAAGGACCCAGGGCTCTGCAGAGAACGTCTTCTTGCTTGAAATGAAGTGAGGGTGATGTGTATTTTCCTGATGGATACCAGACTGGTGAAAAATAATTGGAAACTTAAAGAAAACAATAGCTGTCCAAAAATGTTGTAGCTATCTCACTCCATTTTTTAAAAAATCTGTGTTCCTGAATCACAGGGCCCTTCTCTTTACTAAAAGCGATGGGTCTATCATCTGTCCTCATAATTGATGCATGACTTGTGAGCTGACTCCCTGTGCAGCCATGTGGTTGCTGAAGGGAAGATTCAACACCTCTTAAATTACCAAATCCACTACTCCTCTGATAAGGAACTATAGGAAAGAAGGAAGAACCAACATATAAAGGTAAGTTTTGCTTCGTATTTATTATTATGTTATATTGTATTTTTATTATGAGACAGAGTATTTTACCCATGGATTTTTATTTTGAAAATTATTAGATCACATTATTACTATTATCTAATAATATAATATTCTTATCTAATGATATTAGATAAGACTAAATTATTATAAGATAATTGTTTATGATCAGTCTTTCCTCATTTATTTCTCAGACATAAACATTGTAAAGATAGGCTTAATTAAGTATGAGTGTTATTCATTCATTATGTAAAATATTTTAAATGGCACACAACAATATTTATTAATAGATGATTCACTGTATATAAAAATTCAGAGAAGTTAAAAGAAATTCCTACAGGCCACTTTGTGTTTAAGACTGGAAAAAGAGAGAAGGGATAGACAAAAAGCTTAGTATTAATTTTTTTTTACTCTATGCATTTTTGGTTTTATACGCAAAAGAGCCATTTGTTTGGTTTAGAAAGAATGCCTTCTGATTTTTATGTTTAAAAGGACCACTAAATGTTTTATTGCCTTGACGTTTAAACTTAAAGCCATTAAGGAATATGAGGTTAACCTAGTTAAACTCCCGAAACACCCAGGGCACATAGTGCTTTTCATCTCCTCGTTTTTCTTTTTTTCTTCTTTAACTCTAAAATAATTTTATTTTTGATGGAGTCTCACTCTGTTGCCCAGGCTGGAGTGCAGTGGCATGATGTTGGCTCACTGTAACCTCCACCTCCCAGGTTCAAGCAATTCTCCTGCCTCAGACTCCCAAGTAGCTGGGACTATAGGCGCCCGCCACCATGCCTGGCAAATTTTTGTATTTTTAGCAGAGACAGGATTTCACCATATTAGTCAGTCTGGTCTTGAACTCCTGACCTTGTGACCACCTGCCTTGACCTCCCAAAATGCTGGGATTATAGGCATGGGCCACAACAGCCAGCCGAAATAATCTGTTAAAAAGAAATATTTCTCATTTAAATAAAATGCATCTGAAGCTTAGCAATTTCATGAGTTTCACTTTTTATTTTGGGATAAAACTCATATAACATAAAATGGACTATTTTAACCATTTTGAAGTATGATTCAGTGACATTTGGTGCAGTGGTACCCAACCTGTGTGACACCAGGGACTGATTTAGTGGAAGACAATTGTTCCACTGATGGTGGTGGTGGGGTTGAGGAGGTTGGTTCCAGGATGATTCGAGTACATGACATTTATTGTGCAATTTCCTTCTATTATTATTCCCTTGTAATACATGAGGAAATAATTCTACAACTCACCATCATGTAGAATCAGTGGGAGCAACTAGACCGTCCCATCTGGAGGTGATGGGAGACAGTGATAGATCATCAGGCATCCTTAGATTCTCATAAGGAGCATGCAATCTAGATCCTTCACATGTGTAGTTCACAGGAGGGTTTCCTCTCATATAAGAATCTAATGCCACCACTGATCTGAGAGGAGGTGGAGCTCAGGTGGTAATGTGAGCCATGGGGAGCAGCTCTAAATACAGATGAAGCTTTGCTGGTCACCTGCCGCTCACCTCCTGGGGTGTAGCCTGGTTCCTAACAAGCCACAGACAGGAGCCAGTCCATGACCTAGGAGTTAGAAACCCCTGATATAGTGCAATTATCATCACTATCTAGTTCCTAAACATTTTAAAATACCAAAAGGAAATCCTATATTCATTAAGCAGTCACTCTCTATTCTCCTTTTCTTTTTTTTCTTTTTATTATTATTATACTTTAAGTTTTAGGGTACATGTGCACAATGTGCAGGTTTGTTATGTATGCATACATGTGCAACGTTGGTGTGCTGCACCCATTAACTTGTCATTTAGCATTAGGTATATCTCCTAATGCTATCCCTCCCCCCTCCCTCCACCCCTCAACAGTCCTCAGAGTGTGATGTTCCCCTTCCTGTGTCCATGTGTTCTCACTGTTCAATTCCCACCTATGAGTGAGAAAAGGCAGTGTTTGGTTTTTTGTCCTTGCAATAGTTTGCTGAGAATGATGGTTTCCAGTTTTATCCATGTCCCTAAAAAGGACATGAACTCTTCATTTTTTATGGCTGCATAGTATTCCATGGTGTATATGTGCCACATTTTCTTAATCCAGTCTATCGTTGTTGGACATTTGGGTTGGTTCCAAGTCTTTGCTATTGTGAATAGTGCCACAATAAACATGCATGTGCATGTGTCTTTATAGCAGCATGATTTATAATCCTTTGGGTATATACCCAGTGATGGGATGGCTGGGTCAAATGGTATTTCTAGTTCTAGATCCCTGAGGAATTGCCACACTGACTTCCACAGTGGTTGAACTAGTTTATAGTCCCACCAACAGTGTAAAAGTATTCCTATTTCTCCACATCCTCTCCAGGACCTGTTGTTTCCTGACTTTTTAATGATGGCCATTGTAACTGGTGTGAGATGGTATCTCATTGTGGTTTTGATTTGCATTTCTCTGATGGCAAGTGATGACAAGCATTTTTTCATGTGTTTTTTTGGCTGCATAAATGTCTTCTTTTGAGAAGTGTCTGTTCATATCCTTTGCTCACTTTTTGATGGAGTTGTTTGTTTTTTTCTTGTAAATTTGTCTGAGTTCATTGTAGATTCTGGATATTAGCCCTTTGTCAGATGAGTAGATTGCAAAAATTTTCTCCATTTTGTAGGTTGCCTGTTCACTCTGATGGTAATTTCTTTTGCTGTGCAGAAGCTCTTTAGTTTAATTAGATCCTATTTGTCAATTTTGGCTTTTGTTGCCATTGCTTTTGGTGTTTTAGACATGAAGTCCTTGCCCATGCCTATGTCCTCAATGGTATTGCCTAGGTTTTCTTCTAGGGTTTTTATGGTTTTAGGTCTAACATGTAAGTCTTTAATCCATCTTGAATTAATTTTTGTATAAGGTGTAAGGAAGAGATCCAGTTTCAGCTTTCTACATATGGCCAGCCAGTTTTCCCAGCACCATTTATTAAATAGGGAATCCTTTCCCCATTGCTTGTTTTTGTCAGGTTTGTCAAAGATCAGATAGCTGTAGATATGAGGCATTATTTCTGAGGGCTTTGCTCTGTTCCATTGATCTATATCTCTGTTTTTGTACCAGTACCATGCTGTTTTGGTTACTGTAGCCTTGTAGTATAGTTTGAAGTCAGGTAGCATGATGCCTCCAGCTTTGTTCTTTTGGCTTAGGATTGACTTGGCAATGCAGGCTCTTTTTTGGTTCCATATGAACTTTAAAGTAGTTTTTTCCAATTCTGTGAAGAAAGTCATTGGTAGCTTGATGGGAATGGCATTGAATCTATAAATTACCTTGGGCAGTATGGCCATTTTCACGACGTTGATTCTTCCTACCCATGAGCATGGAATGTTCTTCAATTTGTTTATATCCTCTTTTATTTCATTGAGCAGTGGTTTGTAGTTATCCTTGAAGAGGTCCTTCACATCCCTTGTAAGTTGGATTCTTAGGTATTTTATTCTCTTTGAAGCAATTGTAAATGGGAGTTCACTCATGATTTGGCTCTCTGTCTGTTATTGGTGTAAAAGAATGCTTGTGATTTTTGTACATTGATTTTGTATCCTGAGACTTTGCTGAAGTTGCTTATCAGCTTAAGGAGATTTTGGGCTGAGACGATAGGTTTTTCTAGATATACAATCATGTCATCTGCAAACACGGACAATTTGACTTCCTCTTTTCCTAATTGAATACCCTTTATTTCCTTCTCCTGCCTAATTGCCCTGGCCAGAACTTCCAACACTATGTTGAATAGGAGTGGTGAGAGAGGGCATCCCTATCTTGTGCCAGTTTTCAAAAGGAAACCTTCCAGTTTTTGCCCATTCAGTATGATATTGGCTCTAGGTTTGTCTTAGATAGTTCCTATTATTTTGAGATACGTCCCATCAATACCTAATTTATTGAGAGTTTTTAGCATGAAGGGCTGTTGAATTTTGTCAAAGGCCTTTTCTGCATCTATTGAGATAATCATGTGGTTTTTTCTTTGGTTCTGTTTATATGCTGGATTACATTTATTGATTTATGCACATTGAACCAGCCTTGCATCCCAGGGATGAAGCCCACTTGATCATGGTGGATAAGCTTTTTGATGTGCTGCTGGATTCTGTTTGCCAGTATTTTAATGAGGATTTTTGCATCAATGTTCATCAAGGATATTGGTCTAAAATTCTCTTTTTTGGTTGTGTTTCTGCCAGGCTTTGGTATCAGGATGATGCTGGCCTCATAAAAAGAGTTAGGGAGGATTCCCTGTTTTTTTTTTTTTTTTTTTTTTTTTTTTTTTTTTTTTTTTTTTTTTTTTTTTTGAGACGGAGTCTCGCTCTGTCGCCCAGGCTGGAGTGCAGTGGCGGGATCTCGGCTTACTGCAAGCTCCGCCTCCCGGGTTCACGCCATTCTCCTGCCTCAGCCTCCCAAGTAGCTGGGACTACAGGCGCCCGCCACTACGCCCGGCTAATTTTTTGTATTTTTAGTAGAGACGGGGTTTCACCGTTTTAGCCGGGATGGTCTCGATCTCCTGACCTCGTGATCTGCCCGCCTCGGCCTCCCAAAGTGCTGGGATTACAGGCGTGAGCCACCGCGCCCGGCCGATTCCCTGTTTTTCTATTGATTGGAATAGTTTCAGAAAGAATGGTACCAGCCCCTCCTTGTACTTCTGGTAGCATTTGGCTGTGAATCCATCTGGTCCTGGACTTTTTTTGGTTGGTAAGCTATTGATTATTGCCACAATTTCAGAGCCAGTTATTGATCTATTCAGAGATTCATCTTCTTCCTGGTTTAGTCTTGGGAGGGTGTATGTGACCAGGAAAGTATCCATTTCTTCTAGATTTTCTAGTTTATTTGTGTAGAGGTGTTTGTAGTATTCTCTGGCGGTAGTTTGTATTTCTGTGGGATCGGTGGTGATATCCCCTTTATCATTTTTTATTGCATCTATTTGATTTTTCTCTCTTTTCTTTTTTATTAGTCTTGCTAGTGGTCTATCGATTTTGTTGATCTTTTCAAAAAACCAGATCCTGGATTCATTAATTTTTTGAAGGGTTTTTTGTGTCTCTATCTCCTTCAGTTCTGCTCTGATGTTAGTTATTTCTTGCCTTCTACTAGCTTTTGAATGTGCTTGCTCTTGCTTTTCTAGTTCTTTTAATTGTAACATTATGGTGTTGATTTTGGATCTTTCCTGCTTTCTCTTGTGGGCATTTAGTGCTATAAATTTCCCTCTACACACTGCTTTGAATATGTCCCAGAGATTCTGGTATGTTGTGTCTTTGTTCTCGTTGGTTTCAAAGAACATCTTTATTTCTGCCTTCATTTCGTTATGTACCCCGTAGTCATTCAGCAGCGGGTTGTTCAGTTTCCATGTATTTGAGCGGTTTTGGGTGAGTTTCTTAGTCCTGAGTTCTAGTTTGACTGCACTGTGGTCTGAGAGACAGTTTGTTATTATTTCTGTTCTTTTACATTTGCTGAGGAGTGCGTTACTTTCCATTCTTCTTTTCTCCTCGTCTCCTCTCCTTTCCTTTTCTCCTCATCCTCGTCCCTGGAAACCAGTTATTTTCTGTTTTCTGTCCATAGATTTAGCTATTCTTGAAATTTAATATAAACATAATGATACACTGGCTTCATTCACTAAGCATGGTGTTTTCAAGATTCGTACATATAATAGCCTGTATTAGACCTTCATTCCATTTCATAAATGAATTATATTAGACTGTATGAATTGAACATATTGAACATATTTTGTTTATTCCTTGATCCTTGGATGGGTAGGTAAAATTATATGTAATATTTTTTTTTTCTTGAGATGGAGTCTCTGTCACCCAGGCTGGAGTGCAGTGGTGCCATCTGGGCTCACTGCAACCTCCACCTCCCAGGGTTAAGCAATTCTCCTGCCTCAGCCTCCTAAGTAGCTGGGACTATAGGTGCACACCACCATGTCCGGCTAATTTTTTGTATGTTACTAGAGATGGGGTTTCACCATGTTGGCCAGGCTGGTCTCAAACTCAAGACCTCAAGTGATCCTCCTGCCTCAGCCTCCCAAAGTGCTGGAATTACAGATGTGAGCCACCATGCCCAGCCTGTAATACTTTTTAGAAAAAAGCCAAAGATGTTAACATTCATTTTCGGTCTAGTGAAATAAGAACAGAATCTGCATATCATGAAATGAGCACCCATGAATATGACGTGCAGAACATCTGAAAGCCACCGTGAAACCACTCTTCCCATGTTTCTCCAGGGGTGTTATGACAGAGACCTTATATGGACAATACTTGCACGGCAAGCACAGACTTCTTATTTACGAACTTTCAGCATACTCTATTTTTTTCTTAATGGGTAAACTTATCTATCCATCCTCTATCTATCCATCTATATTTCTATCAGTCTATAAATTGTGTATGTATATCTATGTACCTAACCTCTATCAGTTGTCTAATTTATCACCTATTGATTGTTTATCTTCTATCCCACGGTTCCCAACCCCCAGGCCTGGAGTGGTACCAGTCAGTGACCTGTTAGGAACTGGCACATCTGAAAGCAGTAGGAAGTGAGCAGTAGGTGAGAGAGTGAAGCTTCATCTGTATTGACAACTGCTCCCCAGCGCTTGCATTACTGCTTGAGCTCCAACTCCTGTCAAATTAGTGGCCACATTAGATTCTCAAAGGAGCAAGAAACCTATTGTGAACTGTGCATGTGAGGGATCTAGAGTTTGCTGCGTGCTCCTTATGAGAATCTAATGCTTGATGATCTGTCACAGTCTCCCATCACCCCTAGTGGGACCATCTAGTTGCAAGAAAACAAGCTCAGGGCTGCACTGATTCTACATAATGGTGAGTTGTATAATTATTTCATTATATATTATAATGTAATTGTAATAGAAATAAAGTATACAATAAATGCAATGCCCTTGAATCATCCTAAAACCATCTCCCCACCAAGTCCATGGAAAAATTGTCTTCCATGAAACTGATTCCTCATGCCAAAAAAGTTGAGGACTGCTGGTCTATCCATCATCTATCATCTCTATTGTCTATCTTTCTATCTATTTTCTATCTATCTTTGTATCCACCTACCTATAATTGAGAATAAGTTTAAATTTATCTCATTGTTTTAAATTTATCTTCATTGTTTAAGTTTATTATTTATTTTCATTTAATTTTAAATTTATCTTCTTTTTTATTAATTTCCTAAAAATATAGGCTTCTTCAAAGGTTAGCTTAGAATCATGTTTGATCATTTTTTTCTTCCATAGAATAAAATGCAGTTGTAATAAAATACAGTCTAAATTCTTTAAAAAGTGACTTTATTGTAATCCTTTCATTTATTTTTTTTCTCTTGGCAAGTGTGTAAGATTTTCCTAAAACACTATATAAACTTTTTGCATGTACGTATGTCTGGTTTTTGTTATTGTTGTTTGTGCTGCAGTGTGGGTAATCAAAGAACAAAAATATTTGTTTCATTCTCATCATGCAGGCTTTATATAATTCTTGGGACTTAATTGATGAGTGACATATTGGAGATGTGTAGAAAAATGGTGATTTCCAGTTCTTTCTTTTAGTCAATCCTTCAAAGTCCATACATTCTCCTGTTTCCTAAGGGGCAGGGTGTTAAGAAAAATAAAAAACTTGACTTGAAAGTGCTTGTACAATTTAAATACTATGTTTGTTTGGCAGAAATAGTGTCTTAACAAGAGCACCATTTGTTTCTCCCTCACATATAAGAATTCTGGAGATGGAAAACCAAGGGCTAGAGTTCTGGGATGCCAGCACCTTCTTCCTTTAGCACGTGGACTCCCACATTTAACAAAAGCTGCTGGCCAGGCATGGTGGCTCATGCCTGTCATCCCAGCACTTCAGGAGGACAACGCAGGTGGATCACTTGAGGTCAGGATTTCGAGACTAGCCTGGCCAACATGGCAAAATTCCATCTCTACTGAAAATACAAAAATTAGCCAGACATGGTGGCTCACACCTGTAATCCCAGCTACTCAGGAGGCTGAGGCAGGAGAATCACTTAAACCTGGGAGGAGGACGTTGCAGTGACCTGAGATTGTGCCGTTGCACTCCAGCCTGGACAGACCTAGATTCTGTCTCCAAAACAAAAACAAAAACAAAAACAAACTGCTGACTCTTCAGCCACCCCATCTGTATTCCGGACATAAATCAGGAGAACAGGAGGAAGGAAGAAAAGCAAACAAAACAAGACCCCCTCCAGGAGCTCCTAGCATCACTGAACTTACAAAACGTCAATTTGAAGAGTGTTCAGAAAAGAATAGATTTTTCTGTTGGGCATATTGCATAGTGTGTGGGTATGTGAGTGTTTTTCCCCTAGAGCTACTGTAACCAGTTACCATAAATTTAGTAGATTATAAGAACATAAGTGTATTATCTTATAGTTCTGGAGCTCAGAAGTCTAAAATTAGGTGCTGGCAGAACTGTGTTCCTTCTGGAGGCTCTTGAGTGAAATCTGTGGTCCCTTTCTGTATGTTCAAAGCCAGCTGCCTAGTGTCCTCCAATCTTTCTCTTTCTGACCCTCCTCCTTCCCTCTTCTACGGACCCTGTGATTACATCAGGGTGCACCTGGACAACCCAGGCTCATCTCCCCATCTCAGGATGCTTAACTTAATTATAAGGTTGCTGCAAAAGTAATTGCGGTTTTTGCCGTTAATATTAGGTTGGTGCCAAAATAATCGCGGTTTTTGCCATTATTTTTGCACCAACCTAACACATCTGCAAAGCCATTTTTTTCCACATGAAATAACATATTGATGGGCTCCAGGGATTAGGATGTGGACATCTCTGAGCACCTGTATGCAGCCTGTTACACTCAGTAAAGAAGTAAGGGAAAATGAGTGTCACGTAGGTATCTGACTATCTCAGCCACAGTGAAATGGGAAAAGTTCCCTCATCTCCCTCACAGGGCATGCGATGGAAGTGTGGCTCACTCCTTCAGTGCCCCACTGCGCAAACCCCTCAGAGGTGCAGGCAGACCGGGAGGTTGTGGGGCTCCGACCCCTCGGCAGCATCTAGGGGTGAATGTTTATAGCTCCTGAAGCCCCAGTGGGCGTGTGTTACAGAGTGCTCTTTTAGTTTAGCCATCCATAAGCGGCTTGTGTTACTCAGCTCAATTAGACCCCCTGCCTTATCACAAAGATGGAGGGCTTTCTGTATCCCCAGTTTCTTGTCTTTGTGTACCAGAAGAATCAGATCACACATGGGCTTGGAGAATGAGTACAAGGTTTTATTGAGTGGAGGTAGCTCTCAGCAGATAGGGGAGGCAGAGGGAGATGGTTTTCCCCTGGAGTTGCTGGCTGCTCAGCAGCCCAGGCTTTTTTCCTCTGACCTCTCCTGCCGAACTCCATGCCATTCTGCCAGTCAATGGCCCGCCAGCCTGCCAGTGTCTGCCAGTGCACTCTTCCACTGGCATGCTCCCCTCGAGGTCCGGCTGCTTGTGTCGTCTCCACTTATGTGTTCCTCTCAATGTCCAGGTAATTGTGTGTCTGCCTGCTACAGTCTCGAGGTTTTTATAAGCACAGATTGGAGGCAGAGCAGGCCAGAAAGGTCTTGGAAAATGCAACATGTGGGCAGGAAAACAGGAGTGCCTGTACTCACTTAGGTCCATGGGCACAGGCCCACAGGTGGAGCCCTAGCCAGGGACCACACCCTCCTCTACCCAGCACTTCCCTGCCCCCCTTCCATATGAACAGTCCTGTAAATGAAAAAGTAGATGACTGATTTTTACGTAGATTCATGGGGTACACTCAGCCTAGACCTATCTGAACCTCTATGTGCATACCAAATTTTATGGTAGATCTTAACATGTAAGCACTTTTTGTTGGTTTATTTTTAAGACAGTCTTGCTCTGCTGCCCAGGCTGGAGTGCAGTGGCTTGATCTGGGCTCACCGCAACCTCCACCTTCCGGGTTCAAGTGATTCTTCTGCCTCAGCCTCCAGAATAGTTGGGATTACAGGCATGCACCACCACATCTGGCTAATTTTTGTATTTTTAGTAAAGATGGGGTATTGCCATGTTGGCCAGGCTAGTCTTGAACTCCTAACCTTAAGTGATCCACCTGCTTCAGCCTCCCAAATTTCTGGGATTACAGGCATGAGCCATCCTGCATGGCCTCATGTGAGCACTTTGATTGCCACTAGAAGACATGATGGGCTGTGATTTTGTTTCATGGTAAAGTGAACCCCACAGCAAAGTACATTTAAACACGTTTTAGCAAGATAGATATTACATATCATGAGATTTCATCCTACTCCAGTCAGAATGGCTATTATTGAAAAAACAACAGATGTTGGTGAGGATGCAGAGAAAAGGGAACACTTATACATTGTTCTTGGGAATGTAGATTAGTACAATCTGATGAAAAAGAGTGTGGAGAATTCTCAAAGAACCAAAAATAGAACTATCATTCCATCCAGCAACCCACTACTGGATATCTACCCAAAGGAAAAGAAATTATTACATCAAAAAGATATGTGCACTGGCCTGGCATGGTGGCTTATGCCTATAATCCCAGCACTTTGAAAGACTGAGGCAGGTGAATCACAACAGGTCAGGAGCTTGAGACCAGCCTGGCTAACATGGTGAAACCCTGTATCTAGTAAAAATACAAAAATTAGCCAGTGGTGGTGGCACATTCCTGTAGCCCCAACTACTCTGGAGACCGAGGCAAGAGAATCATTTGAACCCAGGAGGCAGAGGTTGCAGTGAGTCAAGATGGTGCCTCCGCACTGCAGGCTAGGAGACAGAGTGAGACTCCAACTAAAAATGAAAAGAAAAGACTCCTGTACTGGAAGCCCTATTTACAATAGCAAAGATATGGAATCAACCTAAGTGTCCATCAATGGATGATGGGATAAAGAAAATGTGGTATATGTACACAGTGGAACACTATTCAACCACAAAAAGGAATGCAACCATATCTTTTGCAGCAACATGGAAGGAAGTGGTGGTTATTTTCTTAAGTAAAACAACTCAGAAACAAAAAGACAAATAGTGCATGTTCTTATTTATAAGTAGGAGCTAAATAATGTTACCACATAGGAGTAAAGTGCGGAATCATAGACATTGCTGACTGGGAAGGGTAGGAGGGTGCTGAGGGATAACAAGTTACTTAATGGGCACAAATGCATTATGCCAGTGATGGATACAGAAGCCAAGACTTCACCACTGCGCAATCTGTCTAGGTTACATAATCACATGTGTACCCCATAAATTAACATACATTTTTTAAAAAACCAATTACACTGCTTCTAAAAGTCATCATTTAAAAAGTCAAGCAATAAAAAAATTCATTTATTGATTTCATCATTTGTCTAGTTAATAAATCCAAAAATATTGAGTGTATTGATATAGCCCGAACTCCACAAGGGCCTAAATTGTGTTAATCCCACTTGCTGGATTCCACATCTCAGCAGGGAACAGTGTGTGCTGTCTTGCCTGTCTGCTTTTAATAGGTTTGTACCAACCTGCCTGAAGTGCAAATAGAGAACCGGTCTGGGGATGTGTGTGGGCTGAGCAGAGAAAACCACTTAGAGAAATCACTGATGTCTGCCAAGTGTTGGGAGAAAGGATGACACAGGGGGCATTCAATTAGCACACCTGCCCTCATCAGTCTGAATGCTATTTCAGTGCAAACTCTTACTGCATTGTGTCTTAGTTCATTTCATGCTGCTGATAAAGACATACCCAAGACTGGGAAGAAAAAGAGGTTTCATTGCGCTTACAGTTCCACATGGCTGGGGAGGCCTCAGTATGATGGCAGGAGGCAAAAAGCACTTCTTACATGGTGGCAGCAACAAAAAATGAGGAAGATGCAAAAGAGAAACCCTCATAAAACCATCAGATTTCATGAGACCCACCCACTACCATGAGAACAGTATGGGGGAAACTGCCCCCATGATTCAAATTATCTCCCACTGGGTCCCTCCCACAACATGGG
This sequence comes from Homo sapiens, assembly GCF_000001405.40. Classification (NCBI taxonomy): domain Eukaryota; kingdom Metazoa; phylum Chordata; class Mammalia; order Primates; family Hominidae; genus Homo; species Homo sapiens. Next base: position 11,928,124 of record NC_000024.10, on the reverse strand, counting down.
AATTACAAAGAGTACAATTCAAGATGAGATTTGGGTGGGGACACAGCCAAACCATATCACATTGGTAACATGCTTGCCTGTGTAGTTTTAGGAATGTGCTTCTCCAGCTTACTAAAACCTAATTTTAACACAGAATATCTTACTTTAATTTTTAAAGATTTTTCTAACAGCTTTTTCCAGGAAAAAACCTTTCTGTCAATTTATTTCCTGAAATAAAGATAATAGATTCTTTTGTAAATATCTCCTAATTAAGCAATATGGAAACCTTAAAGGAAAGTGAACATCTTTTTCTTTGTTGTTGTTTTGTTTTGTTTGTTTTTTTAGACAGGGTCTCAATCTGTCACTCAGGCTGGAGTGCAGTGGTACTATTATGGCTCACTGTAGCCTCGACCTCCTGGCCTAGGTAATCCTTCTGCCTCAGCCTCCTGAGTAGCTGGGACTACAGGTATGCACCATCATGCCCAGCTAACATTCATATTTTTTATGGAGACAAGATTTCATTATGTTGCCCAGGCTGGTCTCAAACTCCTGGGCTCGAGCGATCCTCCTGCCTCGGCCTCATAAAATGCTGGAATTACGGGCATGAGCCACCATGCCTGGCCCTCATTTTCAACATCTTATAACAACTATAAGAGATTTCTTGATTTCCAGGCACATCGTGTTGTATCATTGGTTTCTTTAAAACTTATTAAAGCAATTTTATCTTGTGTATATTTGTTAATAATGGTATTACAAATGATTTAATGTAATTATAATATTTATGGTTAATAATGCAAATAGTATATAGTATATAAATATATGGGTCTGTAAGTATATTTCATAAATTATTGGGTGTATAAGATATATTATACATTATATGGGTATATAAGATATATTATAAAATTATATCATATTAATAAAATACACACTATATTCTATTATATATAATATGGCACATAAGTTGCACGTGGTGGCTTATGCCTGTAATCCCAGCACTTTGGGAGGTGAAGGCAGGCAGATCACAAGGTCAGGAGATTGAAACCATCCTGGCCAACATAGTGAAACCCTATCTCTACTAAAAATACAAAAATTAGCTGGGCGTGGTGCACCCTTGTAATCCCAGCTACTTGGGTGGCTGAGGCAGGAGAATCACTTAACTCAGAAGGCAGAGGTTGCAGTGAAGCCGAGATCTCGCAATTGCACTCCAGCCTGGGCAATGCAGTGAGACTCCATCTGAAAAAAAAAAAAAAAGTTACATATGAATATATAACAGACATCATAATATAAATATCTTTCTATATTATGTAATATTTGTTATAATGATATATTCATTCCATTATATATTTATAATACATTTATATATTATATATTATATTTATATATTTGTATATTATATATGATACATTCATTTTAAAATATCTAATGTTTACCTAATCAAGTTATCTAATTAACTTATAACATCTAATTAAAATTTGTTTATATAAATTATGTATTTATATTTTATAATATATCAATACATTTAAATGTGTCATCAATATAATGTATGTTATAAAATATTTATGTATTACAATACAATAAATTGATATTCATTAAAACATGTATAAATTTAAGTTATGCAGTTAAATATGTATGAATATCTTATGCAGATTTCAATATGAATTAGATAAGTATACAAACATTTTCCCTTTGCCTTTAGGGAGTTCGTTATTCTTTATAAGTTTTCTTTCTTTTTCAACTGGAAAAAAACATAAATAAACTTGAGTTAAAATCTAAATGTTTGATCTGTTTATTCAAAGATTTCTTACACTTAGTTTATCTGTCTATGTCTCATACGACCTACATGGATCACTTGAAAGAGTTATTGGTAAGGTTATGGTGGGGTTATTGGGGTAGGGGTTTAAGCAGAATTAAATGTAGGGAACTGAGTTCCCCCTAGAAGCACAAGCAGAGACTAGGATTTGAGGGTAAGGTGTTTATGGGGAGGTGACACCAGGAAGGACCCATCGGAGAACCAGAAAATGAGACAGTGGAGGCCCCATTCCAGAAACCTTCATTGAGCTAATCCGAGCGTTTGACCTGGGGCTGCGCATTTTTGGCGAACACCCGAGTTGTTTCTGAAGCAAGTAGAATATGGATCGTGCATCTCCCAGAGGATACTCTGATTTGAAGGAATCTCCTGTTTACACTGGCTCATTGGCTTTTTTGAGTGATAACCCTGACGGGGCCCATGACAGGTCAATTTCACCTTGAGAAAGAGTAGTTCAGGGACACTGGCTCTTCTGTTAACCTTCCTAGTTACGCACAAGGGTGCCCAATGGCTCACAGGTGAGAAGACCAAGGTACAGCAGGGGGGGATCGGCAGTCAATTCCTACCACTAGAAATGACTCACGTTGTGGCCCAGTAATTCCTGATGTACAGTGCATTATTACTGGATAAATGGCTCCCTCCTGGGAAGATACAGAGTTCACAGGCCCTCACCCATTTGCCAGCTTATTAATTTTCTATGGCTGTTGTCACAAATTGTTATAAACTTAGTTGCTTAAACGATGCAAATTTATTTTCTTACACTTCTACAGTTCAGTAATTCTGGAGGTGAGAAGTTCAACAAGAGCTTCATTGGGCTAAAATCAAGATGTTGGTAGGCTCAGCGTCACGCAACGTAACAATGTAATAAACCTGCACATGTACCCCTTAATCACAAGTACAAGTTCACATTATTTTAAAAAGTAAACACCTTCGCCAAGAGAGAAAAATACTTGTGAATTTCCTTCTGGAATCTATTTTGAACAGAAGTATGGTGTATTCATTTTTTAAACCTGATCTTTGGTCTGATACAAATGTAGATTTTTTTCCTGGTTTTTATATTAAGTTACTAATTAAAGTGATAATTACAAAAGTGAAAAAAAAGGGTATCAGTAGGGCTGCATTTTAATAGAGAAGATGTTAGGAAGAATTCATTTCCTTGCTTTTCAGGGATGGTGACAGAATTGTTTCCTGTGGTTGTAGAATTGAGGTCTCCCTTTCCAGCTGATTATAAACAGGAAACTTCATTTCCAGCTTCCAGAGACAACCGTACTTATCTCTGATTCTTCTGCTGTTTTTTATTTTTTTGAGACAGGGTCTTACTCTGTAGCCCAGGCTGGAGTGCAGTGGTGTCCTTACAGCTTCAGCTTCCTGGGATCAAGCGATCCTCCTGCCTCAGCCTCTCAAAGTGCTGGGATTACAGGCATAAGCCACTGCTCCCAGCTTTTTAAATTTTTTGAGATAGAGTCCTGCTCTATCATCCAGGCTGGAGTGCAGCACCATGGTCATAGCTCACTACAGCCTTCAACTCCTGGGATCAAGAATAGCTGATATTACAGGTGTGCGCCTCCATATCTGGCTTCTTTTTTTTTCTTTTTTTTCTTTTCAGTAGAGACAATGTCTTGCTATGATGCCCAGGCTGGCCTTGAATTTTCTCTACTTTTAAGGACTCTAAGGACAGTTTAAACTACTACAGGTGTACTTAGTTCCCTCTGGAGGCTCTAGGGGAGGACACTTCCTGCCTCTCCCAGGTCCTGGGGGCTCCAGGTATCTCTAGGCTTGTGGCCACATCATTCCAGTCTCTGCCTCTGTCTCCAAGTGGCCTTCTCCTCTGTGTCTGTGTGTCCTTTTCTGTCTCTTACAAGTACACCTGTCATTGCATTTAGGGTCCTGAATCCAGCCTGACTTCTTGCAATTAGATTGGGCCCAGCCTGAATAATCAAAAACAATCTCCCAGTTTTAAGGTCGAGTGAGTTAACCACCTTAATTCTATCTGCAACCTGTATTCCCTTTCTCCATTGCAGGGTACCATATTCATAGGAGATTGGGATGTGGCCCTCTTTCAGAGGCCATTATCTTGCCTCCTATGACTTTCTCTCTTCGACTCTGGCTCGTGTCTGCCATGGAATCTTGTCTCCCCCTGATAGCCCAGAACTGCCTCAAATGCTGACCAATTTTGACACACAGAATTCTCAATAGGCTCAGCTCCTCAGCTGATAGGCACTGAATCCAAGCACATCTGACAGCCACACCAAGGCTGGTGCTCCAAAGGAGAGTTCAAAACTCCTTCAGTGTACACCACAACACTCTCCACACAGTGTCTGAGCATGGCTCATGGGCCTGGAGTCAGTGCTGACCCAAACTCCTGGTCAGTGTGCTAACCATCCTGATATTCCTCATTGATTTTGGTGTTGCTGCTAAACTGAACAGTATTAGTTTGGTATAGCTGCTGTAAAAAAATTACCTCCTCTTGCTCTGTCACCTGCTTCTGTTGCACGGGGCGCAAGTGGTTTACTGCACCGTGAAGACAGATTTCAGATGCAGGGAACTCGCACCTCCAATCCCAGATGCTATGTCCAGCAAAGGATCCATGGTTCTGGCCCACAGTGGTGGCCTGGACACCTCCTGCATGCTTGTGTGGCTGAAGGAACAAGGACATGTTGTCATTGCCTACCTGGCCAACATTGGCCAGAAGGAAGACTTCGAGAAAGACAGGAAGAAGGCATGCAAGCTTGGGGCCAAAAAGGTGTTCATTGAGGAAGTCAGCAGGGAGTTTGTGGAGGAGTTCATCTGGCCGGCCATCCAGTCCAGCGCCCTGTATGAGGACTACTACCTCCTGGGCACCTCTCTGGCTAGGCTCTGCATCGCCCACAAACAAGTGGAAATTACCCAGCAGGAGGGGGCCAAGTACGTATCCTATGGCATCATGGGAAAGGAGAACGATCAGGTCCAGTTTGAGCTCACCTGCTCACTGGCCCCCAGATTAAGGTCATTGCTCCCTGGAGGATGCCCGAGTTCTACTACTGGCTCAATGGCTGCAATGATCTGATGGAATACACAAAGCAACATCGGATTCCCATCCCAGTCACTCTCAAGAACCCGTGGATCATGGACGAGAACCTCATGTGTATCAGCTATGAGGCTGGAATCCTGGAGAAACACAAGTACCATAAGCACCTCCAGGTCTCTACACAAAGACTAAGGACCTGACCAAAGCCCCCAACACCCCTGACATTCTCTAGATTGAGTTCAAAAAAGAGGTCCCCGTGAAGGTGACCAACGTCAAGGATGGCGCCACCCACCAGACCTCCTAGGAGCTCTGCGTGTACCTGAACGAAGCTGCGAGCAAGCATGGCCTGGGCCATATTGACATCGTGGAGAACCATTTCATTGCAATGAAGTCCTGAGGCATCTACAAGACCCTAGCTGGCATCATCCTTTACTATGCTCATTTACACATCGAGGCCTTCACCATGAATCAGGAAGAGTGCAAAATCAAACAAGGCCTGGGCGTGAAATTTGCTGAGCTGGTGTACACCAGTTTCTGGCACAGCCCTGAATGTGAATTTGTCCACCACTGCATCACCAAGTCCCAGGAGTGAGTGGAAGGGAAAGTGCAGGTGCCTGTCTTCAAGAGCCAGGTGGACATACTCAGACAGGAGTCCCCACTGTCTCTCTAAAATGAGGAGCTGGTGAGCATGAATGTGCAGGGCGATTAGGAGCCAATTAATGCCACCAGGTTCATCAACATCAATTCCATCAGGCTGAAGGAATATCATTGTCTCTAAAGCAAGCTCCCTGCCAAATGGGCACCTACGTGAGGGGGAGCTGGGGCCTCCTCACTTTGCACACTTTGCAGATACCCCAAGAACAGACACTAATTATTGTGATAATTCGTAATTGTGACTTGTTCTCCCTGGCTGGCAGTATAGTGGGGCTGCCAGGCCCCAACTTTTTCCCTGGTACCGCTGAAGCCTGCAAAAGTGATCATCAAAGGGAAGGGTGGGGGACAGCTGCAGTGGAGAGCTATAAAATGACATTTTTTTTTTGAGACACTTACTCTGTCACCCAGGCTGGGTTGCAGTGGCTTGATCTCGGCTCACTCAATCTCCACCTCCTGGGTACAAATGATTCTCATCCCTCAGCCTCTCAAGTAGCAGAGATTACAGGTATGTGCCACCATGCCTGTCTAATTTTTGTGTTTTTAGTAGAGAGGAAGTTTCACCATCTTGGCCAGGATGGTCATGAACTCCTGACCTCAGGTTATTTGCCTGCCTCCACCTCCCAGAGTGCTGGGATTACAGGCGTGAGTCACCGTGCCTGTCCAAAAATGACAATTAAAAAAAAATTAGAAAAAATTACCTCCTACTGGGTGGCTGAAAGCAACATAAATGTATTAACTCCCAGTTCTGTTTTTTTCAGAATTTGTTATTGATAATTTTTGTGGGTACATAGGAGGTGTATATGTTTATGGGATATCTGTAATGTTTTGATACAGGCATGCAATACATAACAATCACATCACAGAGAATGGGGTATCCAGCCCCTCAAGCATTTACCCTTTGTGTTGCCAATAATCCAATTATACTCTTTTAGTTATTTTTAAATGTAAAAGTAAGTTATTTTTGATCTCCTAGTTCTCTTGTTGGCCTCTCCCTAGCTTCCAGTAGCCAGCAGCAATCCTTGGCATTCCTGGACCTTAGGTGAATCATTGCAGTCCCTGCCTAAATATCCCTGTGAACCTCTCCTCTGTATCTGTGTCTCTTCTTATGTCTCATAGAAGGACACCTGACATTGCATTTAGGGCCCAACCTATTCCAGGATGATCTCACCTTGAGATTCTTGACTTGGTTCTATCTCCAAATGCCGTGTTTCCAAATAAGGTCCCATTCACATGTTCTGGGGTCAGGATGTGGACATATCTTTTTGGGAGACTATGGTTCAATCGACTACAGTTGTACTCAGTTCCTTCTGGAGGCTCTAGGAAGAGCATCCGTCCTGCCTCTTCCAGATCTTAGAGGCTCCAGGAACCCCTGGGCTTGTGGCACAGTTTAAGCCACTACAGGTGTTCTTAGTTCCCTCTGGAGGCTCTAGGGGAGGATCCTTCCTGCCTCTCCCAGGTCCTGGGGTTTCCAGGTGTCCCTAGGCTTGTGGCTGCATCACTCCAGTCTCTGCCTCTGTTTCCAGGTGGCCTTCTCCTCTGTGTCTGTGTCTCCGCTTCTGTCTCTTACAAGTACACCTGTCATTGCATTTAGGGTCCTGAATCCAGCATGACTTCATCTTGACATCCCATACTAATTACATTTACAAAGACTGAATTTCCAAATAAGGTCCTATTTCAAAGTTTCGAGTGGACATGGAATTTTTTTAGTGGGGAAGGTGGGGAGAAGACACAGAATACCTGTTGTGTTCCCCGCATCCTCTGGCTCCTGCTGCTTTCTCCTAGCCAGTGGGATCCTGGTCTCTCACATCTAGCCATTACCTGGAGTCTTGCCTGCAGGGAGCTACCCCAACCCCCTGCCCTGACTGGCTCCAATTGGGTTATGTATTCCCCGTCTAATTGTATCACCACAATTATCACAACGTATATCTCATGATCATCAGCTCCAGTTTAGGGACTTTACCTTCCACCATCCTTTCATTAAAATGGTTTATTAAGATGCTTACTGCAAGTTAGACTATGTAAGTGGATACATTTTAAAAATACCTGAATTGAACAACATAATTTGACCTCCTACTCTCTGTTTGTCCTAGAAAAAAGCAGTAAATACACATGAATTAGAGTCTTAAAATATGAGAGCTTTTCAGGTTGGGCGCGGTGGCTCACGCCTGTGATCCCAACACTTGGGGAGGCCAAGGCAGGAGGAGCACTTGAGCCCAGGATTTCAAGACCAGGTGGGCAACATGATGAGACTCCTGTCTCTACAAAAAATACAAAAAAATTAGCTGGTGTTGTAGTGCGCACCTGTAGTTCCAGCTACTCGGGAGGCTAAGGTGGGAGGATCACTTGAGCTCAGGAGGTGGATCAGACAACTGCATTCCAGCCTGGGCAATAGAGCAACACCCTGTCTCAAAATAAAATAAATAAAATAAAATAATTTTATCTCCTACCTTGTGTCTGTCCTAGGAAAAAGCACTAGTGCCCTTGAATTCAAATCTTTAAATATGAGACCTTTGTTCTAAATGAACCACCCACAGTTTCCATACCTGTTATGAAGAAGTAACAAAAAGGAGCTGATTTTGTTTACTTAGCAGAATCCCCTATATTCCTAAGTGACTCACAGCCTGTTGCTGTTATGTAGCAGCTTGCTAGAGAGACTAAACATATCATGATTGTTAAGGGAATAAAATGCAAGTAAGATGTTCCTACAGAAACATTGCCGCTGGCTGTGAACACCTATGAGACACTTGGAAAATGATATCATTTTTTTTGTTGTTTTGCAGGAAGACAGATACACTTTGCATATTGTCCACACATGGAAACAATAGTCCAAGCATATAAGCTGGGTGGCCAAATTAATTGCAAACAAAGATACAGTAGCAATAATAGAGTGTAACCTTGATAGAAGGAGAATGAACAGATCCACAATAGGTCAGAAGATCTGAAGTTGCATCCACCTTATTCATTAGGAAGGCTATAAAAAGCAGGAAACAATAGCTAATGAGCTTAACTCATTTTTAAGAATAATTAAGGTAACAGATATCAGTATGTTTTCAAAAGAAATAAAATTCAATGGCTGCAGTTTCCTGTCTGGTTATATAATTGCCATGTAGTTGTATAGCCCAATTGATGACTAAGTTAAACTTGCAACACCCTTGCGAAGGCCTGCCCAGCCTCCAGCAATAGGCATGATATTTCAATTCATTTAGTGTAGGTTTGTTCCACATTCCACCAGCTATATAGTGTGGGTTTTCCTTTTTGGGAGACAAAAATCCCCCTTTAGGTAAGTTTCATGGATCACAGGTACATCCCTAGGGACCCTGTAGAATGTCTGTGATATTTCAACTACACAGCAGCCCTTCAAATCTTAAATGGCATACACACAAAAATTATCGTGCTTCCTGTCTCTTAATTTGGTTTAGAATAAATATGCACTCATGCATGTTGAGTTTATGAGTCTGCTATGGTCTGCATGTGTATGTCCCACCCCAAACTCATATACTGAAATCCTCACCTGAAAGGTGATGTTGTTGGGAGGTAGGGGCTTTGGGAGGTGTTGAGGTCATAAGGTGGAGCCTGATGAATGGGATCAGTGCCCTTAGAAAAAGGACCTCAGAGTTCCCTCGCCCCTTCCACCATATAAGGACACAGCGAGAAGGCTCCATCTTAATCCAGGAAGTGGGTCCTAACAAGACACTGAATGTGCCCCACCTTGAGCTTGGACTCCCAGCTTCCAGAAGTAAAAAAAGTAAATGCCTGCTGTTTGTGAGTCCCCCAGGCTATGGTATTTTGCTAAAGAAGTCTGAGTGGACTAGAATACGGTTCCTTACACCAACCTTCGCTTTTCTATATTTCTTCAAATTCAAGCACTCAGTGCCAGGAGTATCTGGATGAGACCAGGTTGCGAGTCTTCACTAGAAACTGAATCTGCCATTCCTTGATATTAGACTCCCAGCCCCAGGACTATGGGAAATCAATGTCTGCTGTTTGTAAGCCATGCAATCTAAGGTATTTTGTTGCAGAAGTCTGAATTGACTGGGATACAGTTTCTTATAGCAGCATTCACTCTACTATATGCCTTCAAAATGGAGCACTCCACACTGTGGCTATCCAGGGAGACCAGATTGGGATGAGTGTTGGTGCCTACACCTCAGCTGATTGGAGCTGAATATATCAGCACATTGTTTGATTTGGACAGGTATTTGTCAGTCTTGGTTTACATTCAACCAGTTGTAGACATTCCTAAACATTTTTCAAGCCACTCTGTCATCTCTGCTCATCAGGTATAGCTTGGAGAGGTTCAGAACACCTGCCTTATCCAGGTGGGTCTGCTATCATCACAGAGAACCTTACAAAAGGGAAGTGGAAGAGTCAAAGCTACAGAAAAGACACAGGCTGCAGGAAGCAGAGGTTGGCATGATGTAATCTGAAGATACAGGAAGATTCCATGAGCCAAGAAATGCAGGCAGCCTCTAAAAGCCAGAAACAGAAATAAATTGTTTTTCTCCTAAAATACTCAGAAGAAACACAGCTCTGCAGACATCTTTATTTTATTCTGATGTTCAAAACTGTAACAGAATAAATGGGTGTTGTTTTAAGCTGTGGCATCGGTGATAATTTGTGACTGCAGTCACAGACTCACACACTCATCATCCTGCTGCTCAACCTTCCCTGAATGACAAATTTAACCCCAGGCTCCTTGCCCCTGCTAGCCCCTCTGCTTGGAAGCTTCCAACTCGAAATATTGAATGATTTATTTCAACACCACCTCCTCAGAGTGGCTTTTCACCTACCCCTTTCCATAATCACCTTCTCCTTTCCTTTTGCTCTGATTCACTTTTGGAAACAGTTCTTATGTGACTTTGGTGTTGATTTTACTGCATATGACTCTCTCACTAGAATGTGAGCTGCATGGCAGCTTCAACATTCTCACTCATGGCCCTGTCTAGGGTTAGGGTTAGGATTAGGCAATCTGGAGCCATCAATAGCTATTGAATGAATGACCATGGCCAGGTCTATGTTTATAGGGTCAACTTCTGGACAGGGACATAATATCTTCTTAAGCAGTGAGGAAGTCAGCAAGAGCCATCAAGCTGTCATAGGGAAAGAGTAGAAGCACACCTATTGTGAGTGAAAATCAGTTAGGAGCTCTCCATGGGTCTCTCTGATTCTGAGACACCTGACTGCATGGTGAGACATTGTATTAGTCTGTTTTCACACTGTTGACAAAGATATGGCTGAGACTGGGAAATTTACAAAGGAAAGAGGTTTAATAGACTTGCAGTTCCACTTGGCTGGGGAGGCCTCAGAATCATGGCAGAAAGCAAGGAGGAGCAAGTCATGTCTTTCATGGATGGCAACAGGCAAAGAGAGAACTTGTGCAGGGAAACTCCCCTTTATAAAACCATCAGATCTCATGAGACTTATTCACCATCACAAGAACAGCATAAGAAAGACCTGTCCCCATGATTCAATTACCTCCCACTGGTCCCCTCCCACAACACCTGGGAATTCAAGATAAGACTTGGGTGAGGACACAACCAAACCATATCAGACTTCTTCCATGAGTGGTTTTGGCTCCAGATACACAGTGAAGCCACCTGTGATGGCCATTAAGGTGACTTTTGAAGTCACCTGTGAGCTACCAAAAACACCTGCACCTATGGTTCTAACTACATAGATTTGACTTCACTGGAACTGGGTGTAGTCTGAATTCTGGGAGTGCAAATGTTCTTCTTGTGAGTCTAACAACCTGTAAATGGATATGATGATGCCTAGACCCCAAGAGAGAAACAAATGTGTAGTGAACATCAAATTGGTTTGGGATGTGGGAGGCAGACGATGTCATGGGTCAGGGAAAATGGGAGATCCTGAATTTGCCAATCTTTCTTATAAAGAAGGTCATATTTTCTTCAGAAGAGTAAATCAAACCCAATTTTAAACTTGATTTAGACTAAACATGTGTCTACACATGGGTGTCTATCCCTTAGGATTTGAGAGTCATTGTACTATCCATTTATATTTATGACATAAATATAGTTCTCTACGGGGAGAAAAATGCCACAGTTTTCTTTTCTTTGAGGCTAAGTCTTCTTTTTTTGGCCATGTGTTCAGCCATAATTGGAACTGGCCATATTTTAATTTTCCAAGAGTATCATAAAGAATAGAAATGGAAAGTAATAAAGAGAAAGTGATTGAGTGGGCAATATTTTCCTTTTAGCTCCCAAAGAAAATGGCCAATATTTTTTGACCCTAAGGAATGCCTGTCATTCATTCTCAGAAGCAGTGTAGGAACTCATGGAATTCCCCAAGAGACGCCATGAGAACAAAAGTGTAGACCCATAACAAAGGTAGGTAGTGCCAGCACACAATGTATGATGCAATTTGAAGACCAGGGGGGAAGTTGAAGGGATACAAGAAGGAACATTGTGTCTCGCATATAGAATTACATAGGGGAAAGGATGTGCAATGTGCCAAGTGAGTGTTTTCCAATTGGCAGTAGACATCAAATCTTCTACTGAGAAATAGTGTGGGGAAAAGAGAAAGAGAAGGCTGGAGGTATGCTGCCTCTCTATTAAAACAACTCTTTGAAAAATAGGTATAGAAGACTTCTAAGTATCCCAAGACCACAGACATATAGGATGTAGATTTGGCCATGGACCTTTGGCCATGGAACATTTGCACACCCAGAATCCAGACTACACCCAGGATCGACGAAGTTCAATGCCTATAGGCAGAACCATTGGCTCAGGTATTTCTGGATGCTCATAGGTGACTTCCAAAGTCACCTTAAAGGCCATCACAGGTAACTTCACTGTGTAGTTGGGGTCCAGAACCACTCAAGGAAGGAGGTTTACGATGTAGGCAGGTGTCTCAGAATCTGAGAGACCCAGGTAGTGTCCCCTAACTCTGATTTTCCACTGGTAATAGGTATGCTTCTACTCTTTTCTTATGACAGCCTGATGGCTCTTGCTGTCCTCCTCACTGCTTAATGTAGACCTGGCCATGCTCTTTCATTCATTCAATAGCTATTGATGGCTCCAGGATGCCTAATCCTAACCCTAACCCTAACCCTAACTCTACCTCTACCCCTAACCCTAGACAGGGCCATGAGTAGGAACATTGAAGTTTCCACTGAGTTCACGTTCTAGACAGAGAGTCAGACACAGTACAATAAACACTCAATTCACATAGGAACTGTTTCCAAAACTGAATCAGGGCAAAGAGGAAGGAGAAGGTAATTTTGGAAAGGGAGATGAAGAGTCATTCTGAGGAGGTGGTTTTCGAATAAATCATTCAGTATTTGGAGAAAGAAGCTTCCAAGCAGAGAGGCCAGAAGGTGCAAAGGGCCCAGGGGCATTTGTCTTGTAGGGAAATTTGAACAGCAGGATGATGAGTGTGTGAGTCTCCTGTGGCTACTGTCACATGGGTCTGTAGGGTGATAAAATGAGAACATTTTAGTCAAATAGTTCAGTGCCCCATTTGAGGACAGTAGGTTGATAAACCAGCCAGGAATATTCCAGGCTTTCTCTCATCCATTTGCAAGACTGAAACTGGCCTTTTCCGTACCATGTTTCAATAACAGGCTGCCTTATTAACATGTACTCCTATAGAACAGGAAAAACACTGACTTGATAATAACACTGCCTGAAAAAATGCAACAAAACATGTTTTTCCTCTTTCTCTCTGTCTTCTTATTCCTCCTCCCTCTCCTCTAATTGTATAAAGTGATATCTTATTATCTTCATTTTTATTTCTCACTACATTTTGATTTTGGCATCTCCTCGTACTCATTGAATGAGTTTTCTAGGGATGCTACAATGCACTCTCACAAGTTCAGTGGTTTAAAACAACACACATTGAGTATCTTCCAGATCTGAAAGTCAGAGTCCAAAATGAGTCTCCCTGGGATAAAACTGATGTATTGGTAGGACCCCATTCCTTCTGGTGGCTCTATACAGGGACAATCTATTTTCTTGCCATTTCCAGCTTTTAGGAGTGTCAACTAAAAATAAAATTCTAATGCTTCCTCCCCACCCCCCACTCCCTGCCCCCCGGTTATCTGAACGGACCCCTCCTCTCAGCCAAGGGCTCTCCAAAGTTAACCTGAAAAACTGGTTCAGGCCATGATGGGAAGTGGAAGCTGGACATGCCTCATCATGCCCTCCTCCCTTTTGGAATCACTGATAGAACAGACTCTCTAACTCTGATAAGAAACATTTACAATCTATTCTCTCTGGAGCCTGCTACCTGGATGCTTCATCTTCATCATAAAACCTTGGTCTCTACAACCCTTATCATAACCCAGATATTCCTTTCTACTGATAATAACTCTTTCAACCAATTGGAAGCCCCTCTGCCTGCCACTTTGAGTTGTCCTGCTTTTCTGGACCAAACAAATATACATCCCACATGTATTGATTGATGTGTCATGTCTCCCTAAAATACATAAAACCAAGCTGTACTCCAGCCAGCTTAGGCAGATGTCATCAGGACCTCCTGAGGGTGTGTCATGGGCACACCCTTAACCTTGGCAAAATAAACTTTCTGAACTGATTGAAATCTCTCTCAGTTACTTTTGGTTTAATGGGAGCTACCAACGTTTCTTGACTCATGGCCCCTTTCTCCATCTGCAAAGCCAGCCACAGCCACCGGGTCTAGTCTTTCTCAAGTTGCCACCTCTCTAGTTCTCCCTCCCTACAATCTTTTAAAGACCTTAGTGGTCACAAGGGACCACCTGTGTTACTCAGGATACTCCCCTTATTTTAAGATCAACTGATGAGAGAAAATTTAATTCCATCTACAACCTGAATTTCCTACTGCCATGGTGCATAACACATGTATAGGTTCTGGGAAGTAGGACACGACATCTTTAGGACGGGAGAGAACACCCTGTCTGCTATATGCATTCAAACTATTCGAGTTTCTTCTTCTGAGAATTATTATTCCTACCCATTTTTCCTTTCTTCTTGGATTTTATTTTCATCTTAATAGGCATACTGGCCAGGAGCAGTGCCTCATGCCTGTAATGCCAGTACTTTGGGAGACTGAGGTAGAAGGATCGCTTGAGCCCAGGAGTTTCAGACCAGCCTGGCCAACATGGCAAAACCCCATCTCTGCTAAAAATACAAAAAAATTAGCTGGGTGTGGTGGTGCACGCCTGTAATCCCAACTACTTAGGAGGCTGAGGCACAAGAACCACTTGAACCCAGGAGGCAGAGGTTGCAGTGAGCCAAGATAGCACCACTGAACTCCAGCCTAAGTGACAGAGTGAGGCTCTGTCTCAAAAAAAAAAAGGGTAGAAAGATTATTTTTAAAAAATAGGCATACTTTGTATCGTTTAGGTATTAGCCCCTCATCAGTTTGATACTGTGTGTGTATGTGCATGTGTGTGTGCGTGTGCCCGTGTGTACATGTGTATGTGTGTGTGTGCGTGTATGTGCATGTGTGTATGTGCGTATGTGTATGTCTAGGTGCATGTGTGTGTTTGTGTGTGTTTGTGTTTGTGTGTGTGTGTGTGTATGTGCGTGTGTGTGTGTGCACTTTTCTGACAGGTATTTCTAAGGCATTTTTCTTTCTTCTCACAATTCAAATGTTTAACCGGAATACATCTAGTTGCTATTTTTCTTTCTATAATTTTCATCTCAGACTAGTTAAGAAACAGCCAGAAAGGTCCTATGAATTATTATTTTAAGAATAAAGATGATGTTATTTTGTAGATGTTACAGAAATACAATGAACTGGTTTCCAAGAACACTGTGCATTCTTTTTTGTTTGTTTTTAATGTCTCCAAGAATTCATCTTGTAGGTAACCTATACTCACAGAAGCACTCAGGGCAGAAGAGGAGACTGAGGTTTCTGTGCAATTATTTATTTGGAATTGGAGCCCATTCCTTCCCTGGAGCAAGAGCTCAGGAAGTGGAGGGAAGGACGTGAAACAGGAAAAGAGAAAAAGCCCATTTGAGGATTTATGATTGGGTTTGCCGCCAAAGTGGCAACTGACATTTGACCCTGGAAGCCTTGTGAGGATTTTAGGATAACTGTAAGGCTGCACCAGGGAGATGAGAAAGGAAGCCATTTCTCCATCTCCTTCCGTGCTCTATGGGTGAACGATGGCTCTTTCTCTCTTGTGATACTGAGTGCTGGAAAGCTGAAGGAATTCTTCCAAGAATTGAGTGAGTTCAGCCAGCCTGGATTCCCTGGAATTCTGGTGAAGCCTGACTGGGGAAAGAACAAAGACTGAGAAGGTTTGACTTGGTAGACAACCAGTACTTCATGAATACATATCCTGTAACATAAAGTAATGATAATACTAATAATACTTATCATTATTATTAGCAATAATGCGGCAGGTTTTTCATTACTGCCTATGTATATTTTTCCAGGATGAAAAAACTTCCTGCACACTCTGGGACAGAATTTCGCTCCATGAGTAGGTAGTCCACAGAATCCTAACCTCACAGGATGGTTCTTTCAAAACAGGTTCAATGATAAAACACACTTTAGAAAGGTTAAATATATATTATACTTGGTAGTGACTCATAACAACAACCAAAAAAAAGCGTATAACCGTATTAAAATATGCGCAAAAATCATGAACACACAATCTTCAAAAGAAGACATATAAACTGCCAACAAGCATATGAAAATTTGCTCAACATGACCAATCATCAGAGAAAAGCAAATTGAAACCATAATTACATATCTTCTTATTCCAATCAGACTAGCTATTTTTTTTTTTTTTGAGACAGAGTCCCGCTCTGTCACCCAGGCTGTAGATAATTTGATTATTACTGCCATGCCTTGGTATTTGTGTTTCAAGAGCTGCCAGCAACTGCTGTCAAATGATGCATTGATAAACATCCTTGTGAAATTGATTACTGAGTCAGATCCTGAAATACCTGGAAAGGCTGTGTCCACTTTATATATCTCTCCTCTATATATAGGAAGTCCCAAGAAAATGGGAGTCCAGAATCAAAAAAGGGTTTGCTTCTTAAATAGCACCACTCTTTCTTCTGTTTAATATTGAAAACTGTCAAGGACTATGTTCTTTCTTTATTTAGACTGCCAGAAAGTACAGACACATCACCATCTGTGTACATCCATGTAATTTCATTGTCAGCCCTCACTATCATATCACCCTGGTTTTCTATCACTCATTTATAATCTGTATTCCTTATAACCTATTTTCAGTTGCGTTTTGTATATCTTATGTTATTCTGTTTCTTCTTGCCTGAAGCCTCCTCCTTCTTTTCAAAGGACAAGGCAAGACCAGACATGATTGCTCATGCCTGTAGTTCTAGCATTTTGGGAGGCTGGGGTGGAAGGATAGCTTGAGCCTAAGAGTTTAAAGATCAGTCTGGGCAACATGGCAAGACACCTTGTCTATAAAAAATCAAAAAATTAGCCTGGCGTGGTGGTGCACACCTGTGTTCCCAGCTACCTGGGAGGCTGAGGTGGGAGAATCACTTGATCCCAGGAGGTCAAGGCAGCAGTGAGCTATGATTGCACAACTGTGCTCTAGCCTGGGAGACAGAGAAAGACCCTGTCTGAAAGAAAAAAAGAAAGAAGGAAGGAAGGAAAGAAAGAGAGAGAGAGAAAGAAAGAAGAAAGAAAGAAAAAGAAAGAAAGAAAGAGAAAGAAAGAAAGAAAGAAAGAAAGAAAGAAAGAAAGAAAGAAAGAAAGAAAGAGAAAGAAAGAAAAAAGAAAGAAAAAAAAAAGAGAGACAAGGCATGGCCTGTAAGTTGACAACCAACAAAAGAATCACTACAATCACAAACTGCCCTCCAATTTGGAACAGTTTTGGTGGCTCAGACCATTTGGTTACTTACCTGGGTTTCTACTAACTTTGACAGTGTGAGGTTTTCCATATACATGCATAACCCAGCTACTCAGAGCTCTGAAAATGGTTTCATTTTACAGTTTGCACTCTCTGCTCATAAGTTTTATAACAGACATAAATGTTCATGTCCTATGTGGCATGGTCAACAATTGTGCAATGTGTAATTTCACCACTTGCAAGGATACTCAGTGAGTGGAAATGTGAATTTATACTATTAATGTGCATTGCACCTGTTGCCTGATGTATTACTCAGGATAAAACAGAACTAATAGAATGTGTTTGTGTGTGCATGTAGTTGACCCTTGAACAACACAGGTTTGAACTTATATGTGAATTTTCTTCCACCTCTGCCATCCCTGAGACAGCAAAACCAACCCCTCTGCTTCATCCTCCTCCTCCTCCTCCATGTGAAGACAAAAAGAACGTAAACATTTAGGATGATCCATTGAAAATGAAAGTTTAAAAAAAGAATATACTTGCTAACATCATAAATAAATAACTAGTAAATGTATTTTCTCGTCCTAATGATTTCCTTACATGACATTTTCTTTTCCCTAGCTTACTGTGTTGTAAGAATACAGTATTGAGGGCGGGCATGGGGGCTCATGCCTGTAATCCCAGCACTTTGGGAGGACAAGGCAGATGATCACTTGACATCAGGAGTACGAGACCAGCCTAGCTAACATGGCAAAAACCATCTCTACTAAAAATACAAAATTAGCTGGGCATGGTCGCACATGCCTTTAATCCCAGCTACTTGGGATGCTAATGCAGAAGAATCGCTTGAACCTGGGAGGTGAAGGTTGCACTGAGCCAAGATCATACCATTGCACTCCAGCCTAGGTGACAGGGTAACACTCCATCTCAAAAAAAAAAAAAATACAGTATTGAATACATATAATGTAAAAAAATTATGTAAATTAACTGTTTATGTTACCATTAAATCTTCTGGTGGACATTAGGCTGTTAGTAGTTAAGTCGTGGAGGAGTCAAAAGTTACAGGTGGATTTTTTTCTTTTTTTGAGACAGATTCTCACTGTGTCACTCAGGCTGGAATGCAGTGGCGTGATCTCAGCTCACTGCAGCCTCTGCCTCCCCAGCTCAAGTGATTCTCCTGACTCAGCCCCTGAGTAGCTGGGACCACAGATGTGCACACCACACCAGCTAATTTTGTACTTTAGTAGAGACAAAGTTTCACCATCTTGCCCTGGCTGGTTTTGAATTCCTGAGCTCAAGAGATCTGCCTGCCTTGGCCTCCCAAAGTGCTGGGATTACAGGCTTGAGCCACCATGCCCAACTGAGTTATAGGTGGATTTTTTACTGTGCTGCGGGGAGTCAGTGCCCCTAACCTCTGCGTTGTTCAAAGGTCAACTGTATATATAGTTATATATGCTTTTATATAAGTATACATATACATATGCAAATGTTTATACTAGTATACATATTTTACACATATATGTTTATATGTATAACTATATAAACAGTTACATATATAAATATATATGTGTTGTGTGTATATGTATATAAATAAGTATATATGTCTTTGTGTATATATAAATATATATGCATGTAAATATATACATATAAATATATAAATACATGTATATACATATATTTATATTTACATATACATACACTTACATACATTTACATATACATACACATATATACTATATATGATATATACACACATATACTATATATACACATAAATGCACATATACATATTTTATACACACACACATATATATTTATTTACACACATGTACACAGAGTTTTGAAGAAACTGGCTTATGTGATTAAAGAGACTTGGTAAGTCCAATGTCTGCAGGGTAGACCAGCAGCAGGCTGGAGACCCAGGGAAAAACTGATGCTGCAGCTCAAGCCCAAAGTCCTCTGTGTGGAGGCAAAATTCCTTTCTCCTCCAGGGCCCACAGTCTTTTCTTGTCCTTCGGTCTTCAGCTGATTGGACAAGGCCCACATACCTCATGGTGGGCAATCTGCTTTACTCAAAGTCTATGGATTTCAGCATTAATCTCATCTAGAAAATACCTGCATGACAATGCCTAGACTAGTGATTGACCAAATACTTGTGTTCCATGAGCTCACCACACTGTCACATCAATTTAACCCTTGCTCTAAATTTTAAAATGTTTTGTATTGCAAACGTGCAATTTCTTTGCTTGTATATACGCCTCTATGTAGGACACTTGTGCTCCACACTCAATCCTGCAAACTGCACTTTGTACTCCAACGCCACCATGGCCAGTTGCCTGCAGCTTCTGCTATGTTTCTCAGGTGTCTCGTGGCTGGCCTGTCTCGGGTGTCTGGGTGGCACCTTCTCCTCCTGCCACCTTCCTTCTCTGCAGATTTTGCAACCAAGCAAGAAAGACACAGAAGAGAAGAGCCTGAGATGGAGTAAGGACCCCTCTCTTTGGAGCCTGTGGGATTCCCCAGACATGGAAATGAAGGAAAATCTTGAGTTCCTTGGAGGGAAATTCCAGGCATCTAGCTGGCTCTGAGAAGTCAATGAGCAGCCTGATAAGCAAGAAGGTAATCGTAGCTTAAAACAATTGCCAAGGAAGAAGTTAGAGTCACAAGATGCTTGGCTCCCCTACAAGAACTAAATATAACATCTTAGCATGTGTCTCTGAGTTGTGTTTCCAGAAACCCAGACCCCCACCCAATAGATCTACCACCCTCTCTCCAGACTTCAAATAAGGGGAACTGGGGGTTACACTCTGAGCACCATTCCTTGTTCTCAATTTCTTCCCGAAGGGCCTGGGTGTCACAGCCCTGGGTTAGGATGAACTGTCTTTCCTGCTGATCCCAAATTTTAAGACAAAGCTTTTCCTGCTCATGAATTACAATCAGAGAGGCTTTAAATCCACCTAAGACCCATAGGCCTCTGCTTTGGGGTTTCTCAT
Organism: Homo sapiens; assembly: GCF_000001405.40. Lineage (NCBI taxonomy): Eukaryota > Metazoa > Chordata > Mammalia > Primates > Hominidae > Homo > Homo sapiens. The sequence continues at coordinate 11,907,911 of NC_000024.10, read as the reverse complement.
CATTTTAGGTCAAACCAATATATAACCTCCATGCATTGACTTATGACTTTGCCTGTAACCTCTGCCTCCATGAATTAAAGAATTCATACCTTGAAGCCATCATGAAGGCCAGGGTTTAATCAAGAGCTGCCCAATTCTCCTTGTTTTGTGCCCTGCAAATAAACACCCTCCTTTCTCCCACTGCAAACCTCACTGTATACATCTGGTCTTACTGCACTGGGTGAGCAGACCTCAGTTCAGTTCCAAAACAAGGTGATGCAGCCTCCGCACCTTAAGAATTGCAGTGAACATCTGATAAGCCAAAATAATTGGGAATTAAAGAATGCAATGACTTGCACAGTGAAGAATGTGGGACCCAAAGTAAGGTGTTAGCTGTGAGACCAGCCATGACATGATTGTGAAATATTGGAGCTTGTGGTCTGCACTCAGAGGCGATTTGCAGCTTATATGGAAATAAAATTCACAATACGGTAGGGTCAGAATAGGTGGAGCATTTTGGATCATGGGGTGTATGTGTATGTATGTATGTGTATGTGTGTATATATGCACATACATGTGTATGTGTGTATATATGCATATATGTGTATATGTGTGTACATGTATATATATGAATTAGCATGTGTATCTCTACCCTACTAGGTTACAAACTTCTTGAGGCAAAATTCATTTTCACATATACAGAGCAGAAATATTATTCTCCCCCCACAAAGTCACCCACAGAATTCAACATTGCTCAAATATTGTGACCCTACCTTATCCAATTTTATTATTCACATAAGTTGGTTCACGCACTTCTATAAAGCAGTTCAAATCCTTAATGAATATCTACGTCTACACAAAGCTATACATACACACACACACATACATGCATCTACATCTAGACAGGCATAAATGCATGCACATATATCACAGATAGATGATAGACAAGTAATAGGTATATAGATAATAGATGAATAATAAATAGATAATAGATTGATACACAGATGATGTAATGGATACATAATACCTATATGAATGCATGATAGATAAAAAATGATAGCTAGGTAGATAGGTAGATGAATGGATAGATGATGGATAATATATAGAAAGATAACAAATGAATGGATGGATGGAAGATAGATGGAATAAATATATAACAGATAGCTTGATAGATGGATGAGATAGATACATAGAAGATGGATAGATAGATAATAGATAAATAAATACATGATAGAATAGATACACTATAGCTAGATGGATAGATGATAGTAGATAGATGATTGATAAATAGATACATAATGGACAGATAAGTAGGTAATAAATAGATGGATAGATGCATAGATGATACATAGTGGATGAATGAATGGATGAAAGATGGATACATAAGTAGATGGAATGATAATGGATAGATAGATGATAGATAAATGGTAGATAATAGATGAATAAATGGATGATAGAACAGTTATAGCTATAATAGCTAGATGGATGGATGATAAATAGCAGATAAACAGATGATATGTAGTCAGAGAGATAGATGATAGGTAGATAATAGATAAATGGATAGACAGATGAATAAATAATACCTAGATAGATAGATAGATAATAGATAGATGAATGGATGACAAAATGTAGACAGATAAATAATAGACAAAAGATAGATAGATAGATAGATAGATAGATAGATAGATAGATATTCAAATAAAATGCAATGTTATGTGCCAAATACTTAATGCAAAGAAGTGCGGGAGACAAAAGTGTCTCCTTGTTGGACTTCTGGGCTCTGTGTATATCAGATATTCTCTAAATTATGGGAGGGGGTGACCCAATTTCATATTAACTCACTCCTCATATGTTAATGCTTCCTACTCTCCACTCAAATTCATCTACCTATCTGCCTATTATCTACCTAACTATTTATCATCCATCTATTTATCTACTCTCTATCATCTATCATCCATCTAGCCTTTAGGGTATCTATTCTGTCTATCTATCATCCTTTTAGATGTGTGAGACAAGGGAAAAGGGAAGAAGACAGCAATGGTAAGCCCAACAAAACTCAATGAGAGCATGTTTGCAATAGTGGAAGCCATTCATAAGAAATTTTTTTAACTTTGTTTTTCTAAATAAGCAAATGCATGAAGAGCACTAGATTGCTGAGGCAAGGCAGGTGACAAAAGGAAAGGCCTGCTTAGAAAGAAAAGGTAGACAGAAAAAAATAGGGCTGCAGGACACCCAGAGATAAACTAGTCAAGACGCACTTGTCCTTAGGAATCAAGAAACACTCATTAATTTATTCTACAGCGACTGTTTCTCTAGCAAGTGGAGAGACAGCCATGATCCGCTGAACATGGCTCCAGTAGCAAGCCCAGCTCTGGGCCAAGTGACCAGGTGGGCAAAAGTTCCCAGAATGTCTACCTCGTCCTTTGTGGGGACAGCCGGTTCCTCCACACCAAGCCTGTTCCTGCAGTTCTAAGTCTCCAATTACTCATCTCTCCTCCCAGGCATGTGCCATCCTATACACACCTGCTGTTCCTTTCTTTTTCTCTCTCTTTCCTTTTTCTCTCTCTTTCCTTTTTCTTTCTCTCTCTCTTTCTCTCTTTCTTTCTTTCTTTCTTTCTTTCTTTCTTTCTTTCTTTCTTTCTTTCTTTCTCTTTTTCTTTCTTTCTTCTTTCTTTCTTTCTTTGTTTCTTTCTCTCTCTTTCTTACTTTCTTTCTCCTTCCTTCCTTCCTCCCTCCCTCCCTCCTTCCCTCCCTCTCTCCCTCCCTCCCTCCTTCCCTTTTCCTTTCTTTCTTTCCCTTTCTTTCTTTCTTTCTTTTCTTTCCTTCTTCCTTCCCTTCCTTCCTCCCTCCCTTCCTTCCTTTTCTTTTCTTCTTTCTTTCTTTCTTTCTCTCTCTTTCTCTCTCTCTTTCTCTCTCTCTTTCTTTCTTTCTTCCTTCCTTCCTTTCTTCCTTCCTTCCTTCCTTTCTTTCTTCCTTCCTTCCTTTCTTTCTCTCTCTCTCTTTCTTTCTTTTTTCTTTCTTTCTCTCTCTTTCTTTCTTTCTTTCTTTCTTTCTTTCTTTCTTTCTTTCTTTCTTTTCTTTCTCTCCTTCAACAGAATCTAGCTGTGTCATCAGGCTGGAGTGCAGTGGCACAATCTTGGCTCAATGCAGCCTTTGCCACCCAGGTTCAAGCAATTCTCCTGCCTTAGCCTTCTGTGTAGCAGGGATTACAGGTGTGCACCACCACATCAGGCTAATTATTTTTGGATTTTTAATAGAGATGGAGTTTTGCCATGCTGGCCAGGCTGGTCTTGAACTCGTGACCTCAGGTGATCCACCCACTTTGGCCTCCCAGAGTACTGGGATTACAGGCATGAGCCACCTTGCTTTCCAACACCTGCCTTCTGAGGCATTGAAGATTCACCATGCCTGTATGTATTAGAGTTGCAGGACTAAATATAAGACTTCAGTTTAACTTAGGATTTATGATAAAAAATAATTTAAAAAATATATTGTAAGTACATCCTACATATTTAATAAGTTCTACTAAAAATAATCCACCATTAATCTGAAACTCACTTTTAATTGAACATTCTGTATTTTCATTTGCTAGACCTGACAATCCTAATATAGAGCATTTTCATTTTGAGAAGTAAAAGATACGTGGATTCCTATGACTCCAAATATCTGCCCCTTTAGCATCTATATGTGTGTGTGTGTTCATGTATGTATACATATATGTGTGACTGTGTGTCTATGCATCTAGCTATTGTGTATCTATTCTATCATGTATTTCTTTATCTATTATCTACCTCTCATCTATCTATCCATTTTCTATTTATCTATCATCTATGTATCTATCACATCCATCTACCAAGCTATCCATTATATATTTATTCCATCTCTTCAGCTATCTTCCATGCATCCATTCATGTATTATCTATCTTTCTATCTATATATCATTCATCATCTATTTATCCATTCATCTATTTTTTCTCTACCTATCCTCTATTTTTCTATCATGTATTCTGTTATATCATGTGTGTATCGATTTATCATCTATTATCAATTTATCTATTATCTATATACCTATTACTTCTCTATCCACCATCTATCTGTCATGTATGTGCATGCATTTATACTCATCTAGATGTAGATGCACGTATGTATGTGTGTGTATGTATAGATATATGTAGCTGTAGATATTCATTAAAGACTTGAACTGCTTTATAGAAGTGTGTGAACCAACTTATGTGAATAATAAAATTGGATAGGTAGGGTCACAATATTTGAACAGTATATATTACTGGGATGACTTTCCTGTTTTCTTCAAATCCCACTTTGTTAGGAACTGCTAACAAGGTCAAGTGAGATTCCTGAGCTTTAGCCATGAGCTGCGTCTTCCTTCTTCCCTGGGTCAGAAGATTCACAGATGATCCCTTGTGCCCACAGGAAACAGAAGATTTTATTTGAAATTAGAAATGCAGACAGAATGTATTTTTAGAAATTCATCAACATATGGTATGCTAAAGTATTAATCTTATCCTCCTTTGATCACTTGCAGCTTCATGTTTTCTGGTGGTTTTGGAATACATTTCTTTGCATTTGCAAACTATTACATGACTCACATTTGGGAAATAAAAGTGACATTAATTCAAAAGATTCAAACTTCCTTATTTTGACTCTGAAGTCAGAAGTAACCTCTGGTGATCTATAAACCCTCTGGATTTTTATCCAACTATATACCAAGGGGAAAAAAATCGACATTTTTAAAGATGTTTTTATTTGAACTCTTCTTACAGAAGAAAAATCTGCATTTATTTTACTATAACAGAATATGCCATCAGTGCAAGCATATAGCATTTTAACTGAGTAGGCAAATGATGCATGGTTATTCCAAAGGGAAGAGAGGTGAATGGAAAAGAAGATAAACATGATTTATAGTATGTCAGTGCCTAAGACTGTTATCTTCTTAAAGTAACCAATAAAGAAGAGCAAGTGTACCTACTTACATAATTTTAGCGAAGACCTTGAAAACTGCAACAATTTAGAGCAAATGCATATTTGAGCTGTCATTATGCAGGTAGATTAAAAGAAGAAAATAGTGGTGGTTAAACACAAATATTATGATCAGAAGCATTTAAAATTGAATGAAGCACGTGACAAGCAGCCATCATTCTGCTGCTCCACATCTAGAAAGAAAAATGCCAAAATAAGGAAGCCAATTTCCAAAATAAAAAAATAAAGCTTTTGCTGAAAGAACATCTCCATTTTTCTTCATTCTTTGTGAGTTATGCCTATTCTTCCAGTTACTGGTTATCTGGGAATCTGTGGTTGCAAATTGTTAACATATAATTTCTTTCTAAGATACCACATGGTGCCCCTGGAATTAGAGGAGACATTCTTTGGGGGCTTAGCTTTGGTTTAGAATTAACAGCAACAACAAAAAATGATGAGCAGGTGGAGAATTTACTTTAAAGGAGGTTTAAGTTTCCTTTTTGGCTCCAAATTTATCCAGCATTAAATTAAAGGCCTATGAGAGCAAGTAGCCACTAAATAAATCTTTTTTCAAACATTAAGTGTGTATGTCATATTTAGGCATATGAAGAGTTTCTGAGGTGAATGTGTTTCATGGATGGATTGCCTGTGAAGGGTGTCCTAATATAAAATTTATACTTTCTAATTTCAGTATGTATGGCTTTATTCATAAAGAAAAAGCAAACTAGAAAGATATGAGACATCACCCACAACCAATGCTTCAGAAACTTCAATGTATATATGGATCTTGTTAAAATGAAGATTCTGGTGTGGGAGGTTGGGGCTAGGACCCAAAATTCTGCATTTCCAACAGCTCCCACGTGGTGCTGATGCTATGAGCCTATGGACCACACTGAGGAGCTGTGCCCCAGCCCACCGCACGTAAGTCACAATCTCCAGGAGCAGAACCTGCCACTGGATTCTTTTTTAAACCCTCCAGGGGATGCGACCATGCAGTCAGTGGGGACTACAATTCAACAAGAGATTTGAATGGGGACATAGATCCAAACCATATCATACACCAAAACTCTTCTCCGGATAGATAGCTACAAGGAAAATTCCAATGAGAAAGCTTCTTTCACCAGGTAGAAGCTTGTTTCACCAGGAAGAAGCTGACTTACTTGCATTTGGAAGAATTTTTTATTTTTTCTGTGTGTGGTAAGTTTTTGAAATCCAGTGACATTTTAGGAAAAAGCATCTAACTATGTTTTCAAAAAGAAACAAACTAAAATACAATATTGTGGGGTTTTTTTTGCCTTTATAATTTTTTAAATTCAGGTGGTGCATGTTTGTGTTTCTTTTATGGATATATTATGCAAAGGTGAGGTTCAGCTTCTAGTGAACCCATCACCCAAACAGTGAACATTGTACCCAACAGGTAGTTTTTCAACCCTCACTCCCCTCCCACCTTCACCCTTTTTGGAGTCCCCAGTATCTATTATTTTCATCTTCATGTACATGTGCACACATTATTTAGCTTCCACTTACTAGAGAGATCATGCAGCATTTGACTTTCAGTTTCTGAGTTATTTCACTTTAAGATAGTAGCCTCCAATTCCATCTGTGTTGCTGCAAAAGACATGATTTCATTCTTTTTTGTGGCTGAATAGTATTCCATAATATATGTGTACCACATTTTCTTTATTCAGTCCTACAATGATGGACACTTAGGTTGATTCCATGACTTACCTATTGTCAATAGTGCTGTGATAAACATATATGAGTGCAAGTATCTTTTTGATATAATGATCTATTTTCCTTTGGGTAGATACCCAGTAGTAGGATTGCTGGATGAAATGGTAGCTCTATTTTTAGCTCTCTGAGAAATCTCCATACTGTTTTCTACAGAGATTGTATTAATTTACATTCCCACCAAGCTCGTGTAAGTGGTGGAAGATATTGATTAATAATGTAATAAAGGCTAACATATATTGAGCATTTGCTAATATCCAGGAATTTTCCAAACAGTTTTATGGAGTTAAATTCATTGACATGAGTAATCTCATTTTACAAATAAGGAAAAAGGGGCTTTGAGAATGCATACAACGAACCAGGGTTGCAGAGCTTGGGAAGTACTGAGCTGGCATTAGTCCACTGCAATGGGCTGAATTGAGTCCCTCCAAAATTTATATGTTGAAGCCCTAACCCTCAAAGTGTGACTATATCTGAAAATGGGGTATCTAAAGAGGTAATTAAAGTAAAATGAGGTTATTAGATTGGGCCCTAATTCAATATGACTGGGGTCCTTTAAGAAGAGGAGATGAGGACACAGACACACACAGAAGGACAACCCTGGGAGGATGCAGGGAGAAGATGGTGTCTCCAAGCCCAGGAAAGAGGACTCAGGACTAACCACCCCTGCCCACACCTTGATCTTGGACTTCCAGCCTCCAGGACTGTGGGAGAATCAATGTCTGTTGTTTACAAGCCACTCAGTCTATGGGATTCTGTAATCGCAGCCTGAAATGGACTAAGACACCTCATAAGATGAGGAGATGAGGACACAGACCCACACAGAGGAATAACTCTGTGAGGACACAGGGAGAAGATGGTGTCTACAAGCCCAGGAGAGATGCCTAAGGAGGAACCAGCCATGCCCACAACTGGATCTCAGTCTTCCAGTCTCCAGGACTGTGAGAGAAGAAATGTCTATTGTTTAAAAACCACCTAACCTATGGTATTCCATTACAGCAGCCTAAAATGGACTAAGGCATCCTGTAAGAAGAGGAGATTGGAAAAAAGACACACACAAAGGGATGATCACATGAGGACACGTGGAGAAGATGGCATCTACAAGCCAAGGAGAGACGCCTCACGAGGAACCAGCCCTGCCCACACCTTCATATGGGACTTCCAGGCTCCAAGACCCTGACAAAACAAATCCCTTTTGTTTAAGCCACCCATTCTGTGGGACTTCATTATGGCAGCCCCAGAAGACTAGCACATACATGAACATTGGGGTTCAGAGCCGTGTCTTAAAGCAATAGGGTCTGTTGCCTTAGTTAGATTAAAGGTTCATAGGATTAAAACTTCCAGAGCTGTGACTCTGACTTGAAATGCATTCATCCTCTAATCCTCCTCACCTTTGACCAACCTGAAGAAGTGACGACATTGATCTCTATGCAAAAATCTGTTCAACATTACTCAGGGGCTCAAAAGCCAGCCCCGAGTCTCAGGGCAATTTGGGGGCCATTTATTCTGGCTCCTTTAAGCTGCCCAGAAACATTTCCTAAGTCCACACAACCTCTCTACTCAGCTGTGAATTCTTTTTTTCTTTCTTTTTTTTTTAAATTATACTTTAAGTTTTAGGGTACATGTGCACAATGTGCAGGTTTGTTACGTATGTATACATGTGCCATGGTGGTGTGCTGCACCCATTAACTCTTCATTTAACATTAGGTATATCTCCTAATGCTAACCCTCCCCCCTCCCCCCATCCCACAACAGTCCCCAGTGTGTGATGTTCCCCTTCCTGTGTCCATGTGTTCTCATTGTTCAATTCCCACCTATGAGTGAGAACATGCAGTGTGTGGTTTTTTGTCCTTGCAATAGTTTGCTGAGAATGATGGTTTCCAGCTTCATCCATGTCCCTACAAAGGGCATGAACTCATCAATTTTTATGGCTGCATAGTATTCCATGGTGTATATGTGCCACATTTTCTTTATCCAGTCTATCACTGATGGACATTTGGGTTGGTTCCAAGTCTTTCCTATAGTGAATAGTGCCACAATAAATATATGTGTGTATGTGTCTTTATAGCAGCATGTTTTATAATCCTTTTGGTATATACCCAGTAATGGGATGGCTGGGTCAAATGGTATTTCTAGTTCTAGTTCCCTGAGGAAATGCCACACTGACTTCCACAATGGTTGAACTAGTTTACAGTTCCACCAACAGTGTAAAAGTATTCCTATTTCTCCACATCCTCTCCAGCACCTGTTGTTTCCCGACTTTTTAATGATGGCCATTGTAACTGGTGTGAGATGGTATCTCATTGTGGTTTTGATTTGCATTTCTCTGATGGCCAGTGATGATGAGCATTTTTTCATGTGTCTTTTGGCTGCATAAATATCTTCTTTGGAGAAGTGTCTGTTCGTATCCTTTGCCCACTTTTTGATGGGGTTGTTTTTTTTCTTGTAAATTTGTTTGAGTTCATTGTAGATTCTGGATATTAGCTCTTTTTCAGATGAGTAGATTGCAAAAATTTTCTCCCATTCATGGGCAAGGACTTCATGTCTAAAGCACCAAAAGCAATGGCAACAAAAGCCAAAATTGACAAATGAGATCTAATTAAACTAAAGAGCTTCTGCACAGCAAAAGAAACTACCATCAGAGTGAACAGGCAACCTTCAGCTGTGAAGTCTTGACACTTCACCGAGGATAAGTCTGTTTAGAAATAGATAATTAGCACCATAAAGAAAAGTCAGCATGGAGAAAAAGGATCTCTCAGCAAGGCAATTTTTACTTTCTGAAGAAAGGGTGTTCAATCACAGATGGAATAATGGCAAGAGCACGTTTGCAAAGAAAAAGCAGACATATTTAACCCTTACACATTTGGGTTGTCTTTACTGCTGTGTCCTGCGTCCACTGGCTGGAGGTGGACCTCACAGTCTTAAACTGATACCCAGTTTGCTAATAGCCTAAAACTTTCCTAAACAGGTAAGTGCAAGGGAGGACAAAGTAGGAGAGGAAGTTGCTTACAAAGGTTTAAGGAAACAATAACATTTTCAAATAAGGAAGGGACATAAGCTATAAACTAAGATTTGCCTGTGCCTGTCTGGTCATGCCTGACTAAGCCAAAGCAATTAACTGGGCTAAAGCATAAGAACTAATAGTTGATAGGAAGCTTTAGAGTAAGGAACTATTATTTCTAACATCTATTATTTCATTTTTAAACCAATATGAGCTTTGAAAAGGAACTTTTCAACTTTCTACAGTCTATCAGAGGTATGTGACCCAGTGCAAATCAATTTTGAATAGGAGCTAGATAAAATGAGGCTGAGAACTACTGGGCTGTATTCCCAGACTTAGAAGTCACAGGAGGAGATGGAAGGTCAGCGCAAGACACAGGTTATAAAGACCTTGCTGATGAAACAGTTTACTGTAAAGAAGTCAGCCAAATCCCACCAAACTCAAGATGGCCACGAGAGAGACCTCTACTTGTCCTCACTGCTGCACTCCTACTAGTGCCATGACAGTTTACAAATGCCATGGCAACCTCCAGAAGTTACCCTATATTATCTAAAAAGGGGAGGCATGAATAATCCACCTTTGTTTAACATGTCATCAAGAAATAACCATAACAAGTGTTTTTCTGAGAAGGAAAGGCAAGGATGGGTAGAATGTTGAGCAAGCACTGTGGGAGGAGAGGGCATGGGAGGGAAGGATGGGAAAAGATGGGCAGAGATGCTTTGGGGCCAAGGAAGTGATAGAACAAGAGTAGGAAGAGAGAGGAGATAATGGAGAAACCAACTGCAATTCTGACTGCAGATTTCCTGCCCTGCTGTTAGAGTTCTTCTTCCTCAGCCAGCCCCTGGGACTTCTGATCCATTTCCTTCCATCCTTTATCCCCCACAAGGGAGGCCAATTTCCTCTCCAGAAACTTGCTCCCTCCAGCAGCAGCTAAATTCTCACCTGCAACATTTCCATTGGCCTCTGAGAAACCAACAGACCACTAGGTAAAATCTCAACCTAGCTGTGTTCCTTCAGGAAAGAAGAGTCTGTAACCATCTTCTGTGGGACTCCTCCCTGCTATCACCTCGCTAGGTCACACTGTCTCTCTCCTTTTCCTTGTCCAGGAAGACTGACTGTTGACCACACACTGAACACCCAGGACAGTGGCCAGAGTATCTGGAGGAGATGTCCTACAATGTGGTCTGGCCCCTTCATCCAGCTGAGGGTGGAAATGTCTTTTGCAGCTAGGCCTATGTGCAGAGAAATGCTGACATCCAGAGAAATAAAACTGCGTCCCACATGCAGGCTGAGCAGCTGAACAGGCTTGTTTTGCTCATGGGGGATTCTTCTGACTTCTTCTGGAATCTATTATAATTCTTTTTCCAACATTTTGAACATGTGTTTTCAGGAATGGTTCTGCTTTTCATAGGCTTGGTGACTTTTGGAAATTCTTAGAAAACTGACATTATCTGTCTTTGCATATTAATTATCTCTGTTCCAGGCTTTCAAAGACAACAACAAAAAAACTCTTTTGGGGGAAGATAAGAGATATCTAGATTGTACTTCATGTCAGGCCTCTGAGCCCAAGCCTGCACTTATACAACCAGGTGGCCTGAAGCAAGTGAAGAATCACAAAAGAGATGAAAATGGCCAGTTCCTGCCTTAACTGATGACATTACCTTGTGAAACTCCTTCTCCTGGTTCAGAGGCTCCCCCACTGAGCACCTGGTGACCCCCACCCCTGCCTGCCAGAGAACAACACCCTTTGACTGTAATTTTGCATTACCTACCCAAATCCTATAAAACAGCCCCACCCCATCTCCCTTCACTGACTCTCTTTTCAGACTCAGCCCGCCTGCACCCAGGTGGTTAAAAAGCTTTATTGCTAACACAAAGTCTGTTTGGTGGTCTCTTCACATGGATGCACATGACATTTGGTGCTGAAACCCGGACACAGCCTACCTGCACCCAGGTGGTTAAAAAGCTTTATTGCTCACACAAAGACTGTTTAGTGGTCTCTTTACACAGATGCATGTGACATTTGGTGCTGTGACTCAGATCAGGGGACCTCCCTTGGGAGGTCAAACCCCTGTCCTCCTGCTGTTTGCTCTGTGAGAAAGATCCACCTACAACCTCTGGTCCTAAGACCAACTAGCCTAAGGAACGTCTCACCAATTTTAAATAGGGTAAGCGGCCTCTTTTTACTCTCTTCTACAACCTCTCTCACTATCCCTAAACCTCTTTCTCCTTTCAATCTTGGCATCACCATTCAATCTCTCCCTTCTCTTAATTTCAATTCCTTTCTTTTCTGGCAGAGACAGAGGAGACATGTTTTATCTGTGAACCCAAAACTCTGGCGCTGGTCATGGACTCAGGAAGACAGTCTTCCCTTGGTGTTTAATCACTGTGGGGACACTTGTCTGATTATTCACCCACATTTCAGAGGCGTCTGATCACCCCAGGGGCACTTACCTTGATCCTCCACCTTAGTGACAAGTACCACTTTCCTGGGGGGCAAGTACCCACCACCCCTTCTCTCCATATCTCTACCCTCTCTTTTCTCTGGGCTTGCCTCTTTCACTATGGGCAAACTTCAACCCTCCATTCCTCCCTCTTTGCCCTTAGCCTGTGTTCTCAAGAACTTAAAACCTCTTCAACTCACACCTGACCTGAAACCTAAATGCTTTATTTTCTTCCAAAACACCACTTGACCCCAATACAAACTCGACAATGGTTCCATAGCCAGAAGACAGCACTTTCAATTTCTCCATCCTACAAAATCTAGATAATTCTTGTCATAAAATGGGCAAATGGTCTGTGGAGCCTGACATCCAGGCATTATTTTACACATCGGTCCCTCCCTACTCTGTTGCCAGTGTGGCTTGTCCCAAATCATCCTTCTTTCCCTCCTGCCTGTCCCCTCAGTCCAACCCCAAGTGTCAATTAGTCTTTTCAATCTTCCTTTTCTACCGACCCATCTGACCTCTCACCTCTTCCCCAGACTGCTCCTCCTCAGGTCACTCCCCACCAGCCTGAATCAGGCTCCAATTCTTCCTCAGCCTCCACTCCCCCACCCTATAATCCTTCTATCACCTCCCCTCCTCACACCTGGTCTGGCTTACAGTTTTGTTCTGCAACTAGCCTTCCCTCACCTGCCCAATCATTTCCTCTTAAAGAGGTGGATGGAGCTAAAGGCATAGTCAAGGTTAATGTTCCTTTTTCTTATCCATCCTCTCCCAAATCAGTAAGTGTTTAGGCTCTTTTTCATCAAATATAAAAACCCAGCCCAGTTCATGGCCTGTTTGGCAGCAACCCTTAGACACTTTACTGCCCTAGACCCAGAGTGGCCAGAAGGCCGCCTTATTCTCAATATGCATTTTATCACCCAGTCAGCTCCTGACATTTAAAAAAAGGTTCAAAAATTAGAATCCAGCCCTCAAACCCAACAACGGGAATTAATCAAACTCGTCTTCTAGGTGTACAATAATAGAGAGGAGGCAACCAGACTGCAACACATTTCTGAGTTGCAATTATTTCCCTCTGATGTGAGACAAAACCCAGCCGCACCTCTGGCATACAAAAACTTCTAAATGCCTGAGCCACAGCAGTCAACATTCCTACAGGACCTACTTCATCAGGATCTTGCTTCAAGTGACAGAAATCTGGCCACTGGGCCATGGAATGCCCATAGCCTGGGATTCCTCCTAAGCTGTGTCCCATCTGTGTGGGACCCCACTGGAAATTGGACTGTCCAACTCATTTGGCAGCCACTCCCAGAGCCCCTGGAACTCTGGTCCAAGGCTCTCTGACTGACTCCTTCCCAGATCTTCTCAGCTTAGCCACTGAAGACTGAGGCTGCCCGATCACCTGGGAAGCTCCCTGGACCATCAAAGTTGCTTTCAGTAACTTACAGTACAGAGTAAGTCCATTGCCTTCTTAATCAATACAGAGGCTACCAACTCCACATTACCTTCCTTTCAAAAGCCTGTTTCCTTTGCCTCCATAACTGTTGTGGGTATTGATGGTGAGGCTTCTAAAGCATGTAAAACTCCCCAACTCTGGTGCCAACTTGGACAACATTCTTTAATGCACTCATTTTTACTTATCCCGACCTGCCCAGTTCCCTTATTAGGTTGAGACATTTTAACAAAATTATCTGCTACCCTGTCTATTCCTAGGCTACAGCCACACCTCACTGCTGCCCTTTTCCCCAGTTCAAAGCCTCCTTCCCATCCTCCCCTTTTACCTCCCCACCTTAATCCACAGGTATGCGACACCTCTACTCCCTCCTTGGTGACCAATCATGCACCCCTTACCATCCCGTTAACACCTAATCACTCTTACCCTACTCAATGCCAATATCCCATCCCACAGCAAGCTCTAAAAGGATTAAAGCCAGTTATCACTCTCCTGTTACAGCATGGACTTTTAAAGCCTATAAACTCTCCTTACAATTCTCCATTTTACCTGTCCAAAAACCAGACAAGTCTTACACTTTAGTTCAAGATCTGCACCTTATCAACCAAATTATTTTGCCTATCCACCCCATGGTGCCAAACCCATATATTCTCCTATCCTCAATACCTCCCTTCACAATACCTCCATAACCCATTATTCCATTCTGGGTCTCAAACATGCTTTCTTTACTATTCCTTTGCATGCTTCATCCCAGTCTTTCTTCACTTTCACCTGGACTGACCTTGACACCCATCAGGCTCAGCAAATTAGTTGGGCTGTTCTGCTGCAAGGCTTCATGGACAGCCCCCATTTCTTCAGTCAAGCTCAAATTTCTTCCTTATCCATTATATATCTTGGCATAATTCTTCATAAGAACACACGTGCTCTCCCTGATGATCATGTCTGGCTAATCTCCCAAACACCTACCCCTACTACAAAACAACAACTCCTTTCCTTCCTAGGGATGGTTAGCTTCTTCTGCCTTTAAATACCTTGTTTTACTATCCTGAATAAATCATTATATAAACTCACAAAAGCAAACCTAGCTGACGCCATAGATCCTAAATCCTGTCACCACTCCTCTTTCCATTCCTTAAAAACAGCCCTAAAGCTACTCCCACACTAGCTCTCTCTAACTCATCCCAACCCTTTTTCATTACACACAGCTGTAGTGCAGGACTATGAAGTCAAAATTCTTACGCAAGAGCTGGGATGATGCCCTGTAGGCTTTTTGTGCAAACAACTTGACCTTACTGTTTTAGTCTGTCCATGATGTCTCCATGCAGCAGCTGCCACTGCCCTAGTACTTTTAGAGGCCCTCAAAAATCACAAACTATGCTACTCACTCTCTACAGTTCTCGTAACTTCCAAAAGCTATTTTCTTCCTCACACCTGATGCATATACTTTCTGCTCCCTGGCTCCTTCAGCTATACTCACTCTTTGTTGAGTCTTCCACAATTACTATTGTTCCTGGCCTGGACTTCAATATGGCCTCCTGCATTATTCCTGATACCACACCTGACCCCCATGACCGTATCTCTGTAATTCACCTGGCATTCAGTTGATTTCCCCATATTTCATTCTTTCCTGTTCCTCACCCTGATCACACTTGGTTTATTAATGGCATTTCCATCAGGCCTAATCACCACTCACCAGCAAAGGCAGACTGTGCTGTAGTATCTTCCACATCTATCATTGAGGCTACTACTCTAGCCCCCTCCACTACCTCTCAGAAAGCCGAACTCATTGCCTTAACTCAGGGCCTCACTCTTCCAAAGGGACTGCATATCAATATTTATACTGACTCTAAATATGCCTTCCACATCCTGCACCACCATTCTGTTATATGGGCTGAGAGAGGTTTCCTCACTACACAAGGGTCCTCCATCATTAATGCCTCTTTAATAAAAACTCTTCTCAAGGCAGCTTTATTTCCAAAGGAAGCTGGAGTCATTCACTGCAAGGGCCATCAAAAGGCATCGGATGCCATTGCTCAGGGAAACACTTATGCTGATAAGGTAGCTAAAGAAGCAGTTAGTATTCCAATTTCTGTCCCTCATGGCCAGTTTTCCTTCTCATCAGTCAATCCCACCTACTCCACCACTGAAACTTCCACCTATCAATCTCTTCCCACACAAGGCAAATGATTCTTAGACCAAGGAAAATATCTCCTTCCAGCCTCACAGGCCCACTCTATTCTGTCGTTTCATAACCTCTTCCATGTAAGTTACAAGCCACTAACCCGCCTCTTAAAACCTCCCTTTTCCTTCCCATCATAAAAATCTATCCTCAAAAAATCACTTCTCAGTGTTCCATCTGCTATTCTACTACTCCTCAGGAATTTGTCAGGCCCCATTCCTTCCCTACACATCAGTCTCGAGAATTTGCCCCTGTCCAGGGCTGGCAAATTGACTTTACTCACATGCCCTGACTCAGGAAACTAAAATACCTCTTGGTCTGGGAGATACTTTCACTGGATGGGTACAGGCCCTTCCCACAGGGTCTGGGAAGGCCATTGTGGTAATTTTCCCCTTCTGTCAGTCATAATTCCTTGGTTTGGCCTTACCACCTCTATACAGTCTGATAACGGACTGGCCTTTACTAGTCAAATCACCCAAGCAGTTTCTCAGGCTCTTGTTATTCAGTGGAAACTTCATATCCCTTACCATCCTCAGTCTTCAGGAAAGGTAGAATGGACTAATGGTCTTTTAAAGACACACCTCACCAAGATCAGCCTCCAACTTAAAAGGGACTGGACAGTACTTTTACCTCTTGTCCTTCTCAGAATTAGAGCTTGCTCTCATCATGCTACAGGGTACAGTCCCTTTGAACTTTTATATGGATGCATTTTCTTGCTTGGCCCCAACTTTGTCCCAGACACCAGCCCTCTAGGTGACTATCTTCCAGTCCTCCAGCAGACTAGACAGGAAATTCACCAGGCTGCTAATCTTCTCTTGCCTACTTCAGATTCCCAGCCATAGGAAGACACCTTAGCTGGACGGTCAGTTCTTGTTAAGAATCTGACCCCTCAAACTCTACAACCTCGATAGACCAGACCCTACTTAGTCACCTATATTACCCCAAGTGCCATCTGCCTTCAGGATACTCCCCACTGGGTTCCACCATTCCAGAAAAAGCTGTGTTCATTGGACAGCCAGTCTAATCTCTCCTCTTCCTCCTGGAAGTCACAAGTACTCTCCCCTACTTCCCTTAAACTCACCCACATTTCTGAAGAATAGTAATAACCCTCATGAGTCTAATATGTCCCTCCATTCTGTTAATTCTATTCTTCCTTACCCTACTTTTTGCAACAGAGCTTTATGTTGTCACCCTCACTACTTCGACTACACCCCAAAAGCTTGTCATCCCTACTATCTTCTGTCTAGTCATACTCCTATTCACTGTTCTCAACTACTCATAAATGTCCTGCTCTTGTTTACACTGCCGGTTTACACAGTTCCTCCAAGCCACCACATCTGATATCTCCTGGTGCTAACCCCAAACTGCCACTCTTAACTCCCTCTTAGAGTGGATAGATGATATTTGCTGGCAGGGCACCCTCCAATACTTTCCCCCTGATGAAGTGGTATTCTTTACTTTTATACTCACTCTTATTCCCATTCTTATGTCACCCTTTACCTCTCCCCAGCTATCTCCACCACACTATCAATCTCACTCACTCTCTTCTAGCCATTTCTAATCCCTCAGTGAATAATTACTGGCTTTGCACTTTCCTTTCTTTCTGTACCTACACAGCTGTCCCCACATTACATACAGACTGCACAACATCTCCTGTCTCCCTATAACTCTGAACTTCCTTTAACAGCCCTCACTTTTACCCTCCTGAAGAACTTCTTTACTTTCTAGACAGGTCCAGTGAAACCTCCCCAGACATTTCACATCAGCAAGCTGCCGCCCTCCTCCACACTTACTTAAAAAACCTTTCGCTTTATATCAACTCTACTCCCCCCTTACACATATTTGGACCCCTCACAACACAAACTACTATTCCTGTGGACACTGCTTTATGTATCTCTCAGCAAAGACCCACTGGAATTCCCCTGGGTAACCTTTCACCTTCTTGATGTTCCTTCACTCTTCAGCTCCAAAGACCAACTACACACTTCACTGAAACAATTGGAGCCTTCTGTATCCACATTACCGATAAGCCCTCTATCAAATACTGTCAAACTTAAAAACATTAGCAGTAATTATTGCTTAGGAAGACACTTACACTGTATTTCACTCCATCCTTGGCTACCTTCCCCTTGCTCATCAGACTCTCCTCCCAGGCCCTCTTCTTGTTTACTTATACCCAGCTCTGTAAATAACAGTAAAGGTTGCTAGTAAACACTTGATGTTTTCTCATACACCATGAAAATCAAACATCTCCCTTTACACAGTTACCCCATCAGTCCCCATTACAACTTCTGACTGCTGCCGCGTTAGCTGGATCCCTAGAAGTCTGGGTACAAGACACCTCTTTTAGTTCTCCTTCTCATCTTTTTACTTTGTATTTCCAGTTTTGCCTTGCACAAGGTCTCTTCTTCCTCTGTGGATCCTCTACCTAGACGTGTCTACCTCCTAATTGGACAGGCACATTCACACTAGTTATTCTTACTCCCAGAATTTAATTTGCAAATGGAACCAAAGAGCTTCCTGTTCCCTTCATGACAGCGACATTACAAAAAGGTTATTCCACCAATTCCCTTGCTTGTGGGTTTAGGACTTTCTGCCTCCACTATTGCTCTCGGTACTGGAATAGCAGGCATTTCAATCTCTGTCACAACTTTCCATAGCCTCTCTAATGACTTCTGTGCTAGCATCACAGACATATCACTAACTTTATCAGTCCTTCAGGCCAAAGTTGACTTTCTAGCTGCCGTTGTCTTCCAGAACTCCCGAGGCCATGAATTACTCACTGCTGAAAAGGGAGGACTCCGTATATTTTTAAATGAAGAGTATTTTTTTTTACCTAAATCAATCTGTCTTCTAATATGAAAACATAAAAAATGCAAGGATAGAGCCCAAAACTCACCAACCAAGCAAATAATCATGCTGAATCCCCTTAGGCACTCTGACTGGATGTCCTGGGTTCTCCCAATTCTTAGATCTGTTTTTCTCCTTCGCTTCTTCAGACTTTGTGTCTTCTGTTTAGTTTCTCAATTCATACAAAACCATATCCAGGCCATCATCAATCATTCTATAAGAAAAATATTCCTTCTAACAACCCCACAATATCACCCCTTACCACAAAATCTTCTCTCAACTTAATCTCTCCTAATGTATGTTCCCATGCCGCCCCCAATTCCCGTTGAAGCACCCCTGAGAAACTTCGCCCATTATCTCTCCATACCACCCCAAAAATTTTTGCCACCCCAACACTCTACCACTATTTCATTTTATTTTTCTTATTAATATAAGAAGAGAAGAATGTCAGGCCTCTGAGCCCAAGCCTGCACATATACATCCAGATATCCTGAAGCAAGTGAAGAGTCACAAAATAAGTGAAAATGGACAGTTCCTGCCTTAACTGATGACATTATCTTGTGAAATTCTTTCTCCTGGCTCAGAAGCTCCCCCTCTGATCACCCTCTGACCCCCGCCCCTGCCCACCAGCGAACAACCCCCTTTGACTGTAATTTTGCATTACCTACCCAAATCCTGTAAAATGGCCCCACCCCTATCTCCCTTTGCTGACTCTTTTTGGACTCAACCTGCCTGCACCCAGGTGATTAAAAAGCTTTATTACTCAAAATCCTGTTTGGTGGTCTCTTCACATGGATGTGCATGGCACTTCAGTCAGTGAAATGTAATGTACAATTTCTTACTAAATTGAAACTGTATAGAGGATGAACTCTGACCTTTTCTCTTCTCTTCCACAAATTCCTATCTTAGAGGTCTTAGGAGTCATGCCCTACTAATCATAAAGTCTCATAAGAGGGGTTTTATTTAACCCTATAAAACATGGCTTACTTTCCAACCTGACTCTGGCATAATATCATAAGACAGATACTTTTTTTTTTATTTTTTGAGACAGAGTCTTACTCTGCTACCCAGGCTGGAGTGCAGTGGCACAATCTTGGCTGATTGCAACCTCCTCCTCCTTGGTTCAAGTGATCCTCCTCCCTCAGCCTCCCAAGTAGCTGGGACTACAGGTGCCCACCACTACACCTAGCTAATGTGTTTTTTTTTTTTTTTTTTTTTTTTTCGTATTTTTAGTAGAGATGGGGTTTCACCATGTTGGCCAGTCTGTTCTCCAACTCCTGACTTCAGGAGATCCACCTGCCTCAGCCTCCTAAAGTACTGGGAAAGGAAATCAAACTATTTTAATCCCAAATATGTTTATTTGCAATATCTTGAAATAGCCCTGCAAAGCTGTCTCCTATGAGGGAAAATCTACATTCTATAGGGAATCTCTTTCCCTTTTCCAGGACTTTTTCCTGATCCAGGAGAAATTCAACTAAGAGGCTGACAGCTTTTTAAGTCTGATTGGAAACATTTACAATCTATTCTCTCTGAATCCTGCTATCTGAAGTCCTCATCTGCATAACAATAGCCTTGGTCTGCACAACCCTTATCTTAACCCAGACATTTCCTTTCTATTGATTCCAAGTCTTTAGGCAAGTGCTTTCAACCAAATGCCCATCAGAAAATCTTTGAATCTTCCTGTTATAAACTTGAAGCCACAATTTCCAGTTGTCCAACCATTCCAGACTGAATCAGTGTACATCTCACATGTATTGATTGATGTCTCATGTCTCCCTAAAATGTATAAAACCAAGATGTAGCCTGACCATCTTGGGCGATGTTCTCAGGATATCCTACAGCTGTGTCACTGACCATTGTCCACTCATATTTGGCTCAGAATAAATCTCTTTAAATATTTTACAAAGTTTGACTCTTTTCATCAATAATATATACAGGTAAGCAAAGTAATAAGACGCAGTATTGTCTTTCTGATGATATAAGATGATATGTGTTACCATATATAGATGACATAAGGTGATGTGGAAACATGGATGAAATGAATTTTTTTTTTTTTTTGAGTAATAGCAAGGTTTATTGTGAAAAGTGAAAGAACAAAGCTTTCACAGTGAGGAAGGGGACCTGAGTGGGTTGCCCAGTGAAATGAATATCAGCAATATTCTTCGAGTTGTGGATACTTGAAGTCTCCATTTCCCTCATTTTTGACTAACTCTAATCCTGTCACCACCCAATGGGATCACCTTGCCTACTGCCTAGACAGAGCCAACTTATTAAGACAGGGGAATTGCAATGGAGAAAGAGTAATTCATGCAGAGTCAGCTGTGTGGGAGACAAGAGTTTTATTATTACTCAATTCAGTCTCCCTAAGCATTTAGGGATTAGAGTTTTTAAACATAATTTGGTGGGTTGGGCCTTGGGAATTGGAGAGTGCTTATTGTTCAGGTTGGAGATGGAATTGTACCAGGTCAAAGTGAGGTTTTCTTGCTGTTTTCTGTTCCTGGGTGGGAGGGCAGAACTGGTTGAGCCAGATTACTAGTCTGGGTGGTATCAACTGATTCATTAAGTGTAGGGTCTGCAAAATATCTCAAGCACTGATCTCAGGTTTTACAATAGTAATGTTATCCCCAGAAGCAATGTGGGGAGGTTCAGACTCTTACAGCCCACTGCTGCATGACTCCTAAATTATAATTTCTAATCTTGCAGCTAATTTGTTTTTCCTGCAAAGGCAGGCTGGTCCCCGTCAAGAAGTGTTTCTTTTTGGGGAAAGGGTTGTTTTCAATTTTGTTTCAGAGTCAAACCATGAAGTAAATTCCTTCCCAAAATTAGTTCAGTCTATGCCGAGAAATGAACAAGCACAACTTAGAGGTTAGAAGCAAAATGGAGTCATTTAGGTCTATCTCTTTCACTGTCACAATTTCCTCAGTTATAATATTGCAAAGGCAATTTCAGTCTGAAATTTATCCTATAACTCTCCCTTAATTACAGCTCTCTGCAAGCTCACCATAATTCAATTAAATCACTCAATCCGTAGGATGCATTTGACCTTCACTGTTCAACAGACAATTGAATGTTGGAGCACGTCAAAACTTTCCCCTGGACTATTTCCTGTAATTTTATGCACCTTTTGTAAGTTTTTCCATCTCTGCCCCTGACTTCTATCAATGTGTGCAGGTCAGTCACTCCAAATGTATGTTTCCAGTTCATGTCTTCTCTACATACTCCAGACCCATATATTCAAGTCTTTCCAACATTTCCTCTCAGCTATCTCAAAGATCATTACGCTTATCAATGCCTGATACACTTTGGGTATTTTTCCCTTCAAAATCTCATGTTGAAATTTGATCTCCAATGTTGGAGGTAGAGTTGAGTGAGAGGTGTTTGAGTCATGGAGTGGATTCTTCATGAATGCCTTGGTGCCATTCCCTGGTAATGAGTGAGTTTTGGCTCTGTTGGCTCATATGAGAGCTGGTTGTTTAAGGGAGCCTGGTATCTATATCTGCCTTCCTCTCTTGCCATGTGTTCTGTACACACACCAGCTCCCCTTGCCTTCTGGCATGATGGGAAGCAGCCTGAAGTCCTCCCCAGAAGTAGATGTCAGTGCCAAACTTCTTGTAGTCTTCAGAACTGTGAGCCAAATGAACCTCTTTTCTTTAAACCATCCAGCCTCCGTAGTAACATAAAACACACTAACACAAGAACAAAGAACAAACTTGTGTCCCAGCCTTTCATGTCCAGTTCCATAAGCCAGGAACTTGGAGATCTTCATTTTCCCCTTGTAATCAATCTAGCTCCTGTACTCATAGATGTTTCTCATTTGACTGCATTTCTCCATTTCTGTCACCATCTGTCTGGTGGAAACTACCTTGGCCTCTTATCTGGACACTTTATCTGCTTCCTAAGTGGTCACCTGTAGACCAGCTCTGATCTATATTCTCCACTCTGTAGCCATAGTATTATTTCCAAATTCTTCTCTACTCATGGTGTTCCTCCTTCCTTCATCCTTTTATTTTATTTATTTATTTATTTATTTATTTATTTATTTATTTATTATTTATTTATGTATGTATTTTGCATCTCAAGGAGGTTTCACTCTTGTTGCTCAGGCTGGAGTGTAGTGGCACAATCTCAGCTCACTGCAACCTCCACCTCCTAGGTTCAACTGATTCTGCTGCTTTAGCTTCCCAAGTGGCCAGGATTACAGGCACATGCCACCATGCCTGGTTAATTTTTTGTTATTTTTTAGTAGAGACAGGATTTCACCATATTGACCAGGCTAGTCTCAAACTCCTGAACTTAGGTGATCCACCTGCCTTGATCTCTCAAATTCTGGGATTACAGGCATGCTCTCATTCTTTTAATTACTTGCCATTGCTCTTACAATGAATGTCATTTTTGATGGCCCTCAAGATGTCCTGCTTTGCCTGGTTTTGGCTCACACTTCTCTCTACTCTTCACCTTCCCTGAAAACCTAGATTTTCTCTAGTCCTACCTACTCCTGCTGCAGATGCTTTGCCTTGCTCTGTCTTCTTTTTGGAGCATGTAGAATTTATCTGTGACCTCCTGAACTAGTTCATTCCCTTTGTTACAATTTCTGCTGGCATCATATTTATTTCCCTCATACTATCTACCACAGTCTATAATGATACAGCTATTTGCCTGATTTTTTATAACTATCTGCCTCCACTAGACCATGTATTCCAGGAGCCTGCTTGGCTCATTTTGTTCACTCCCTTATCACCTTCATTGAGTATTCTGCCTGGAAGAGCATCGGCACATCACCCCTACCCATGAACGAATGGATATGAGCACCACAACTGCTGAGCTATCTACAGACTTAGCAGCTAGGAAGATTGTCTTGGATAAGAATGTTAAACAGGAAACTATCCCTCAGGAGTTTCCATTCTGGCTCCTTCTCCTGATTCTGAAAAGCAAACATGTGCTTGAGTGACTCAGACAGCACAGGGCATGAGTATGTCTGAATAGGTTCCTTATGTATGGGACCATGTTTAACTGAAGAATGTTCTACTACTCATATTTTTATCACTTCTGCACCTTGGAAGTCTGAGGATAAATGATTCTTCTCAATGCATTTCTTACCTCCAATTACATTCACCCTAATAATTGTGTTATTCATAGTATGACCTCAGCCCGTGAAGCAAGCTCTCATGTTTTTCCTCAAGATACCATGACTTAGGATCAAGATGCCTGGCAGGGAATGAGGCAGTTGGAAAACACTAAAGAGCATTTCTTCTATGCTATGCCTGGCAGGGAATGAGGCAGTTGGAAAACAGTAAGGAGCATTTCTTCTCTGCTCAAGGGCAAAGATTAATTTGGAAATGGGAGATACTTTGATCAACTGATGCTACTGTTGATCTTCCTAAATTACCATATCAATTATTCTATTTTCCCAATTGCCACAATGACAAAGTCACAGAGAGATTCCTGTAAGACAGAGTACCTAAAAAGGAGAGTGGTGTGTGTGTGTGTGTGTGCATGGGCACACTGGTATGTAGAATTCCACCAACACTAGGATAAATGTTTGTCTCTGTATTTAGCTTGGCTATAACTCCATGACATGAAAGTAGACTCATTTAAGTCATCAGTGAACACCATGTTAAACCCTAAGGCAGACAGATATAAGGATAATATGTATGCAAACATGGTCCAAGGCTGCAGCATACAGCGTATTAATGAATCCTGTCCCAAAACCAGCAAGTTCCTTAGATGTTTAAATAATGTTTTTCAAATTGAAGTAAATATCCAACTACAGGTAGCTTAAGCTTTGCAAAACAAATGTCTTATTTGGTGCCAGAGTGTCTTAGAAACATTGAATTCCATATCTGAAGTTGTTTCTTAGCTCTGAGGCTTTTTAATGCTATGAGTTAACTCCAGGGTAAAATTTAGAATACATATATAGAGGGGCTGAGTATCCCTCATATAATCCTTCATTACTGATGTAGTTTACCTTGAAGTCTAAAGAAGATTTAAGAGTAGAAATTTCAAAGTTAGCATCTTCAGGAAGACCATACTCCAGATATTGATGACAATGAAGACAGCAAAAATTAGCATTGTGTCTTCTCAAGAATATGGAATTATCCAGCAAAATGTTGCATCTAATCACAACCTTGCAAGAAAAGGGGGTGCGGATATGTCTGGTGGGGAAAAAAATTTCCCCAGAGAATAATTCTGCATTGGCTTCAGTTAACATATGGTTGTTGAAGATTTATTAACAGGAACATTGACAGATAATGATGTTTCTGGATTAATTTATTTACTTATTTACATTTTAAAAATCATTTATTAATTCACTTACTGGTACCATGTGCCAGTCTTCCACTTTGCCCAAAGGGGATGCCAAAAACATTCATTTACCACATCAGTTAACATTGAAAATAAACAAAAACTTGTTTTTCATTAAAAGGAAATTCAGTGTTCCAAAATGGTTGATTTGAATGATCTAATGTCTCTGTAAAGAAAATCTCCCTTTGACAAAACAGAAAACTACTTCGTCCCTTCCCATCTCACCCATAAGGTCTGAAAGAGATATTCTGCAGTTTTCCCAAAAATAGTCATGTGGCTTTAATGTTAACTGTGGTACAACTTTGTTTTGTGTTGAAGCTGTGCTGGGAAAAAATGGATAGAATAATAAATCTACCATTTATTGGTCTTACAATGGAAAACTGCATGTAAAAGGATTTTGATAGAGCTTTTCACTAAAAGAGAAAAACGAACTTTCTGACTTCCAAGAATAGCCAAAATAGAATCTGGAGGAATAGCAGGCAGGAGGTTTTAAATGCCCTACAAATCACACAAACAACTAATGAGCCCTGGGATCTTTCATGGTTATTTATGGTATCATTGAACTGAAAAAGCAACCAGCAAACAGAAAAACAGATAGCTGACCTTCCTTGCTCTCAAGGAAAGAGTTAGAGAAATGGAGTTTTTAGAGATAATCCATTGGTATACCAGCAAGACCAAGTATCTCTGGGCTCAGTGGCAGTGTATGCAGAACCATGTGGAAAGAAAAATCTGTGCCAAAGATATGTGTTTTCCCACAAGCCTGCCCACATCACATACAGGTCACCTTTGGGGGAGATTTTATTTTAAGTTAACCAAAATGTATCTCTCTTTTAATTGTAAAATGTTTAATTTATTCTAAACAATGTAGAAAAATATTCTTTAAATTTGACTCAGTATAATTCAGTAAAATTCAGTATAATTTTTATGTATAAAAATTGGGCAATATTTTGGAATATACCATATATATGTTACACACATAAGCGCATCCACATATACATAACATTTATTAGATATATTATATACACACACACATAAGGATATACACATATACATAACATTTATTCCATATATCTACAAAATGTGAATACACATATACACATATAAACATGTGAGTACATGCTATGGACTGAATGTATCTCCCCAAAATTCATGTGTTGAACGCTCACCTCCATGGTAATGGTGTTGGGAGGTGGGGCCTTTGGAAGGTGATGAGATCGTGAGGGTGGGGCCTCATGAATATGAAGAGTGCCTTTATAAAAGTGAACCAAGGGAGTGCCCTTCTCCCTTACCCCTTCCACCATGTAAGAACACAGCAAGAACTCTCCATCTAGGAACCAGGAATCCTTCACCAGACACTCGATCTACCACACCTTGATCTGGGACTTCCAGCCTCCAAAAACATGAGCAATAAATGTCTGTTGTTTATAAGCCTCCCAGTCTATGGTATTTTGTTACAGTAGCTAATACAAGACAATATATGTTAGTATTTGTATAATTCCATTTCCTGAGCAGTTTTAAGTAAAGTAAATCACAAATCTTTGATTTTATGCCTTTTCTTATCTGCCTTATCTTTAATTCTTATTTTTCTTCTTATAGAATACTGAGATATAAAATTTAAGTGTAAAATTTTCATCATAAAAACTGGCAGTAGAAGTTTGAAAACATATTGCACACTTAAATTAGAGTTTTAAAAAATGTATTGTTAAAGATAACAGTAAAAAATATTTTACTCTGCACGCTAGTAATATCTGGAAGCTGAAACATCAAACAATATTTATAGTATTCATCCTGCTGATCCCTTCGTTAATGGCAGGTGAGACTGAGGATAGCAATTGTTGACCTAGGACCATACATTTTCATTTTTCAGTAAATATTAACTTATAAATGAAATTATTCGCTCCCCACGTTTCCCATGTAAAGTATAACATGGCATGTAGGTTTGAATATCCAGCTTCAAAAGTTACTATCAGTAAAATTGAAGGTAGCAATGTTGCAGAGGAAGCATCAGTTCAGTGAGTTTTCAAAGAGGCTCACAGAATTATTTACTGTTTGTGAAACTCGCATTTTCCATCTGTTCTCTAGGGAAAAATTATCCCAGGCGGACAAATTAGATCCTGGTAGCTGAAATGATATTAAAGCTGTCAACTATTATAAGTAGTATGTCCCAAATTGTGGGTGAAGGGTGGTATGGTATCCTGGTATCTACAAAAGTGATCTGTAATTTTTTATGGGCAATTAGGAATGCCACTTAATCTTGGAAAACAATTTTTCTTGTTTTTCTCCATTATGTATAAGTAATATTGCATTTGGAAAATAGCTCAATTATCCAGTTTTAAGAACAGAGTTGAACTATAGATTATCCTTATATCTCCTTTCTGTCAGCTTTAGCTTTTTTCTCAATTATTCATGCTCCCCTCTTTTTCCTCCCATTCATCCTCTTTATCCCTCTTTGGAAACTCTGCCTCTTATAAAAGATGGGACCAAAATGCTAAAGAAAACACCGGTTCTCTAAATCTGCATGCTGGTAATATCTGGAAGCTGAACCATCAAACAATATCTTTTTAATCATACCTATCCTTCTGATCCCTTAATTAATAGCAAGACCATTACTATTAGTATTTTGTGTCACAAAACCATCTGCTTTGTATTACTTTGTGTTACTTTTCTCAGGCTTATATAACAAAGAACCACAAACTGGGAAGTTTAAAAAAGAGACATTTATTTTTCACACTCCTGGAGGCTGGAAGTCCCAGAGGAAGGTGTGGGCTGGGCTGGCTCCTCCTGAGGTCTCTATCCTGGGCTTGCCAACACCACAGTCTCCCTTGTACTCACAGGGTCGACTCCGCATATATGTGTCCTTATCCCCTCTTCTTATGAGATGGCTTAGTCCATTTCAGGCTGCTATTGAGAGGTGACAATGTACTAGCAGCCCTCACTCGCTCAGCACCTCCTTGGCCTGGGCATCCACTCTGGCTGTGCTTGAGGAGACCTTCTGCTCACCGCTGCACTGTGGGAGCCCCTCTCTGGGCTGACAGAGGTGGAGCTGGCTCCCTCTGCTTGCCAGGAGGTGTGGAGGGAGAGGCGCCAGCGGGAACCGTGACTGTGGGCAGCACTCTGGTGCCAGCTTGAGTTCTGTGTAGGCGCTGGCTCGGCAGACCCCACACTTAGGGTGGCCAGCCCTGGGAAGTGAGGTGCTTAGCACCTGGGCCAGCAGCTGCGGAGGCTGCGTGGGTCCCCCAGCATTACCGGCCCACTGCTGCGCTCAAATTCCCGCAGAGACTCAGCAACCTCCCCTCGGGGCAGGGCTCCCGACCAGCAGCCCGGGATGCTGGAGTCTGCCCCACTATGGGCTCCCGCACACGTGAGCCTCCCTGACGGGTGCCACCCCCTGCTCTGTGGCACCTGGTCCCATCCACCCCCCAAGGGCTGAGGAGTGCGGGCATGCCACGTGGGACTGGCAGGCAGCTCCATCGGAGGCCCCGGCGCAGGATCCACTAGGAGAAGCCACCTGGGCTCCTGAGTCTGTGGGGATTTGAAGAACTTTTGTGTCTAGCTAAACGATTGTAAATGCACCAATCAGCACTTTGTGTCTAGCTCAAGGTTTGTAAATGCACTGATCAGTGCTCTGTGTCTAGCTAATCTAGTGGGGACTTGGAGAACTTTTATGTCTAGCTAGAGGATTGTAAATGCACCAATCAGCACTCTGTGTCTAGCTCTGGGATTGTAAACACACCAATCAGCAGTCTGTAAAACTGACCAATCAGCTCTCTGTAAAATGGACCAATGAGCAGGATGTGGGTGGGGCCAGATAAGGGAATAAAAGCAGGCTACTGGTCCCTTTCCTGGTTGGGGAAGATTTGTTCTTTAGCTCTTCACAGTTAAGTCTTGCTGCTGCTCATTCTTTGGGTCCCTGGACTTTGTGAGCTGTAACACTCACCATGAAGATCTGCAGCTTCACTCCTGAAGCCAGGGAGACCAGGAACCCACCAGAAGGAACCAGCAACTCCAGACATGCTGCCTTTAAGAGCTGTAACACTCACTGCGAAGGTCTGCAGCTTCACTCCTGAGGCCAGCGAGACTACAAACCCACAAGAAGGAAATTACTCTGAACACGTCCGAACATCAGAAGGAACAAACTTTAGACACACCATCTTAAGAAAAGTAACACTCACTGGGAGGTTCTGCGGCTTCGTTCTTAAAGTCAGAGAGACCAAGAACCCACCAATTTTGGACACAGTATCACAAAATACCATGGACGGGGTGGATTATAAACAACAGACATTATTCTCTCACAGTGCTGGAGGCTGGAAGTCTGGTATAAAGCTGTGAGCAGGGCTGGCTCCACGTGAGGCCTTGGTCCAGAGCTTGTAGACACCATCTTCTCCCTGTGTCCTCACCAGGTCATCTCTCTGTGTGTGTCTGTGTCCTCATCGTCTCTTCTCATAAAGTGTATTAGTCCATTTCAGGCTTCTACAACAGAATACCATAGACTGGGAGACTTATAAACAACAGAAATTTATTGCTTGCGCTTCTGGAGGCTGGAAATCCAAGTTAAAAGCATGGCGGATTTGGTGTCTGGTGAGGCCCCACTTCCGGATTCACAGATGGCACCTTCTCACTATGTCCTCACATGGTGAAAGGGGTAAGGGAGTTCTCTGAGGTCCCTTTTGTAAGGGCACTCATTCCATTCAGGAGGCTTTTCTTAAACCTTCAGAGTAAGAATTTCAACATTGAATTTTAGGAGGACACAAGCATTTAGACGATATCATAAGTCCACGAGTTGTATTAAATTAGGGTCTGGCCTAATGACCTCAGCAACTTAATTACCTCGTGAAAGACCCAATCCCCAGATACAACTATCTTCCATGGCACGAGGAATTACGACTTCAGCATATGAATTTCTAGGGACAGAATTCAGCCCATAATAAGTTCCTTCACCATCCATGTTATCATCTTTGCTCCCTAGAACTCAAGACATAACATCTACCCACCCACACCCATACACAAACACATACACACACACAGAGAGATCCAAATGTCCATTGGGATACAAAGGACCTCTCAAGTTAGTGATAAATTACTTTTTAGGTTTGGAGATTCTACCTGCATTCCCCATTAAAGCTCATTCCATCCTCTGGGATATCTTGATTTAAGATGGTCACCAAACCAGTAATGCTACAGAGCCTGCTGTGACTGTTTGCA
The DNA here is from genome assembly GCF_000001405.40 of Homo sapiens. NCBI lineage: Eukaryota > Metazoa > Chordata > Mammalia > Primates > Hominidae > Homo > Homo sapiens. The sequence goes on along the minus strand of NC_000024.10, from coordinate 11,877,792 downwards.
AATTCTTGTAGACATCTAACGGCCAGTTTCTCTTAGTTCATCTTTTTGTTTTATTTTTCTAAGTATTTTATTATTTCTAAGTATCATATGGTATATACATTTGAATATCAAGCTTCAAAAGTAACTAATCAGCCAGGCACAATGGCTCACACCTGTAATCCTAGCACTTTGGGAGGATGAAGTGGGCGGATCACTTGATGTCAGGAGTTTGAGAGCAGCCTGGCCAACATGGCAAAACCCCATCGCTACTAAAAATACAAAAATGTTCTGGGCGTGATGGCATGTGCTTGTAGTCACAGCTACACGTGAGGCTGAGGCAGGAGAATCACTTGAATCTGAGAGGCAAAGGTTGCAGTGAGCCAAGATCATACCACTGCACTCCAACCAGGGCAACAGAGGGAAACTGTCAAAAAAAAAAAAAAAAAAAGTGTGGCAGGGTGTAGTGGCTCTTGCCTGTAATCCCAGCAATTTGAGAGGCCAAGGCAGGTGGATCACGAGGTCAGGAGTTCCAGACCAGCCTGGCTAAAACGGTGAAACCGCGTCTCTACTAAAAATATAAAAATTAGCCAGGTGTGGTATCCAGCAGCTGCAATCCCAGCTACTCAGGAGGCTGAGGCAGAGAATTGCTTGAACCCAGGAGGTGGAAATTGCAGTGAGCTGAGATTGTGCTGCTGCACTGCAGCCTGGGTTACAGAGTGAGACTCTGTCTCAAAAAAAAAAAAAAAAAGTAACAATCAATAAAGTTAAAGGTGACGATGTTGCAATAGATGCAGCCATTCAGTTATTTTTCAAAATAGCCTCACAGAATTCTTTGTCTGTTCAAGTCATATTTTCCACCTTTGTTTCTAGGGAAAGGTTATCCACATGAAAACCAAATACCAAATGTTCTCATTTAAAATTCCTTAAGTAAATTTGATTGTGTGTATGTGAGGTTTACAACATGCTGTTATGGAATCCATATAGATATTATTAAAATAGAAATATAATCTATCTGTCCTCTCACATGGTTTTTTCCATGTGATGAGACTGCATTAGGTGTCTCTGTGCCTTATGGTTTATGGTGGTGAAGTTAAAGTCACGGGGGCTCTCCGTGAATTCCAGCTGGAGCCAGAGCAGCCATGAAGAAGTCACAGTCCATGAGAAATTACCCTGCCAGAGGCACCTGTTTTCCACAAGTCAGTCATTCTGCTGCCTCCACTCTTGGGCAATACTTTTCAAAAGGATAACATTCCATAAGAATGAAAATACATGTGGGCTTTCTGTATTTTTAGAGTCCTGCTGAGAAGGTTAGGAAGTCTGGAAAGCTAATTCTCTGGCAGTCCAATGAATGATTGTGTAGGATGTGAGCATGGACACAACTACGCATTTGTAACTCTCATCCCTCCCACATTCCAGAAAGCAATCCATGTTTTGGACAGAAATTTAAGCAAAATATTTGCCACTAATTCAAGGGCACTCTAAGTATGTCTTGAGTGCATACCATTGATAATTAATTCCATTTTCGGTGTTATAATAAAGATTCTGCATCTAGGTGGCTTGCCAGTTTTAAAGTCTCTCAGGACCCAGCTAAGACTTTAATTTAAGATCAATTACTCTACAAGGGGACCCTCCACAAGATTATTCTGATGCCCCCTGGAATTCCCAGATGGCCAGAGCTAGAAACGTTAGCCAAAAGTGGCTCATGTGTCAGACACTTTCTATTTCCCATTTATACTGAGTCCTGTCAATTACCCAGTAAGAGACTATTTGCAAACAGTTTGCACTGAGGTTTCAGTAAAGTCACCTCTGTGATTTTTTGTTTCCCAAAACAAAGACAGTGGCAAGTAACCTAAGTAAAGCAGTGAATGTGTTCAGAACTGGCTATGCAGTCTGTAAACTGTTCTGTCTCTGTAAAGATACCACAGACCCTAGCTGTCCTGAGTACAGGGCCACACAAGACCATTGTATGAGTCAGCTGAGGCCATTGTAACAAAGGTCCACAGACCAGGGGGCTTAAGAAACAGACATTTATTCTCCTTCAGTCTTGGAGGCTGGAGGTGTGAGATCAAGGTATGGGCAGGGCTGGTTCCTCCTGAGACTTCTTTCTTTGGTTCGTAGACACCGTCTTCTCTCTGGGCCCTCACAGGGTCATCTCTCCGTGTGTGTCTGTGTCCTCATTGCCTCTTCTAATGAGATGTCTTAGTCCATTTCAGGCTGCTATAACAGAATAGCATAGACTGGGTGGCTTAAACAACAGACATTTATTCTCGCACAGTCCTGGAGGCTGGAAGTTGGAGATAAAGGTTTGGGCAGGGCTGGTTCCTCCTGAGGCCTCTCTCCTGGGCTTGTAGATGCCATCTTCTCCCTGTGTCCTCACGTGGTCATCCCTCTGTGTGTGTCTGTGTCCTCATCTCCTCCTCTTATGAGGACACCAGTCCATTGGATCAGGGTTCACCCTAATGACCTCGTTTTACCTTAATCACCTCTTTAAAGACCCTGTCTCCAAATACAGCCACATTTTGATGTCCTGGAGTTGAGGACTTCAATATATGAATTTTAGGGGGATACAATTAAGCCCGTCACATTTTTTTTCCTTTCTGACTCAATCCTAGTGGACAGAACAAGGACAGGCTTTCAATAACTTGCCCTGAACTTTTTTCAGAATGGCTGAGATTTACCTGATGAAACAAACCAATCTAAGAATATTTCCTTGGGGCTCATTATGTATAAAAAAAAAGTGGTGCAACAAAAAGCTCAGACTCAAAACACCGGGTTTGAGTCTGACCCTGATCACTCACTAGATCATGAGTCCTAAACCGTACACATACATTATGGATGCCGGCTTCATCACTCTGAAAATAGAGATGTTTCCATCTGCTGGTAGGCTTTTTTCAAGGATTAAGGATAAAAAGATTGCATCACATGAAATGTGATGTTCATTTTATTTCCTTCTTTTGGAAATGTAAGCTGACATGTGTGTCTTATTACTAAATGTCTGATGCATCTCCCAGGATCCTATAAGAGTTGTCAAATGGGCATGGCATTATAACACATGTGCGTAAACCCACAGGCAAGTACATAAACACTCAGGCATGTACACACACTGTACTGCAAGGTAAAACAACAGCCGTTACTGTAAAACAGTGAGAGACAATAGCCTTACGCTCCCTTGAAATGAATCAATGAATAGACATTTGTTAGGAAAAGATAGAATTCAAAGGCAATGCCAGCCATATAGGAGGTACAGACATAGACACAGACATAATGAAATGTGAAAGAAAACATAAAAACTCAGGACCTCAATTCACTCTTCCAAAAGGAAAGAACAAGCTGAAAGTCGAATCATGCAAGAAGATGCCTTTCCTTTCATTCCTAAGCAGATAGCTACAGATAAAAGGTTAAACATCTCCAAAGGTAGCTACATAAGCTAGGTTCACCTTATGCAAAGTGCTAATTTCCTAAACGTGAGACAAATATATGCTTGACTACTGCCCCTCTTGCTCCCTTTCTCTTGCAATTTTGATTCAGTAATGTGACCATACCCGCCCTTTTTCCCTTCAAACCCACTTCTCCCCTTTAAACACTGAAGGCTTCAGAATCATCTTTGGAGAACGGCACAGGCCAGAGACTGTTTCTCTGATTCCATGTTTATTTCTTCTGGGCATGTCCTTAACCTTGGCAAAAGAAACTTCTAAGCTTATTGGGATCTATGTCAAATACTTTTTGGTTTACAGAAACTTGAGCAGGTTTGAGGAATAGAAAATTGTCCAGTCTGCCAGGAACACATAGAAAATGTGCAAGGAAGCAGTAAGAAATAACACTAGAAGTGGAGGTCATGGTAATACAGTTGGGGATATTGGATGCCCAGCTAAGAAGGTTGTGGAAAATTCATGCCTTCCAAGCCATTGAAAGTGATTTGTATTGTTTTGTTGTTGAGAATGAGAACAAGAAAAGCCATGCATTAAGAAAGCTTAACCCAATAGCAACATGCAAGAATGCAGAGAGACCACTTAGATGTCAACTGCAAAAATGGAAGTGAAAGTGAGTGTATAAGTCTCCTATTTGCTGCTGTAACAAATCACTACAAACTTACTGGTTCAAAACAACACCAGTTTAGTCTGGCAGATATGGAGGTCAGAAGTCTGACTTGAGTCTTAGTGGACTAAAATCAAGGTGTCAGCAGGGCTGTGCTCCAGGTTAGGGGAGAATCCTTTTTCTCCCCTTTTTCAGCTTCTAGAGATCTTCTTCCTCCATCTTCAAAGCCTGCAAGGTGCATCTCTCTGTGCTTTTTTTGGGTAGTCAAATCCCTTTGCACTCTCTTCTTTCTCCCTCTTCCACTTTTAAGGACTCTTTTAATGACAGTGAATCTACCTGGATATTCCAGGATAAAACTCCCACTTTTTAAAGTCAGCCAATTAGCAACTTTTTTTTGCATCTGCAGCCTTCATTCCCCATGACATCTAATTAAGTCTGTTAACATGTTCCAGGGATTGTGATGTGCACATCTGATATGGCTCGGCTCTTTGTTCCCACCCAGATGTCATCTTGAATTGTAATCTCCAGGTGTTGAGAGAGTGACCTGGTGGAAGGTGATTAGATCTTGGGGTGATTTGCCCCGTGCTGTCTTGTGATAGTGGGTTCTCTCAAGATCTCATGGTCTTATAAGTGGCAATTTCTCCTTTTTGACTGTCTCTTGCTTGCTGCCATTTAGACGTGTCTTGGTTCTCCTTCACCATTCACCATGACTGTAAGTTTCCTGAGGTCTCCCCAGCCATGTGGAACTGTGAATCAATTAAACCTCTTTCCTTTATAAATTACCCAGTCTCAGGCAATTCTTTATAGCAGTGTGAAAACAGACTAAAACAACATCCTCAGTGAGTGTTATTCTGTCTACCACTGAGATAAATGTCCTGATTAAGTGAGATTTTCCCAGCCTTCCTGTTTTGAGGTAAGCTTTTTTCTGGCTCTCAGAGGAACCAAACAGGGGCTGGACCCAAAAGTTAAAACAGAAATAAAGCAGTGCTTCTCAGCATGTAATTCCATCTTTAGCTCATCAGATCTTAGGGTATTTAGCTTGGTGGTAAGCAGAATAAGACCCACCAAGGATGGGCACGTTGCAATCCCTGGAACATGTGAATAGACTTGGTTAGACATCAAAGGGGAATGAAGCTTGCAAATGCGATTAATGTTGCTGATTGTCTCAGTTTGTGAGCACAGGATGGCTCTCCTTGCAACTGCATCTCTGTCTTGTATTCACTGCGGCTATTTCCACAGAGACCCACTCTTCCTAGAATGGACTAGGAATGTGTGTTTCCAACCAAGACGCTGTGGAGAGTGCCAGAGAGCACTAAGAATGATACCTGAAAGCAGAAGTGAGAGCCTGGGCTGGCAAACGTATGTCTACCCCAACCTGGAGGACCCATGGCATGCCTTCCATCTCCTTTGGTCAGCTGCCATCAACTCCTTCCTCCAGATTTTGTTGATTTGTTTTCCTATCACCAGAATGCTGTGTTGACATCAAAAATATGTGGCTCAGATGACCACCCATGCAACAAAGAGGCATAGTTATGACATAATACTGATCTGATGCTTGAATTATCACCATAGCATCAATAGCAAATATCCCTAAGCCCTGGATCATGGATTCTCAGGAAAACTATTTCATCTTGCAGCATCTCACACATTTGAATGTCTTTTTGTTGCAGTGAAATACATGCCAGTATTTCTTAGCAATTTCTAAGAATATTCACTATGCATCATGGAATACTATGCAGCCGTAAAAAAGAATGAGATTATGTCATTAGCAGCAACATGGATGCAGCCAGAGTTCATCATTCTAAGCAAATGAATACAGGAACAGAAAACAAATACCTCGGGTTCTCACTTATAATTGGGAGCTAAACACTGGGTAGCTCCCAATTATAAGGATGGGAAAAATATACATAAAGATGGGAAAATAGACACTGGGGACTATTAAAGAGAGAAAGGAGGGAAGGGGACAAGGGCTAAAATCCTACCTATTGGGTACTAAGTTCAGTACCTGATCATGGGATCATTTATACTCCAAACCTCAGCATCATGAAATATACCATGTAACACATCTGCGCATATGGCCCCTGAATCTAAAATAAAATTTGAAATTGTAATAAAATAAAATGGCATTGACTCAAAAAATACTTCAGTGTGCATATGTTATCCACCATGTTATGAAGTTTTTTTTGTTTTTATTAATGAATGCTACCACCATAGATTGGGTAGTGGGTTACCTTCTAGGACATCTTGAGAAAAGACTTTCCCAGGCTTTCCTTTTTTTTTTTTTTTTTTTTTTGAGAAAAAGTCTGAGTCTGTCACCTAGGCTGGAGTGCAGTGGTGCAATCTCTGATCACTGCAACCTCCACCTCCCAGGTTTACACAATTCTTGTGACTCAGGCTCCTGAGTAGCTAGGATTACAGGTGCCTGCCACCATATCTACCTAATTTTTTTGTATTTTAGGAGAGACGGAGTTTCACCATGTTGGCCAGGCTTTTCCTAGACTTTCTCTTTTGAGGTGAGCCTTTTTCTAGCTCTCACGGGAAGGATGAGACTTTTTATTCTCTTTGATGGAGAAGCAGAGATTTCCTGTTGAGTGTTTAGGTGGGTGTTTAAGTTCAATTTCCACCAAAAGCAGAGCCCAAGTGAGGGACCTGGGAGAGGTAGTTTATTTGGGAGGTTGTCTGAAGAAGCTGGAATAAGTGGGAAAAAAAAAAGGAAGGTAAAAATGTTGGCTATTACAGCAGAGTTTCAGCCCCATTGTGGAAACTCTGCACATTTTTGTAGAATGAGCAACAGGACTATTTCTGCAAGGAGGAGGTATATATCTCCTCATCCCATTGCTTTTATTTGAGGATAATTTGAAAGGCATTCATCATCTCCCCAACCCCAAGAAAATAAGGTCTGAACTCTGTACAAACCCTTAGGCAGAGCAGCCTTGACAGCCAGTCTTTGAAGTCACTTGCATGCAATGGAACTGGGAGACCAGTAGTCCCTGTGGTCGGTTGTGACCAAAGGGTAGGCTGTCTAAGGAGAACAGCCCTGTGGGAATGTGGGAATTACCCCAAGCTGCCAGCAGCAGGAGATCAAGTTAGGAGATCTTCAAAGTTAATAAGCACAGAAATACATTTATTTTAACCAGAAAGAATAGAGAGAAGGTGAGTGTGTCTCCAGAGGATGGGTGGGATTGGTAGTAAAAAGGTGAAATTTATCTCATCTCACAGGATGTATTTTCCCTGTAAGATTTAAGGCAAGTTTGTTAGATTAAACTGGGGAGGGGATATTTTGGTCTTAGGGTCAGTGATGGTAAGATGTAAAGACAGTAGTTCACCTCTTATCTATGTGGGATACAATTATCACAGTATGCTGTAATGAACACTATAGGAATGTGATCTCTTTGCACCCAAGTGATTAACAGGGAGGTAGTTTGTACAACGTGAATGTGCTGGCAAAGCGATGATCCTGTCCTTGCGGCCACAGAGCAAGATGCTATGAAACTTCATCATGCTTCTCATAACAGCATTCAATTAAAAACTTATGCATTGTTCATTTCCGGAATATTTATTTTAATATGTTTAGACTGTGGTTGATCACAGATAACTGAAACCGTGGAAAGCAAAATCAAAAATAAGAAGGGGCTACTGTAATGATTTTAGAAAAGTGGGAAACATAAATTTACTAGGAGAGAATGATACTACAGACAAATTGGCACCATGGTGTTTTCTTTTTTCCAGAAACATCTAGCTCAGGTGAGTTGGCAGATGGGATTGAAGCAGAATTGAGGTTGCATCCTATTACCAGAGAGAGGACAAGAGCACTAAGGGTGTTTGCAGGGTAATGTGGTTTCCAGCCATGACATTGAAATAAAAGTGGTTTGGTCCATGCATCCGCACCCATATGGCACAGTGAACACCCTACAGAAAGTGAGTTGGAAGGACCCAGAGTCTTGGTGAATTCTGAAAGCCACTATTTCAGATACGGTGATGATAGCAAATGTAGTATGATCACTGCAGGGAAGAAATTGAGAGAAGTGAAGAGTAGGCGTATTTGTCATTTAGTAGATCAAAGATGACTTGATGGTATCACGCAAGAGTTCTATAAACTTCAAACCTATTAGAATGTTAATTACCCAACTTGAATATCCTTTGTATGTTGTCATTTTAAAGTTGGCTAAAAGAAGACACAAAAATAATGTAATGCATTTGTATGTTACTGGAGAGGGAAGAATCTGTTTTCTTCATTCCTCTGGCATTTGGAGCAGACACAGTTTATGATTTGGCTGTAATTATATCTTAATATGCATGGAAGAGATATATTTTTCTTCATGAAAATATATAAATTTAAAATGACTTCAGTGACACTTTGGATCACAAAAATGCCTTAGGAGGGAAACCTTGTTAAATCATTTTCTGCTTTTATTTTTTGGGTATGCCTTCAGAAATAAAAGTAGTAATAATAATAAAAATTGGGGTAGTTGGGGAGGAAAGCAGTAAACTCAAGCCAAAAACTAATCAAAAATAGAAAGGAATGGTGAAAATCCTGTTTGGATTACATTTTCAATAAATTAATGCATATGAACTTTAACACTTCCAGTCTTTGGAGAAACAGTTTCACTCTCCAAATATTTTTAATCCAGGAGGAGACAAAGGCAGGAATGTGTGAATCTCCATCTGGCTTAATTCTAGTTTAATTCTTCACATATAAATAAACCCTTTGGTTACAGGAACTGTTTTGGGAGGCAAGTTGCTTCAGGTGGTACAATTAAAATGGAGTGTTATTAAAAGATTAATCACAGTAAATATTTCCTCACAGGGCACAGTAGCTAAATCTCACTGATACCAGCAAGTCTGCTAGTGTAGGTTCCAGGCCAGCCCCATCAGACTCTGTGTCTTCTCCTCCACCTACCCATTCATGAATTCCACAGACAGAACCCATCTCAGAAACAGAATCTTGTGCCACCCCCCAAATCTGACACATGCCCTCCAGAGGCCTTTCATCCATGGGACAGAAATTGAACCCATGTTCCATTAGAACCTTGAGATTGTCTCATTTACTCTCCTGCTTGGATTTGACTCTTTCCTTCTACACAAAGCAAAACCATCACTTGGAATCCCCACTGGACCACAAACAATGGATAGTTTATCAGTCTGCTTGAGGCATCACAATAAAATACCCAAGGCTAGGGAGCTTCAACAACAGACATTTATTCTCCTACCATCGTGGAGCATGAAAGTCCAAGATCAAGGTGTGGGCAGGGCTGGTTCCTCCCAAAGCCTCTCTCATGGGCTTGTAGATGCCATCTTCTCCATATGTTCTCATGTGGTCATCCCTCTGTGTGCATGTGTGTGTCCTCATCTCTTCTTATAAGATGTCTTAGTCCATTTTAGACTGCTGTAACAGAATACCACAGACTGGACAGCTGAAACAACAGACATTTATTCTCTCACAGTCCTGGAGGCTAGAGGTCGGAGATCAAGGTGTGGGCAGGGCTGATTCTTCCTGAGGCCTCTCTTCTTGACTTGCAGATGCCATCTTCTCCCTGTGTCTTCACAGGGTCATCTTTCTGTGTGCGTCTGTGTCTTTATCTCCTCTTCTTATCTTATCAGGTGTCTTAGTTCATTTCAGGCTGCTATCACAGAATACCATAGATTGGTCAGCTTATAAACAACAAACATTTATTCTCCCATAGTCCTGAAGGCTGGAAGTCAGAGATCAAGGTGTGGGCAGGGCTGGTTCCTCCTGAGGTCTCTCTCATGGGCTTGTAGACACCATCTTCTCCCTGCGTCCTCACAGGGTGGCCCGTCTGTGTTTGTCTCTGTCCTCATCTCCTCTTCTTATAAGGACACAAGTCACATTGCATCAGGGCCCACCATAGTGACCTCACTTTACCTTGGTTATCTCTTTAAAATCCCTATCTCTAAACAAAATCACATTCTGAGGTCCCGGGTGTTTGGGCTTCAACCTGTGAATTTTAGTGGGATATAATTTAGCCCATACTAGATGTTGAGCAGGAACAGATCCACACATTGTGGGATCCAGGTTCCCTGCTGAAGCCCTGAATCAAATATGTTCTGGCTGCACTCATGGTAAACTGAGTCGCAGAGCTGAAAAGGACCACTGAGGGAGTACATGTTTTACCTGCCAAGGCCAGCTTGCTGACTTTCTCAAAAGAGGTCATTCTGAAAACCTCAGCAGCTGCATTCAATCACAAAGATTATTTCTGCCTCACAGAAAGTCAGCAGGAACTCAAGGAGAATGCAACACATGAGGCAGCAAAATAAAGGTCTGTGGGACTGAAATTAAGTCCCTTCTACCTCTTTCTATACTCTCCTTTTGTAGCTGAGGAAACAGATTATGATACTGAGCTGTACCGGGTGTGTTCTCACGCACAGAAACTCACACATGTGTTATGATTCAGGAAGAGGAAATTTTCTCCCAAGAAGGCAGGTGGTGTCCAGGAATCTCTTGGGTCCCTATTGGCCCAGCATGCTGAAAGGCTTATTGCTCAGCTGGTGGGAGCTAGGGACAAAAATGCAGACATCAAGTGCATTACTTGGGGTTTGCCAGAGAAGCAGGACTAATAAAATGAATGTACTATATGACATTGGCTGACACGATTATGGAGACTAAAAAGTCCCATGATCTAATATCTGCAAACTGGAGTTGCAGGAGAGCCAATGGTGTGAATCTAGTCTAAGTGTGAAGACCTAAGACCCAGGAGAGCCAATGGTGTGAGTTCCAGTCTAAGTCTGAAGGCCTGAGACCCAGGAGAGCTAAGGGTTTGAGTTCCAGGCTGAGCCTAAAGGCATAAGACCCAGGAGAGCCAGGAGTGTGATTTGCAGTCTGACTCTGAAGGCTGGAGACCCAGGAGGGCTGAAGGTGTGGGTTCCAGTCCAAGTGCAGAAGTCTCAGTTCCAGAAGGAACAATGGTTTAAGTTTCAGTCTAATAGCAGGAGAAGACCAATGTCCCAGGTCAAGCAGTCAGGTAGAAAGAGTGATTTCTCACTTCTTTTTTTAAAATTATATTTGAAGTTCTGGGGTAGATGTGAAGAACATGCAGGCTTGTTACATAGGTATACACATGCCATGGTGGCTTGCTGCACCCATCAACCATTACATATTTCTCCTAATCTACATTACATATTTCTCCTAATGCTACCCTCCCCTAGTCCCCAACCCTCTGACAGGCCCGTGTGTGATGTTCCCCTCCCTGTGTCCACATGTTCTCATTGTTCAACCCCCAATTATGAGAGAGAACATGCAGTGTTTGGTTTTCTGTTCTTGTGTTAGTTTGCTGAGAAGGATGGTTTCCAGCTTCATCCATGTCATTGCAAAGGATATGAACTCATCCTTTTTTATGGCTACGTAGTATTCCATGATGTATATATGCCACATTTTCCTTATCCAGTCTACCATTGATGAGCTTTTTAGTTGGTTCCAAGTCTTTGGTTTTGTGAACAGTGCCACAGTAAACATACATGTGCATGTGTCTTTATAGTAGAATTATTTATAATCCTTTGGGAATATATCCAGTAATGAGATTGCTGGGTCAAATGATATTTGTACTTCTAGATCCTTGAGGAATTGCCACACTGTCTTCCACAATGGTTGAACTAATTTACACTCCCACCAACAGAGTAAAAGCATTCCTATTTCTCCACATCCTCTCCAGCATCTGTTGTTTCCTGACTATTTAATAATTGCAATTTTAACTGGTGTGAGATGGTATGTCATTGTGGTTTTGATTTGAATTTCTCTAATGACCAGTGCAGAGGAGCTTTTCTTCATATGTTTGTTGCCTACATAAATGTCTTCTTTTGAGAAGTGTCTGTTCATATTCTTTGCCCATTTTTTGATGGGGTTGTTTTTTTTCTTCTTGCAAATTTGTTTAAGTTCTTTGTAGACTCTAGATATTAGCCCTTTGATTGAAAAATTTTTCTGTCACTCTTTAGGTTGCCTGTTCACTCTGATGATAGTTTCTTTTGCTGTGCAGAATCTCTTTAGTTTAATTAGATCCCATTTGTCAATTTTGGCTATTGTTGCCATTGGTTCTGGTGTTTTAGTAATGAGGTCTTTTGCCCATTCCTATGTCCTGAATGGTATTGCTTAGGTTTTCTTCTAGGGTTTTCATGGTTTTAGGTCTTACATTTAAATCTTTAATCCATCTTGAGTTAATTTTTGTACAAAGTGTAAGAAAGGGGTCCTGTTTCAGTTTTCTGCATTTGGCTTGCCAGTTTTCCCAACATCATTTATTAAATAGGGAATCCTTTCCCCATTTCCTGTTTTGGTCAGATTTGTTGAAGATCAGATGGTTGAAAATGTGTGGTGTTATTTCTGAGGCCTCTGTTCTGTTCCATTGGTCTATATATCTGTTTTGGTACCAGTATCATGCTGTTTTGGTTACTGAACCCTTGTAGTATAGTTTGAAGTCAGGTAGTGTGATGCCTCCAGCTTTGTTCTTTTTGCTTAGGATTGTCTTGGTTATGTGGGCTCTTTTTTGGTTCCATAAGAAATTTAAAGCAGTTTTTTTCTAATTTTGTGTAGAAAGTGAATGGTAGCTTGATGGGGATAGCATTGAATCTATAAATTACTTAGAGCAATATGGCCATTTTCACGATATTGACTCTTCCTACCCATGAGCATGGAATGTTTTTCCATTTGTTTGTGACTTCTTTTATTTCCTTGAGCAGTGGTTTGTAGTTCTCCTTGAAGAGGTCTTTCACATCCCTTGTAGGTTGTATTCCCAGGTATTTTATTCTCTTTGTTGGAATTGTGAATGGGAGTTCACTCATGATTTGGATCTCTGTTTGTGTATTATTGGTATATAGGAATTCTTGATTTTTGCACATTGATTTTGTATCTTGAGACTTTGCTGGAGTTGCTGATCAGCTTAAGGAAATTTTGGGCTGGGACATTGGAGTTTTCTAAATATACAACCCTGTCATCTGCAAAGAGAGACAATTTGACTTTCTCTCTTCCTATTTGAATATCTTTATTTATTTCTCTTGCCTGATTAGCCTGACCAGAACATCCAATACTATGTTGAATAGTAGTGGTGAGAGAGGTCATCCTTGTCTTGTGCTGGTTTTCAAAGGGAATGCTTCCAGTTTTTGCCCATTCAGTATAATATTGGCTGTGGGCTTTTCACACATAGCTTTTATTGTTTTGAGATATGTTCTATCAGTACGTAGTTTACTGAGAGTCTTTAGCATGAAGCGGTGTGGAATTTTAATGCCTTTTCTGCATTTATTGAGATAATCAGGTAGTTTTTGTCATTGTTTCTGTTTATGTGATGGATTACATTTACTGATTTGCATATTTTGAACCAGCCTTGCATCCCAGGGATGAAGCAGACTTGATCGTTGTGGGTAAGTTTTTTGATGTGCTGTTGGATTTGGTTTGTCATTATTTTATTGAGGATTTTTGCATGAATGTTCATCAGGGATATTGGCCTGAAATTTTGTTGTTGTTATTGTTGTTGTGTCTCTGCAGGTTTTGGTATCAGGATGATGCTGGCTTCATAAAATGAGTTAGGAAGGAGTCCCTCTTTTTCTATTGATTGGAATAGTTTCAGAAGGAATGGTACTAACTCCTCAGTGGAAATTCCAAATGGGCAGAGACCTCTGCAGCTCAGCAAATCCTCTGTAGCCAGACTGCCTCTCTAAATTCCTCCTCTCTTGGAAGGGCATCTCTGAAAAAAAGGCAGCAGCTGCATTTAGGGGCTTATAGATAAAACCTTCATCTCTCTGAGACAGAGCACCTGGGGAAAGGGGTGGTTGTGTGCGCAGCTTCAGGAGACTTAAACCTTCCAGCTCTGAAGAGAGCAGCCATTCTCCAAGAACAGCGCTTGAGCTCTGCTAAGGGACAGACTGCCTCCTCAAGTGGGCCCCTGACCCCTGTGCTTCCTGACAAGGAGACACCTCCCAGCAGGTGTTGACAGACACCTCATACAGGAAAATTCCAGCTGGCATCTGGTGGATGCCCCTCTGGGATTAAGGAACAGGCAGCAATCATTGCTGTTCTGCAGCCTTCACTGGTGATACCCAAGCAAACAGGGTCTAGATTACCATCCAGCAAACTCCAACAGACCTGCAGCAGAGAGGTCTGCCTGTTAGAAAGAAAACTAACAAACAAAGGAAAGGTATGAACATCAACAAAAAGGACATCCACACAGGAACCCCATCCAAAGGTAGATAAATCTATGAAATGGGGAGAAATCAGTGCAGAACGGCTGAAAATTCCAAAAAACCAGAATGCCTCTTCTCCTCCAAAGGATCACAACTCCTCATGAGCAAGGGAACAAAACTGGATGGAGAATGAGTTTCACAAATTGACAGAAATAGGCTTCAGAAGGTGGGTAATAACAAATTGCTCTGAGCTGAAGGGGCATGTTCTAACCCAATGCAAGGAAGTTAAGAACATTGAAAAAAGGTTAGACAAATTTCTAACTAGAATAGCCAGTTTAGAGCAGAACATAAGTGATCTTTTTTCTTTCTTTTATATTTAGACCTTCAACAGATTGGATCATGCCTATCTACACCAATGAGGGCAACCTGCTTCACACAATCCACCAATTGCTAATCTTCTCTGCAAACATTTTCACTGACATATCCAGCAATAATGTTTAACAAAATTCTGGGCACCTTGTGGTTCGTTCAAGTTGACCCATAAAGTTAACCACCACATCAAGTTGCCTGTTTCATTGAATCTCTGTTATTTCCTCCTTCTTTCCTTTCTTCCTTCTTTCCTTTCTTCCTTCCTTCCTTTCTTCCTTCCTTCCTTTCTTTCTTCCTTCCTTCTTTCTTTCCTTATTTCTCCCTTTCTCCCTCCCTCTCTTCCTTTCTTCCTTCTTTCCTTTCTCCTTTCCTTCCATTCTTCCTTCCTCCCTTCCTTCCTTTCCTTCCTTCCTTCCTTCCTTCCTTCCTTCCTTCCTTCCTTCCTTCTTTCCTTCCTTTCCTCTACAGCTACCAAGCTTCTACTATGCTTCAGACACCACGGTCCACGTTGGGAACATAATACCAACAGTAACATAGTTCCTGCTCTTGAATCTTTTCAATGCATGCCACAAGAGAGACTTTTCAACTTGTGCATAGCTTTTTTGAAATTAGATATATTTTCTAAAACAAAACCCATGAATTCAGATTCAGAGGGAGGAAAGAGCCATCTGGCCTCACAGAAAAATAAGGCCAATATTCTGCTGGCAAGTACGTTTGACCCTCTAACAATATGTGCATTAGAGTCACTGATCCCCTGCCCAGTGAAAAATCTGCACATAACGGTTGGCTCCCCAAACTTAGCTACCAATAGCCTACTACTGATTGGAAGCCTTACTGATGATAACATAAGCAGTTGGTTAACATCTATTTTGTATGTTATGTGCATTATGTTCTGTATCCTTCCAATAAGGCAAGCTGGATAAAATTAAATCATAAGTAAGAGAAAGTATATTTGCTATTCATTAAATAGAAGTGGATCATCATAAAGGTCTTTATCATCAACATCTTCATATTGAGTATGTTGAGGAGGAGGAGCAAGAGAAGAGGTTGGTCTTGCTGTCTCAGCAGTGGCAAAGGTGAAAGAAAATCCCCATATAAGTGGACTTCTGCAGATCTAACCTGTGGTGTTCAAGGGTCAACTGTACAGATAAAGTCATTGCACTTGTTTCCATCAGGGATCATTCTGTTTTGGAGATGCTCACATCCTCATTGATCAAGAGCCCAGGATATACTTTGAATAGTCATATTTGCAAAGACTTTGCATCGGATTTCAGAAACCCACAGGTCCTAGGATTGCAATGTGTAACAGGATAGCCTGTTGCATGTAGCTATTTAAATTTAAGTGAATTAAGTGAATTAACATTAAATAAAATAAAAATCCATTTGTTTATTCACCACTAGCCACCATATTTTCAGTGTTCAATAGCAGCTAGCTAGCTATTGAACTGTGCAGATTATAGCACATTTTCATGACTGTAGAATGTTCCATTGGACAGAGCTGCTTTGTGACCTGGAGTATGAAGGTGAACCCCAGACACCAAGTGAGTGATGACTAGGTCTGAGAATGTTTAAAGCTCTTCCAACATAAGGAAGTTTTCTATCTCTAACCTGAATTTCAGCAAACAAAAACAGATCATGCACAATAGCCCAATTGATGAAGGGAAAGACAGAACTTCCTCATCATTGGCCACATGACATATCCTCATGCTAAACCTACAGTCTTTGTATTTTATGAGTTTCTACCCATATGCAGGACACATATTACGGCAAGACATTGGGGACAGAACAACCTCCACAGGTCTCCTGTCTCTATTCTTCCAGTCAATGTTTCTTTGTATTTTTACATTGTCATGCTCTGTTTCTGGTTTTAAGAGTTCAGACAGAGGCTAGGTGCTCTTGTTTATGCCTGTAATACCACTACCTTTGGAGGTCAAGGTGGGCAGATTGATTTAGCCCAGGAGTTCTAGGCAAGCCTGGGCAACATGACAAAACCTTCTCTCTACAAAAAAATATGAAAATTAGCCAGATGTGGTGGTGTGTGCCTATAGTCCCAGCTACTCAGTAAACTGAGGTGGGATGATCACCTGAGCCTGGGGAACTCAAGGCTGCAAAAACCAAGATCTTGACACTACACTCCAGCCAGGGCCACAGTGTGAGACTGTCTCAAAAAAAATTAAGATTTAAACAGTTAAAGGGGGAGGAGCCAAGATGGCTGAATAGGAACAGCTCCAGTCTACAGCTCCTTGTGTAAGTGGCACAGAAGAGCGGTGATTTCTGCATTTCCATCTGAGGTACCTGGTTCATCTCACTAGGGAGTGCCAGACAGTGGGCGCAGGTCAGTGGGTGTGTGCACTGTGTGGCAGCTGAAGCAGGGCAAGGCATTGCCTCACTCAGGAAGCACAAGGGGTCAGGGAGTTCCCTTTCCTAGTCAAAGAAACCGGTGACAGAGGGCACCTGGAAAATCGGGTCACTCCCATCCGAATACTGCACTTTTCCGATGGGCTTAAAAAATGGCGCACCAGGAGATTATAGCCTGCACATGGCTGGGAGTGTCCTATGCCCATGGAGTCTCACTGATTGCTAGAACAGCAGTCTGAGATCAAATTGCAAGGTGGCAGCGAGCCTGGGGGAGGGGCGCCCACCATTGCCCAGGCTTGCTTAGGTAAACAAAGCAGCTGGGAAGCTCCAACTGGGTGGAGCCCACCACAGCTCAAGGAAGCCTGTGTTCCTCTGTAGGCTCCACCTCTGGGGGCAGGGCACAGACAAACAAAAAGACAGCAGTAACCTCTGCAGACTTAAATGTCCCAGTCTGACCCCTTTGAAGAGAGCAGTGGTTCTCCCAGCATGCAGCTGGAGATCTGAGAATGGGCAGACTGCCTCCTCAAATGGGTCCCTGACCCCTAACCCCCAAGCAGCCTAACTGGGAGGCACCCCCTAGCAGGGGCAGACTGACACCTCACACTGCCAGGTACTCCAACAGACCTGCAGCTGAGGGTCCTGTCTGTTAGAAGGAAAACTAACAAACAGAAAGGACATCCACACCAAAAACCCATCTGTACATCACCATCATCAAGGACCAAAAGTAGATAAAACCACAAAGATGGGGAAGAAACAGAGAAGAAAAACTGGAAATTCTAAAAAGCAGAGTGCCTCTCCTCCTCCAAAGGAACCCAGTTCCTTACCAGCAATGGAACAAAGCTGGACAAAGAATGACTTTGACGAGCTGAGAGAAGAAGGCTTCAGACGATCAAATCACTCTGAGCTATGGGAGGAAATTCAAACCAAAGGCAAAGAAATTGAAAACTTTGAAAAAAGTTTAGAAGAATGTATAACTAGAATAACCAATACAGAGAAGTGATTAAAGGAGCTGATGGAGCTGAAAACCAAGGCTCGAGAACTACGTGCAAAATGCAGAAGCCTCAGGAGCCAATGCGATCAACTGGAAGAAAGGGTATCAGCGATGGAAGATGAAATGAATGAAATGAAGCAAGAAGGGAAGTTTAGAGTAAAAAGAATAAAAAGAAATGAGCAAAGCCTCCAAGAAATATGGTACTATGTGAAAAGACCAAATCTACACCTGATTGGTGTACCTGAAAGTGACGGGGAGAATGGAACCAAGTTGGAAAACACTCTGCAGGATATTATCCAGGAGAACTTCCCCAATCTAGCAAGGCAGGCCAACATTCAGATTCAGGAAATACAGAGAACGCCACAAAGATACTCCTCGAGAAGAGCAACTCCAAGACACATAATTGTGAGATTCACCAAAGTTGAAATGAAGGAAAAAATGTTAAGGGCAGCCAGAGAGAAAGGTCGGATTACCCACCAAGGGAAGCCCATCAGACTAAGAGCAGATATCTCAGCAGAAACTCTACAAGCCAGAAGAGAGTGGGGCCAATATTCAACATTCTTAAAGAAAATAATTTTCAACCCAGAATTTCATATCCAGCAAAACTAAGCTTCATAAGTGAAGGAGAAATAAAATACTTTACAGAAGAACAAATGCTGAGAGATTTTGTCACCACCAGATCTGCCCTAAAAGAGCTCCTGAAGGAAGCGCTAAACATGGAAAGGAACAACCGATACCAGCCGCTGCAAAATCATGCCAAATTGTAAAGACCATCGAGACTAGGAGGAAATTGCATCAACTAACGAGCAAAATAACCAGCTAACATCATAATGACAGGATCAAATACAGATAACAATATTAACTTTAAATGTAAATGAACTAAATGTTCCAATTAAAAGACACAGACTGGCAAATTGGATAGAGTCAAGACCCATCGGTGTGCTGTATTCAGGAAACCCATCTCACGTGCAGAGACACATATAGGCTCAAAATAAAAGGGTGGAGGAAGATCTACCAAGCAAATGGAAAAGAAAAAAAGGCAGTGGTTGCAATCATAGTCCTTGATAAAACAGACTTTAAACCAACAAAGATCAAAAGAGACAAAGAAGGCCATTACATAATGGTAAAGGGATCAATTCAACAAGAAGAACTAACTATCCTAAATATATATGCACCCAATACAGGAGCACCCAGATTCATAAAGCAAGTCCTGAGTGACATACAAAGAGATTTAGACTCCCACACATTAATAATGGGAGACTTTAACACCCCCTTACCCAGGAATTGAACTCAGCTCTGCACCAAGCCGAACTAATAGACATCCACAGAACTCTCCACCCCAAATCAACAGAATCTACATTTTTTTCACACCACACCACACCTATTCCAAAATTGACCACATACTTGGAAGTAAAGCTCTCCTCAGCAAATGAAAAAGAACAAAAATTATAACAAACTATCTCTCAGAACACAGTGTAATCAAACTAGAATTCAGGATTAAGAATGTCACTCAAAGCCGCTCAACTACATGGAACTGAACAACCTGCTCCTGAATGACTACTGGGTACATAACGAAATGAAGGCAGAAATAAAGATGTTCTTTGAAACCAATGAGAACAAAGACACAACATACCAGAATCTCTGGGACATATTCAAAGCAGTGTGTAGAGGGAAATTTATAGCACTAAATGCCCACAAGAGAAAGCAGGAAAGATCCAAAATTGACACCCTAACATCACAATTAAAAGAACTAGAAAAGCAAGGGCAAACACATTCAAAAGCTAGCAGAAGGCAAGAAATAACTAAAATCAGAGCATAACTGAAGGAAATAGAGACATAAAAAACCCGTCAAAAAATTAATGAATCCAGGAGGTGGTTTTTTGAAAGGATCAACAAAATTGATAGACCACTAGCAAAACTAATAGAGAAAAAAAGAGAAGAATCAAATAGATGCAATAAAAAATGATAAAGGGGATATCACCACCGATCCCACAGAAATACAAACTACCATCAGAGAATACTACAAATACCTCTATGCAAATAGACCAGAAAATTGAGAAGAACCAGATAAATTCCTCGACACATACACTCTCCCAAGACTAAACCAGGAAGAAGTTGAATCTCTGAATAGACCAATAACAGGAGCTGAAATTGTGGCAATAATCAATAGCTTACCAACCAAAAAGAGTCCAGGACCAGATGGATTCACAGCCAAATTCTACCAGAGGTACAAGGAGGAACTGCTACCATTCCTTCTGAAACTATTCCAATCAATAAAAAAAAGAGGGAATCCTCCCTAACTCATTTGATGAGGCCAGCATCATCCTGATACCAAAGCCGGGCAGAGACACAACCAAAAAAGATAATTTTGGACCAATATCCTTGATGAACATTGATGCAGAAATCCTCAATAAAATACTGGCAAACCGAATGCAGCAGCATATCAAAAAGCTTATCCACCATGATCAAGTGGGCTTCATCCTTGGGATGCAAGGCTGTTTCAATATACACAAATCAATAAATGGAATCCAGCATATAAACAGAACCAAAGACAAAAACCACGATTATCTCAATAGATGCAGAAAAGGCCTTTGACAAAATTCAACAACACTTCATGCTAAAAACTCTCAATAAATTAGGTATTGATGGGATGTATCTCAAAATAATAAGAGCTATCTATGACAAACCCACAGCCAATATCATACTGAATGGGCAAAAACTGGAAGCATTCCCTTTGAAAACTGGCACAAGACAGGGATGCCCTCTCTCACCACTCCTATTTACCATAGTGTTGGAAGTTCTAGCCAGGGCAATCAGGCAGGAGAAGGAAATAAAAGGTATTTAATTAGGAAAAGAGGAAGTCAAATTGTCCCTGTTTGCAGACAACATGATTGTATATCTAAAAAACCCCATTGTCTGAGCTCAAAATCTCCTTAAGCTGATAAGCAACTTCAGCAAAGTCTCAGCATACAAAATCAGTCTACAAAAATCACAAGCATTCTTATACACCAACAACAGACAAACAGAGAGCCAAATCATGAGTGAACTCCCATTCACAATTGCTTCAAAGAGAATAAAATACCTAGGAATCCAACTTACAAGGGATGTGAAGGACCTCTTCAAGGAGAACTACAAACCACTGCTCAAGGAAATAAAAAAGTATACAAACAAATGGAAGAACAGTCCATGCTCATGGGTAGGAAGAATCAATATCATCAAAATGGCCATACTGCCCAAGGTAATTTACAGATTCAATGCCATCCCCATCAAGCTACCAATGACTTTCTTCACAGAATTGGAAAAAGCTACTTTAAAGTTCCAATTACAGTACATCTATAGAGTGTACAAGCTCCGTCTCCCGGGTTCACGCCATTCTCCTGCCTCAGCCTCCCGAGTAGCTGGGACTACAGGCGCCCACCACCATGCCCGGCTAATTTTTTGTATTTTTAGTAGAGACGGGGTTTCATCATATTAGCCAGGATGGTCTCGACCTCCTGACCTCTTGATCCGCCCACCTCGGCCTCCCAAAGTGCTGGGATTGCAGGCGTCAGCCACTGCGCCCGGCCTGAAAATGATTTTCTGATGTGCCATCTATTTCTTAGGTTTTATAAGAGATATCTTTCTACTTTGGTTCCCTTCCCTTCTCCTTCCCCTTCCCCTTCCCCTTCCCCTTCCCTCTCCTTTCCTCTCCTTTCCTTTCTGATGGAGTCTCACTCTGTCTCCCAGGCTGGAGTGCAGTGGTGTGATCTCGGCTCACTGCAAGCTCCGCCTCCCAGGTTCACGCCATTCTCCTGCCTCAGCCTCCCGACTAGCTGGGACTACAGGCGCCCGACACTACGCCTGGCTATTTTTTTTGTATTTTTAGTAGAGACGGGGTTTCACCGTGTTAGCCAGGATGGTCTCGATCTCCTGACCTCGAGGACCTGCCCGCCTCAGCCTCCCAAAGTGTTGGGATTACAGGCTGGAGCCACTGCGCCCGGCCTAAAAATGATTTTCTGATGTGCCAATGTGCCATCTATTTCTTAGGTTTTATAAGAGATGTCTCTACTTTGTTTTTTGTTTTTTTGTTTTTTGTTTTTTGTTTTTTTTTGGAGACGGAGTCTCGCTCTGTCACCCAGGCTGCAGTGCAGTGGCACGATCTTGGCTCACTGCAAGCTCCGCCTCCTGGGTTTGCGCCATTCTCCTGCGTCAGCCTCCCGAGTAGCTGGGATTACAGGCGCCCGGCTAATTTTTTGTATTTTTAGTAGAGACGGGTTTTCACCCTGTTAGCCAGGATGGTCTCAATCTCCTAACCTCATGATCTGCCTGCCTCTAGCCTCCCAAAGTGCTGGGATTACAGGCATGAGTGGTAACTTTCTTTGAGAAAAGACAAGAAGTTTCCTGTGCAGATATCTGAGCATCACTGTTTGAAATGTCAGTGGAGTTCTCAAGGGAAGATGTCAGCAATGTGCAATCAGTTAATGAGTCTAGAGTCGTTTGGCATCTGCACTTATTGAGAGAATAACTTTTACAAGGGCTGAGGAACCAGCTATTCTGATTTGAACTCTTTTTTTTTTTTTTTGTCCTCGATTTTCTTTTTCTAGCTCACTTTTTGGCTATTTTTGAATTTGTTAGCACCAGTCAGTAAAGGTTAAAGGAGAGGGAAACAGCAGCAAGTTTTGCTTAGTCATACTCAACTGAAATGTTCTGGGGAGTCTGACATGAAACAAATAGCAGAGTTTCTAAAAAAGAATCTGTGACTTCTACACTTTCTGTGTATAGATAATGAAGAGAAGTAACAGGTAGCAAGATGGAAGAGTCTGCCTTCTCATCTGCTTGTGGGTCCACGTGCACATGGCTGGCTGTTCCTCCCAGGCACCCTCTTTTACACTGAGTTTCCACTTCCATTCTTTGTAAATTGAAATGTAACTTGCTTGGCCTTGGCTAACTTTAGGAAGGCATGCTTGGCTGAAGATGACTTTCTGAGGAGGAGTCTTCACCATCACCCTTATGTTCAAGTCCGGTAGTCTTGTTTTCTTATCAAAATACAAGGCAAAGCCTTATTGGCAACCCAGGAGAGAGACTGACCTTATAGGTAGGATTCACAACTGCAGACTAGATATCAAGGTCCATCTTTCCTTTGAAACTCCTCAGCTGCCTTAACAAGATAAGATTCTATATATATGTAAACTCCAGGTCCAAGATAGGGGCTGGTAAATTGCACCTTTCTAAGATTGCTATGGATTTGGAGCTTGATTGGATGTATATCTAATGAATGAATGGCATTAAGTCTTCAGTTCTGAAAAAGTAGATGCTGCAGGAAATAAATAGCTGAGAAAATAGGACATTCTTTTTTAATGGCCTTCAGCAATTTATTTGTGAAATGTGAGGATTCTAAAAGAAGAAACTTCTTAAATTCCTAAAATAAAAAGCACTATTACTTCTGGCAACTGAACAAAGAGTGCTCTGAATCAGGAGTTATCTGGGAGAGGTTGCGCATGAATTCATTCTGCATCCAGTGGGCTATAAGCAGCACAGTCACCAGAAAGTGTGCTGCAATCATTGCACAATATCTGATGTTGCTATGGTGAGGATGATACCTTCTAATTAGTTTTTGTGTTGTGGGGGGTTGGGGGAAAGGAGGAAAGGTGGGAAGAGATAATGAAATGGTTGTGTCTGGGTGCAGTGGCTCAGCCTGTAATCCCAGCACTTTGGGAGGCCAAGGCGGGTGGATCACCTGAGGTCAGGAGTTTGAGACCAGCCTGGCGAACATGGAAGAACCCCGTCTCTACTAAAAATAGAAAAATTAGCTGGGTGTGGTGGTGCATACCTGTAATCCCAGCTACTCAGGAGGCTGAGGCAGGAGAATCGCTTGAACCCTGGAGGTGGTGGTTGCAGTGAACTGAGATCCTACCATTGCACTCCAGCTTGGGCAACAGAGAGAGACTCCATCTCAAAAAAAAAAAAAAAAAGAAGAAGAAAAAGAAATGGTTGTAAGCCTTTCAAATGTGTGGCTATTCACTATGGTTCAAATGTGTAGGGTTGCTACTGGGAAGGCTGGAACAGAGGAGAAAACTTCACTGAAATTGTGACTGTCCCAGTGTGTTTCCCATCCCCATAATTGCCTGAATGTTCTGAAGCAATTTTTCATAAAACACACTGTGTCTGACAATTGTTATTTTAATTTTCCATCCTTTGCCTAGCACATGTCTGCTAAGGTTGCTTAATAGCTACTTATCATTGCTAAGAATGAACAACATAGTGGACTCTCTGCTACTTTCTGGATGGCCAAGAAACCTGATTCTTCTCAGTTTTATTATGGTTATTGCCTGGATTCACTGTAGCCATTGGTTATGAATTCTTGAGCATTTATTTGGGAGATTACAATTAATAAGGTGTAGCCTGTGTTCTCAGGAGCTAGTCATCTAGCAGCGAAGACAAAGAAATAGACACCTCACCAGAAAGCACTGGAGCAAATTCTGTGCTGGGGGTGTGGCTAAAGCACTACTAAAGGTAGAAGGCACAGAGGAACAGGTTCTCAAAGACCTTTATTCCTAGGAGGTTTAAGGACAGGTGTCCTCTGTAGAAAACCGTCACGTGTGAATTCCAGGGTCTTCAGGAAGGGTTATTTCCACATCAGGAAACAACGCTGGAATTTTAGCTTCCTTACAGAGGGTACCTTGGACTCAGATTTAAAGCACGAATAGATTATTGAGTCACCAATTATTTCAATACATGTTTCTTAGATACACTAACCACGTTCAAGAAGTTCTCTCCATACTCCAGAACCTTCCATTCTCCCCACTCAGCCACAGTGGGTTAATAACTTAAATACTCAGCACATAAGTACCACTGCATCAGTGATAGGTTGTATCCTGCCAAACCAAGAGTTATGAAGAGTTGTGATCTTGCCTCTGGAGATGCTGTTTGATTTCTTCCACAGTGTCACTACTACAACTAGATGGTAGTGCTTTGATCAGTGCTGGCACGGCCTGAGGAGTTGGAATTGTATACGTAGATGCTGGAAGAAAGGAACTGATAGTTGACACATCAGTTGGAAAGCATCATAGGAGCGAGTTGCCATGTCAATTAGAGGCTTTCCTAGATGTGCTCTTACCCATGGATCATGGAGGGAGATGCTTATGGTGGGGTTGCAAGGAATGGCTGTGGGAATGGACTGTTGAAGGTCCCACAGTAGCACAGAGGTGGCATTTTCAGTCATTCTAAAACTCTATTCTCAGATTTCCTTCCATCCCTGCACTAGGCCCCTTTTGAAGCTCAGAGGTACCAAACCCTTCCTCCACATGCTCCCTCCATTGCCGTGGGCCCTACCTAGGGTGGGCAGGGGATTACTGAGCTGAAAAGAGCAGTCTTTAACTAAGCCAGGTTCTGGAGCATGTTCTCAAGAGCGTGGCACGATGACAGTGCCAAAGCAGAGGTTGTGAGGCTGGGAGAAGACTGGCCTTAGCTCTGATGCCAAGCAGAGGTTTAGAGCTAAGTTTGCAAGCAGCTGGGGATACTTGGTGGAAGCATTGTGTGTGTGGGTAGGGTGTGTGGGGGCACAAGGAAACAGACTCCATTCACTTTCAAGTATACCTGAACAGGGTCTACCACTGTTAAAATCAGAGAATTTATTTATTTGTTCTTCCTGTATTTTTGTTTTAATTATTTTAAGTTCACTGGTACTTGTGTAGGTTTGTTACATGGGTAAACTCATGTCATGGGGTTTGTTGTACAGATTATTTCATCACCCAGGCATTCATCCTAGTACCCATTAGTTGTTTTTTCTGATCCTCTACCTCCTCCCACCCTCCACCCTCCAGTCGGCGTCAGTGTATGTTGTTCTCCCCTATGTGTCCGTGTATTTTCATCATTTAGTTCCCACTTATAAGTGAGAACATGTGGCATTTGGTTTTCTGTTCCTGCATTAGTTTGCTAAGGATAATGGCCTGCAGCTCCATTTATATTCTTGCAAAGGACATGATCTCATTTTTATGGCTGCATAGTATTCCATGGCACATATGTACCACATTTTCTTTACCCAGTCTACCGTTGACATTTAGGTGAATTTCATGTCTTTGCTACTGTGATTAATGCTACAATGAACATATGTGTACATGTGTCTTTAGAATGGAATGATTTATATTCCTTTGGATATATACCCAGTAATGAGATGGCTGGGTCAAATGAGGATTGTGTTTTTAGGTCTTTGAGGAAGTGCCACAATGTTTTCCACAATGGTTGAAGTAATTTACATTCCCACCAACAGTTCATAAGCATTCCTTTTTCTGTGCAGCCTTGCCAGCACCTGTTATTTTTTTGACTTTTTAATAATAGACATTCTGACTGGTGTGAGGTGGTATCTCACTGTGGTTTTGATTTGCATTTCTTTACTAATCAGTGATGTTGAGGTTTTATTCATCTGTTTCTTAGCCACATGTATATCTTTTTTGAAAAGTGTCTGTTCATGTCCTTTGTCCACTTTTTAATGGGGTTGTTTTTCTCTTGTTCGTTTGTTTAAGTGCCTTATAGATGCTAGAGATTAGACCTTTGTCAGATGTGTGCTTGCAAAAATTTTCTCCCATTCTGTAGGTTGTTTGTTTACCCTGTTGATACTTTCTTTTGCTGTGCAGAAGCTCTTTAGTTTAATTAGATCCCATTTGACAATTTTTGCTTTTGTTGCTATTGCTTTTGGCATCTTGGTCATGAAATCTTCACCCATTCCTATGGCCAGGATGGTATCACCTAGGTTGTCTTCGAGGGTTTTTGTAGTCTTGGATTTTACATTTAAGTCTTTAATTCATCTTGAGTTGATTTTTGTATATAGTATAAGGAAGGGGTCAAGTTTCAATCTTCTCCATATGGCTAGCCAGTTATCCCAGCACCATTTACTGAATAGGAAATCCTTTCCCCATTGCTTGTTCTTGTCAATTTTGTCAAAGATCAGATAGTTAAAGATGTGCAGCTAGCTTGCTTGCCTGCCTGCCTGCCTGCCTGCCTGCCTGCCTGACTTCCTTCCTTCCTTCCTTTCCTTTCTTTCCTTTCTTTTCCTTTCTCTCTCTTTCTCTCTCTCTCTTTCTCTCTCTCTCTCTCCTTCTCTCTCTCTGTCTCTCTTTCTCTCTTTCTTTTCTTTCTTTCTTTTTCCTCTTGTTGCCCAGGCTGGAGTGTAATGGTGCAATCTCCACTTACCGCAACCTCTGCCTTCTGGGTTCAAGCGATTCTCCTGCCTCAGCCTCCTGAGTAGCTGGGATTACAGGCATGCACTACAACGCCCAGCTAATTTTGTATTTTTAGTAGAGATGGGGTTTCTCCAAGTTGGTCAGGCTGGTTTTGAACTCCCGACCTCAGGTGATCCACCCACCTCAGCCTCCCAAAGTGCTGGGATTACAGGTGTGAGCCACTGCACCCAGGCTGCAGCCTCATATCTTGATACGCTATTCTGTTCTGTTGGTCTATGTGTCTGTTTTTGTAGCAGTACCATGTTGTTTTGAGTACTATGGCCCTGTAGTATAGTTTGAAGTCAGATAGCATGATGCCTCCAGCTTTGTTCTTTTTGCTAAGGATTACCTTGGCTTTTCAAGCTCTTTTCTTTGGTTCCACATGAATTTTAAAATAGTTTTTTCTAGTTCTGTGAAGAATGTCATTGGTAGTTTGATAGAAATAACATTGAATCTATAAATTTTTGGGGGAAGTATGGCCATTTTAATGATATTGATTCTTCTTATCTGTGAGGATGGAATGTTTTTTCATTTGTTTGTGTCATCTCTTATTTCCTTGAGGAGTGTTTTGTAGTTCTCTTTATTGCTCCTTGTCTTTCACCTCCTTGGTTAGCTGTATTCTTAGGTATTTTATTCTTTGGTGGCAATTGTGAATGGGATTGTGTTCCTGATTTGGCTCTTGGCTTTAACTGTTGTTGGTGTATAGGAATGCTAGTGATTTTTGTACATCGATTTTGTATCCTGAGAATTTGCTGAAATTGTTTATGAGCTTAAGGAGCTTTTAGGCTGAGATGATGGGGTTTTCTAGATATAGGATCACGTCGCCTGCAAACAGGGATATTTTGGCTTCTCTATTCCTGTTCGGATGCCCTTTATTTCTTTCTCTTGCCCAATTGCTTTGGCCAGGACTTCCAAAAACCATGTTGAATAGAAGTGGTGCGAGAGTGCATCCTTATTTTGTGCTGGTTTTTGAGAGGAATGATCCCAGCTTTTGCCCATTTAGTATGATGTTGGCTGTGGATTTGTCATAGATGGCTCTTATTACTTTGAGGTATGTTCCTTCAATACCTAGCTTATGACAGATTTTAACAGAAAGGAGTGTTGAATTTTATTGAAAGCCTTTTCTGCATTTATTGAAATAATCATGTAGTTTTTGTCTTTAGTTCTGTATATGTGATCAGTCACATTTATTGATTTGCATATGTTGAACCAACCTTGCATCCTAGGGATAAAGCCTACTTGATCATGGTGGATAAGCTTTTTGATGTGCTGCTGGATTTGGTTAACCAGTATTTTGTTGAGGATTTTTGCATCAGTGTTCATCATGGATACTGACCTGAAATTTTCTTTTTTTGTTGTGTCTCTGTCAGGTTTTGGTATAAGGATGATGCTGGCCTCATAGCATGAGTTAAGGAGGAATCCCTTCTGCTCAACTTTTTAAGAATAGTTTCATTAGAAATGGTACCTGCTCGGCCAGGAATGGTGGCTCACGCCTGTAATCCCAGCACTTCAGGAGGCCGAGGTGGCTGGATCACCTAAGGTGAGGAGTTCAAGACTAGCCTGGCCAACATGGTGAAACCCTGTCTCTACTAAAAATACAAAAATTAGCTGAATGTAGTGGTGCATGCCTGTAGTTCCAGCTACTCGGGATGCTGAAGCAGGAGAACTGCTTGAACCTGAGAGGCAGAGGTTGCAGTGAGCTAAGATCATGCCACTATACTCCAGCCTGGGTGACAGATTGAGACTCCGTCTCAAAAACAAAAAACAAAAAACAAAACAAACAACAAACAACAACAATAACAACAAAACAAAAAACAGTACCAGCTCTTCTTTGTGCATCTGATAGAATTTCACTGTGAGTCTGTCTTATCCTGGGCTTTTTTGAGTGGTAGGCTGTTTATTACTGATTCAATTTCAAAATGCATTATTGGTCTGTTCAGGGATTCAGTTTCTTCCTGGCTCAGTCTAGGGAAGGTGTGTGTATGTGTCCACGAATTTTCTACTTCTTCCAGATTTTCTAGTTTATGAACATAGAGGTGTTCATAATATTCTCTGATGATCATTTGTGTTACTTTGGAGTGAGTGATAATATCCCTTTTGTCATTTCTAATTGTGTTTATTTTGATCTTCCCTCTTTTTCTTGTTTATTAGTCTGCTAGTGGTCTATCTCTTCTATTTCTGTTTTTCAGAACACCAACTCCTGGACTCATTGATGTTTTGAACATTTTTCTCGTGCCTCTGTCTCCTTCAGTTCAGCTCTGATTTTGATGATTTCTTGTCTTCTGTCGGATTTGGGGTTGGTTTGCTTTTGGTTCTCTAGTTCTTTCAGTTGTGATGTTAGGTTGTTAAATTGAGATCTTTCTAACCTTTTGATGGGGGCATTTAGTGCTATAAACTTCCCTCTTAACACTGCCTTACCTGTCTCCCAGAGATTCTGGTATGTTACATCTTTGTTCTCATTAGTTTCAAAGAACTTATTGATTTCTGCCTTAATTTCATTATTTATTCAAAAGTCATTCAGGAGCAGTTTATTCAATTTCCATGTAATTGTATGGTTTTGAGCAAATTTCTTAGTCTTGATTTCTAATTTGATAGTGCTGTGGTCTGAGAGAGTGGTTGTTATAATTTCAGGTCTTTGGCATGTGCTGAGGAGTGTTCTGTGTCTGATTATGTGGTCAATTTCCGAGTACGTGTCATGTGTGTCACTGAGAAGAATGTATATTCTGTTGCCTTTGGGTGGAGAATTCTGTAGATGAGATGTCTATCATGTCCATTTGATCCAGTGGTGAGTTCAGGTCCCAAATATATTTGTTAATTTTCTGCTTTGATAACCTGTTTAATACTGTCAGTGGGGTGTCAAAGTCTTCCACTATAATCGTGTGGGAATCTAAGTCTCTTTGAAGGTCTCTAAGAACTTGCTTTATGAATATGGGTGCTCCTGTGTTGGATGCATATATATTTAGGATAGTTAGGTCTTCTTATTGAATTGAACCCTTTACCATTATGTATTACCCTTCTTTGTCTTTTTTGATCTCTGTTGGTTTAAAGTCTGTTTTGTTGGAAACTAGGATGACAACCCCTGCTTTTTTCTGTTTTCCATTTGCTTGGTAGATTTTTCTCCATCCCTTTACTTTGAGCCTATGTGTGTCACTGCATATGAGATGGGTCTCTTAAAGACAGCATACCAGTAGGTCTTGGTTCCTTATCCAGCTTGCCACTCTGTGCCTTTTAATTGGGAAATTTACCCATTTACCTTCAAGGTTAGTGTTGATATGTGTGGATTTGATTCTGTCATTATGATGTTAGCTGATTATTATGCAGACTCGTATATGTGGTTGCTTCATAGTGTCACTAGTCATGTATTTAAGTGTGTTTTTGCAGTTGCTGGTAATGGTCTTTCCATAGTTAGAACTTCCTTCAGGAGCTCTTATAAGGCAGATCTGCTGGTAACGAATTCTCTAGGCATTTGTTTGTCTGAAAAGGATCGTATTTCTCCACTTATGAAACTTAGTTTGACCAAATATAAAATTCCAGGTTGGCATTTCTCTTCTTTAAGAATATTGAATATTGGCCCTCAATCTTTTCTGGCTTACAGAGTTTCTGCTGAGAGGTGTGCTGTTAGTCTGATGGGCTTCTCTTTGTAGGCAACCTGACCTTTCTCTCTTTCTCTGCCTTTAACATTTTTTCTTTCTTTTTGACCTTGGAGAATCTAATGATTATGTATCTTGGGGATGATCTTCTTGTGAAATATCTTACTGTGGTTCTCTGCATTTCTTGAATTTGAATGTTGGCGTCTCTAGCTAGTTTGGGGAAGTTCTCATATGATGATATCCTAAAATACGTTCCCCAAGCTACTTAAACTCTCCCCATCTCTTTCAGGGACACCAATGAGTCATATATTTGGTCTCTTTACCTAATCCGCTATTTCTTGGAGCTTTTGTTCATTCCTTTTTATTCTTTTTTCTCTATTCTTTCCTGACTATCTTATTTCAGAAAGCCAGTTTTCAAGCTCCAAGATTCTTTCCTCAGGTTGGTCTATTCTGCTATTAATACTTTGTTTGCATTATTAAATTCTTGTAGTGTGTTTTTCAGCTCTATCAGGTCAGTTACATTCTTTTCTATACTGGCTAATTTTGCCTGTCAGCTCTTGTATCATTTTATTGTGATTCTTAGCTTCCTTGGATTGGGTTTCAACATTCTCCTGAAGCTGGATGATCTCTGTTCCTATATATATTCTTAATTCTATTAATATTTCTGTTATTTCAGCCATCTCAGCCTGGTTCAGGACCCTTGCCAGAGAGGTGGTGTGGTCATTTGGAGGAAAGAAGGCACTCTGGCTTTTTAGTTGTCAAGGTTTCTGCACTGGTTCTTTGTCATCTCTGTGGGCTGATGTTTCTTCAGTCTTTGAAGTTGCTGACCTTTTGGTGGGTTTTTGCCCCTTTTATCCTATTTGAGGACCTTGAGCTTTTGATTGTGGTATAAGCTGGATTCAGCTGACTGGCTTCATTTCTGGAAGATTTTAGAAGGCCAGTGATCAACTCTCAACTCCTGGACTGTGTGCTCTAACTCTGAGGGACTTGTATCAGGCCCCAGCTTTGTTCTCTGGCTCCTCAAGGTTAGGAATTCACTGGGCTGGGAGTGCTGAGGTGCTTCCAGACTGCTGGGCACTACACTGTGATGGATGGTGTCAGCCAAAGCATTTTGCAATGTGGTAGCAGTGGGATCCATCCTTGTTGCATGTGCCTGCAGAAGCAGCAGTGGCAGTATGGTGAGGTGCATACTTGATGGCTCTGGCAGGGTGCTAGTGGGTGCCAGGGTCCCTGCCTCCATGGGTGCATTCACTGTGGCAGAGGCAGCATGGCTGTGG
This sequence comes from Homo sapiens, assembly GCF_000001405.40. Lineage (NCBI taxonomy): Eukaryota > Metazoa > Chordata > Mammalia > Primates > Hominidae > Homo > Homo sapiens. Next base: position 11,845,874 of record NC_000024.10, on the reverse strand, counting down.
GAGTTGGGAGGGTCTAATGGTAGCTGTGCACATGGTGGTGCTGGTGGTGGTGTGAGCATGAGGGCAGGGTGCTGGCAGGCACAGGTCTGTGTGTTTTCTCTATGTGCCACAGGCAGGGGTGGTCACTCAGGGTTGGGGAGGGTCCGCTGTTCTCTACGTCTAGTTTCGCTCCTGTGGCAGTGTTTGCAGAAGTACAGGGTGCTGGTGGGGGTGGGGCTGTCTGGCTCTGTGCCCACCAAGGCTCCAACTGCAATGGCAGTTGGGTTAGGAGAGGTGAGGGTGGAATGTACTCCTGCTGCAGCGGTGGCAGGTCAGGGTGTATGCACACAGGTGCACTGGTGGGGCAGGGAAGGCAAAACTTTCCTGTGAACACATGTGCTGGCAAAGTGATGTGGGGGTTTGCCATGGATCTGGGGGAAGGCTGCCGTGTGGGGAGGGAGCAGGTGGGCTGGTGAGTGGCCATGGGGGCCACCCTGCTGGAGCTGTCCACTGGAAAGAGAGGATCTGCCAGCACAGGAGTTATGATGTGAGCCCCCAGGGGACCTGAGGCTGCCCTACAAGCAGGCATGGCCAGGCTGGGACCCTGGGAGAGGCCAGGGTCAGATCAGACTGGCCCCATTTGATATGCAAGACCACCATGCAGAGTTCAGGTCTGACAGTTCCCCTAGGGTTAAAGTCTCCTATGGGTGCAAATTGAGCCAAGGGAGATGGGCTTCCCTGGCTGTGTTGTGCTACGCATACTCCTACAGCAAACCCTCTGGGCTCTATTTCAGCTATTATGCTGCTCCTACCACCTCTCTAAGCAGCTCTCCCTGCCAACTCAGGTGTCTGTGGTGGTCAAGGGGTCTCCTCCTGCCAGGATTCCAGAGGCCTATGGTGAGAGTGGGTTGCTCCTTGCCAGTTCAACTCACTCATTCCCCCAGAGTTGTTGGGGGCCAGGAACAAGTCCCAGTACATGGTAGCCCCATGCAGTGTTCCCAGCTTCCTCCTGCTTCAGCCCAGCTTCTGTGTCTTCCCCTGTGCCCCCAGTTCATTCTCAGTGCCTTCTGTCTGAAGGTCTTTTAGGAGTGCGCCAGTCAACCCAGTCCCTTGGTGGCAGCTCTTCCACCTGGCTGTGTCTAGTTGGCCATCTTGCCCTCTCTCCCTACTTATTTGTTTGTTCTTTCAACAAACACTTATTGAACAATGTCAGGCAGTGTAATTGTGAGTTTTATGTGTCAACTTTACTGGATCACAGGGTGCTCAGATATTTGGTTAGACAATATTCACATATTTGGTTAGACATTATTCTTTTTTTTTTTTTTTTTTTTTGAGATGGAGTCTCGCTCTGTCACCCAGGCTGGAGTACAGTGGCATGATCTCAGCTCACTGCAACCTCCAACTTCTGAGTTCAAGTGATTCTCCTGCCTCAGCCTCCCAAGCAGCTGGGACTACAGGAGCATGCCACCACGCCCAGCTAATTTTTTGTATTTTTGGTAGAGACAGGGTTTCACTGTGTTAGCCAGGATGGTCTCGATCTCCTGACCTTGTGATCCACCCAACTCGGCCTCCCAAAGTCCTGGGATTACAGGTGTGAGCCACCATGCCCAGCCAGTTAGACGATATTCTAACCAAATATTGATATTTCTCTAAGGGTGTTTCTGGATGAAATTAACATTCTTAAAAATTTAATTTAATTTTTATTTATTTTTACATTTCTATAAATGTATGATGTACAAGTGTAATTTTGTTGTATGCATAGATTGCGGAGTAGTGAAATCAGGGTTTTTAGGGTATCCATCAGTCAAATAATGTACATTTTACCCAGTAAGTGGGATTACCATTTGAATAGGTAGACTGAAGAAAGTAAATTATTCCCCTGATGTAGATGGACCTTTTCTTAGCTGCTGAAAGACTACATGGAACAAAAGGTCGAATAAGAATTCTTTCTCTCTGTCTGATTGTCTTCCAGGTGGGATGTTAGTCTCCTCCTGCCTTCTGACTTAGGTTCTGACTGGAACTATCACCATCAGCTCTCCTGGGTCTGGACTTCTCAGCCTTCATAATCATGTGAGCCAATTTCTTATAACAAATCTCTTTTTCTGTATGCATGTGCACACACACACACACACACACACACAGATTATTGGTTCTGTTTCCCTGAAAACCTTAACTAATACAAGAATTATTCTATGCACCAAGATAAAGTGAATAAGAAAATAAGGCCCCTGCTCTCACTGACCTTAAATTCTTATAATAAACACAGCAAACAAACAAATGAACAAGGATGATATCAAATCATGCACAAGCCTGTGCAGAGAATTAAAACAAGGTAATATGGTGGTAAGTGACTGGATGGCTCTTTTAGACTGGATGGTCATGGAAAGTCTTTCTGAGGAGGTGACATTTACACTGAGATTTGATGACAAAAGATTAGTGTGCTGGGGCTGGGCGCAGTGTCTCATGCCTGTAATCCCAGCACTTTGGGAGGCTGAGGTGGGTGGATCACAAGGTCAGGAGATCAAGACCATCCTGGCTAACATGGTGAAACCCCGTTTCTACTAAAAATACAAAAAACCAGCTGGGCGTGGTGGCATGCACCTGTAGTCCTGGCTACTCAGGAGGTTTAGGCAGGAGAATCACTTGAACCTGGGAGGCGGAGGTTGCAGTGAGCTGAGATTATGCCACTGCACTCCAGTCTGGGCAACAGGGTGAGACTTCATCTCACAAAAAAAAAAAAAAAAAAAAAAAAAAAAAAAAAAAAAAAAAAAAAAAAATTAACCTGCTGGAAGACCTGGGGGTAAAAGCTTCCCAATAGAGAGAACAGTAAGTGCAAAGGCTCTGAGGTGGGAACAGGCATGGCATGAGTAACAAAGGCCAAAGTGACTAGGATCTAGTGAAAAAGAGGCAAAGGGGTAGAAAATGAGACCAAAGATATGTCAGAGCCCAGGCAATGTAGAGTTTTGTAAACTATAAGCCAGAGAGAGTTTGAATTTTATTGTAATGATAATGAAAAGCCACTGACAATTTGGGTTCTGGGTAGTAATAGGTTCTAATATGAATTTTAAAAATATCACTCTGGCTGTTGTGTAAGGACTGAATCATAGGACTTGCAAAATGACAGAGGGTCCATTTTTCCATTACTCTCTGCTTCTCCCCAACACCCTACTAAAATGACCATAAATTTAAATAAAAAGGTAAAACTTATAAGTACAAAGGGAATTAAAGAGGACAGGATGGCAACACTAATTTAGAAGCTGAAAAACAGATGGGTGAGTGGGATCTGATTTGTCAGCTCCAAGAAAGTACCTGACTTGTCAGGTATAAGGTTGACAATGGGAGAAGCAGAGATTCTGATTTATTCTGTAGATACCCTAACCTCCAAAGCTCTTGCAAAGGCTCAGGAATCACCAAGATCAGATGCCTCTGGAAATGAGGTCGAGGTGAAGGTTGAAGCATTGGTTGATGGTCAGTTTAAGAAGAAAATAGCCTTGTAAATTGATTCCCTCATTCTGTGAAGTTGGTGACTGTCCCTCCTGCCCTCTTCAGAAGACTGAAGATTCATTCTTTGAAGGGGTAAAATCTGAGGGTCTCTAGAGTTACCCAGGCACAGTGGGAGAAGGAGTACCAGAATAAAAACAGGTGAATTAAATGAAAGTTTACATAGCATATGAGTTCTTAGAAAGTTGACAGCAAAACTTATAACCCTCAGGCAGGATATTAGAAAAGCTTTTTCTAGGGAAACTGTACTAGTCTAAGAAAAGAAGTTCAGATATTGACATGGGGATTCCCAAGGAAATAGTCTGAATAGATCACCTTGTGGGGAGGTCTGCAGTTATGTGCACAGTCAGCCATCTTTTTAGCACTTCACTTAAATATTTACAGACTGCCAAGGATCACCAGACATTTGGGCTCCATTGTTTATATTATAATGTAAATTATTAAAGCCAATCAAATATGCAAACAGAACAAAGTGTCATGGAGGAGATTTCCCTGTAAGAAAAAGAAAATGCAAAATCAGACAAAAAGTTATTTATACTAATTTCCCTGAAAAGATAAAATGCATCTATGGATCAGGGATAGAATGCTAGAAAATAGAAACATTTAGAAAACAAAAAGATCTTGGTACCTACTCCCACCACCATAGCTATGATTAAAAACATAACACAACAAAACAAAAATCAACTCAGTGGAATGATTCAAAGGAAAAGCTGAGGAAATCTTCCTGGATATATAGCAAACAAAAAGATTAGGCCGGGTGCAGTAGCTCACACCTATAATCCCAGCACTTTGGGAGGCTGAGGCAGGCAGATCACTTGAGGCCAGGAGTTTGGGACCAGCCTGACCATCATGGCAAAACCTCATCTCTACTAAAAATACAAAAATTAGCCATGTGTGGTGGTGTGCACCTGTAGTCCTAGCTACTTGGGAGGCTGAGGCATGAGATGCTTGAACCTGGGAGGTAGAGGTTGCAATGAGCTGAGATTGCACCAGTGATCTCCAGCCTGGGTGACAGAGTGAACTCTGTCTCAAAAAAAAAAAAAAAAAAAAAAAAAAAAGGAAAGATTAAAGACAAAAAGAAAAAAGTTATGAAAATTTGAGGACTAGGAATTCCAAAACTTAGATAACATGAGTTAATCAAAGAAGTCAGGGAAAAGAGACAGAAAAAAAATCAAGAAACAGTTTTAGAAAATAATCCAGAACTAAAGTACGGAAATCTTCAGATTGAAAGGGTTCTCTGAATGCCCAACACTGTGGGTGAAAACAGACTAACATACATTGTGAAATATCAGAATATTGAGGAACAAAGAGATGATTATGAAAGCTTTCAGAGGATAAAAACGAAAACATCAAGGCAATTGTTAACTCCAGGGAAAAGAAAAAGTTGCCCAAGAAAGAAAGGTAACCATTGTATATTGCATAGATTAGCAGTAAATAGTGTTAACTGCTTCTCAGGAGGACTTATTGATATTTGGGGAATTTTTTGTGCAGCAGTGTTCTGCATATTGCAGAATTTATGGCATCCCTGACCCTCACCCACTAGATGCCAGTGATCCAGTTTATCCTCCTACCGCAATATTCTGACAAACCAAAATGCTGCCCCACACTTCAAATTTCCTCTTAAGGGGCATTATTGAGCCACGTCAAAAAATCACTGGTTTACAGAGTAATAATAATGTAAATCCTGATTATTAAATCAAAATTAGTGGATTGTGAAGATAGGGTAAATAGGAGGTGCACAGTCAGAGAACAAAAGCCACACCCTCATTCTTCACAGCAGCACGTCAATAGATAATGCCAAAAACTGACTAGTCATGATTTATTCAGAGATACAGAGGTAAACACAACAGATTAATTAAACGAATTGAAGGTGGCTGTTTTCAGAGAGGGGGAATAGGATGGTAAAGGAATGGTTGGGGAATGCTATTGTTTCTTGAGAGGACTTACAGAATTATTTGATTTTTTAAAAAAAGCATGGGAAAGTATAATTCCGATTACATTGAAAATGAGATTGGGCGTAGCACTGGAAGCAGGAAGATAGTTAGGACGATCAATTTTTATCTATCATCTATCTATCTATTATCTATCTACTTACCTATCTCTCTCTCTCTTTTTTTTTTTTTTGAGATGGAATCTCACTCTGTCACTCAGGCTGGAGTACAGTGGTGTGATCTCAGCTCACTGCAACCTCTGCCTCCTAGGTTCAAGAGATTCTCATGCCTCAGCCTCCTGAGTAGCTGGGATTACAGGTGCACACCACCACACCCAACTAATTTTTGTATTTTTAGTAGAGATGTAGTTTCACCATGTTGGCCAGGGTGGTCTCGAACTCCTGACCTCCAGTGATCCACCTGCCTCAGCCTCCCAAAGTGCTACCCACCTATCTCTATATCCATCCATCTATTTATCCGTCTGTCCATCCATCTGTCCGTCCGTCCATCCGTCCATCCATCCATCCATCTATCCATCCATCCATCCATCCATCCATCCATCCATCCATCCATCCATCCATCCTTTTATCCACATGCCCATTTTACAAAAGGTGAAAATGTGGCTTAGCAGGCTTAAACAGCTTGGTAAGTAGCTCCAGGTCACAGTCAGCAGAGGGAGAAGCCAGAGTGAGCTGAAGCAGTTCAACTCTAAAACCGAAGCCCTGATCCCTCTCATCTGTTGCATGTGAAAGGGCAAGTTAGAGGAAATGGTGAAAGGAGCAGGTAACAGACCTGAGGGAACATTAGTTATTCTCTGAAGATTGCTTCTATCTTTGAGACTGGTGTTGCCTGGCTGACCCTGGCAGATGTGATTGAAAGAGCTTTCTGCTCACAGACCGCTGTAGAAAAGTGCATGATGGAGGGAACTCTGGTTCAAGCTGTTCTTGACAGGCACTCCCAGAGCTACCAAGAGAAGAAAGGGAACTAGCACTGAGTCCCTGGATTTAAATGCCACCTTCTCAGAGGGCCTTTTATCAAAGATTACATACTTCAAATGGCTGATCCCTGGGGATCTGTCTCCAATAGTATGATTAGTGTATTTAGAACATCTTTCCTTGTCGTTTTCTTTTGTGTAACTTCAGAACTATCCTATATAGTATCTTTCTACGAATTTATTTGACAATAATCTCGAGAATAGTTGGTTTTGTTTTTTGGCTTTTATTTCCTTTTCTTGACACAAGGGAAATATCATCCCTTTCCCCAAGCACCCTGTTTTTAAACTCTATCCTATTTGTCACATCAGATTTTCATATAGACATTATTGTTATTTTATTTTATTTATTTTATGTTTTTGAGATGGAGTCTTGCTCTGTCACCCAGGCTGGAGTGCAATGGTATGGTCTCAGCTCACTGCAACCTCTGCCTCCTGGGTTCAAATGATTCTCCTGCCTCAGCCTCCCAAGTAGCTGGGATTATAGGTGCCTGTCACCACACCTGGCTAATTTTTGTATTTTTCATAGAGACAGGGTTTCACCATGTTGGCCAGGCTGGTCTCGAATATCTGACCTCAAGTGATCCACCCACCTCGCCCTCCCAAAGTGCTCGGATTACAGGTGTGAGCCACCATGCCCAGCTGACATTGTTGTTATTTTTATAAAAATATAATATTTTCTCTCTGAAGAAAGTTGGAAAAATATTAGAAAATTACAAATAAGAAAACAAAACCCACCCAAATTCTACCACCTAGAGACAACCACTACTTCTAACTATGTGGACGCGAGCCTCTTCATACGCATGAGAACTCCTTGAGGGTGTGGTCAAGAGTTTCATCTACAATTTTCTAGCCCCAGTTAGGGCCCTGGCACAACTGACACTCAAGACATGTTTGCCAAAGCTTCAGTTAGGCGTGCAGTATTTAAGTAAAAAGTATATTTAAAAATGTAAAAAGAGCTAGCCCACTTGGGTAGAGAGATGAAGAATCTTTGAAAAGTCCGTATATCAATTTTAAATCACTAAGCACATTTTCAAGATCCTTTCACTGTCCTCCACCATACTGTTCCTTTTCCAGAGCTTATTCCCTATGATGGGCAACATTCTCTTTGGGGTCTCCTGCAGCGTGAGCTCACTGGGCTCATTCCCACCTTTGAGGCTTCCCTTGTCTAGAATCCTCTTTCCTCATGCTATTTTGCATATCTACAGCCTATCCATTCATCTAGTTTCAGCTCAAGTCCAATCTTCTCTCTACGCATCCCTGTTACTTGGCTTCATTTATTTCTCTTTCTTTTCTGGATTCTGCAGCCCGTACAACCTATAGCTTAGCCCTTCCTTGTGGGCTGACTTGAATCATCTACCATCATCATTGCACCTAGGTTTGACTTCCTTCTTAGCAGAGGGCTAGGCACAAGGCAGATAGGCAACAAAAATAAACGTATGTTTAATAGCATTTACTCAGAACAATTAAAAACAGCTAATCCTAGGTTTGGGAGGTAGTTTTCTTTTCTTTCTTTTTCTTTTCTTCTCTTTTCTTCTCTTTTCTCCTTCCTTCCTTCTTTCCTTCCTTCCTTTCTTCTTTTTTGTTTTTTTTTGTTTTTGTTTTTGTTTTGTTTGAGATGGAGTCTCGCTCTGTCACCCAGGCTGGAGTGCAATGGCACAATCTTGGCTCACAGCAACCTCTGCCTCCCAGGTTCAAGTGATTCTCCTGCCTCAGCCTCCTGAGTAGCTGGGATTACAGGTGCCTGCCACCACATCCGGCTAATTTTTTTTTTTTTTAATTTTTAGTAGAGACAGTGTTTCACCCTGTTGGCCAGGCTGGTCTCAAACTCCTGACCTCAGGTGATCTGCCTGCCTCGGCTTCCCAAAGTGTTGGGATTGCAGATGTGAGCCACTGCATCCAGACGGAGGTAGTTTCTCGGTAATTCTGAGGTGGGGTCTAATAATGCTGTTTCAAGGAAGTGGAATTCCAGCTACTGGGCTTTGGGATGACTTTTTGGATAGAGCACAAAAGAGATTTGAAATAGAGAGCTGGATTCAGAAGGCTGAGGTGGGAGGATTGCTTGAGCCCAGGAATTCGAGGCTGCAGTGAGCTGTGATCCTGTCACTGCACTCCAGCCTGGGCAACATAACGAGACCCTATCTCTACAAGAAGTGTTCTGAAAATTAACGAGACGTGGTGACCCATGCCTATAATCCTAGCTACTTGGAAGACTGAGGTGGGATGATCACGTGAGCCCAGGAGTTCAAGGCTGCAGTGAATTATGATCGCACCACTGCACTCCAGCCAGGGCAACAGAGCAAGACCTTGTGTCTAAAAATAAAAATAAAAAAAAAAAGAAATACAAAGCTGGCTTATGTGGAGCCTGTGGACTAAGCACAGGGTAACACCTGTGTGAATTGAAAAGGGCAGCTCACCTTCTGAGCACATAACAGGATGAGAGAGCTGTCAAGTAAGTGGGAGAAAAGCACAGTCATGCAATCTAATGTAAGAACTTTGCACACAGAAATGTTTCCTTAAGCTCTTAGAAAACAGCTTCCACAAGAGCAGATGTTTCATGTGGAGTCTGTGAACTAGGGAGGTTTGCAGGGTGAGAAGAATGAGCCCACCTGCCTTGCAGGCCAGCCCTGAGTTGCACCTGGGTCATTCGCTCTTGTGAAATGGAAGACCTGGCAGGGTGTGGTGGCTCATGCCTGTAATCCCAGCACTTTGGAAGGCTGAGGCAGGCGGATCACCTGAAGTCAGGAGTTTTAGACCAGCCTGGTCAATGTGGTAAAACCCCATTTGTATTAAAAATACAAAAAATAAAAATAAAAATAAAAATTAGCCAGGCATGGTGGCACATGCCTGTAATCCCAGCTACCCAGGAGGCTGAGGCAGGAGAATCACTTCAACCCAGGAGACAGAGGTTGCAGTGAGCTGAGATTGTGCCACTGCACTCCAGCCTGGGCGACAGAATGAGACTTGTCTCAACAAACAAACAAACCCAAGACCTGACCACTAGGGACCACTTCTTAGCTCCTCTTTTATTTTGCAATTACCCCTACAAATGGGTATGTAAATTTAACAGCAACACAGTTAAAGGTGCCAGCTGAAGCCCAGGCTGCCTCCCCAGCTTGTTTTCAATCAGGCTTTATGGAACAGTTTCTTTCAAAAGCCCCGTCCTCACTGCTCACTGACACTAATCTGTGGTGGTTTGAGTTAACGGGTTCTAAGATGGTCTTTACTTATAATGCCTTTTCTTCTCCCACACTCCTTCTGTAAGATATTTCACCTCCCAAAGTTGGTAGTTCGCTCCCGGGCTGATGCTCAGAGTGTGGAACTTGAGGAGCTGCGGTGACATCCTGCAGCCACACGGGAGGTGGCTCCTCAGGGGCGATTGCTGGCTGTGTCACCACCAGGGGACACCGGGCACAGCTTGAAGCTTGGGGACAGGGAGCTGAGAGGCACCTACGGTTAGAAAAGCATTTCCTGTATCAAATTGGCTTCCTGGGAAATTACCAGAGCAAATGTGGTGAATTCTATCGATTCCCCCGCAGGAGCTTCCTTCTGGTCTCTTTGTGTGTGCGTTTGAATGAGACAACAAATTAACTGTTCACATATAAAGAGTCAACAGATAACTTATAGGATACCATATCGCTATCTTTGGAAGAAGCTTCCAGAAACAGTTGACTCCAAGACTCCTGCTGGCCTTCTGGCCTTGAGGGATGGAGCAGGAGCAGATACTGACCTCGACATTTTCTCTGAGCCTGTGGTGTGTTTGTGGTTGTTTGAAATCTCTGAATATCTGCCTCCTTTAATAACTATTTCTTGAATGCCAAGTGCAGGGCACTGTCCTGGTGGTGACAGTGGTGGTGTGTATGTTGGGATGGAGTCGGGGGAAGTAGAAAATATATAAAATACCTCTGCCCTTGAGGAGCTCAATTAGTAGGGGAGATGAGACACATCCACCCAGCTCTCAAGCCAAGCAGAATTCATTTTGTGAGGTTTAGGGAGGTAAAGTGCTGTGGGATGTCTTAGGCAGTTTGGGCTGCTATAACAAAAATACCTTAGCTAGCTGTGGTGGCATGCCTAAAGTCCCAGCTACTCAGGAACCTGAGCCTGGGGATCCCTTGAGCCCAGAAATTTGCCCAGAGACTAGCCTGGGCAACATAGCAAAACTCCATCTCTACAAAAAAAATGTAGAAAATTAACAAAATTAACAAAAGTATCTTAAACTGGGTGGCTTATAAAAAACAGACATTTATTTCTCACTTTGAGAGACTAGGAAATCCAAGACCAAGGTGCCTGTAGAATTGGTGTTTGGTAGGGGCTCAATTTCTGGTTCATAGATGATGCCTTCTCTCTGTGTCCTCACATGCTGGAAGGGCCTCTTTGGGGTCTCTTTTATAAGGACACCAATCCCATTCACGAGGTCTCCATCCTCAAGACCTAATTACCTCCTAAAGGCCCCACCTCCTAGTGCCATCACTTTGGGAGTTAGGATTGTAACATATGAATTTTGCGGGAGGGCACAGACATTTGGGTGTCAGGAAGAGAGAGTGGTGCTGAGGCTGGAGAGTCTGGAAAAGGTGGCATTTGAGCATGGCTTTGAGGGGATTTCAGAAAGGTTTTGGGGATTGATGTGAACAAATGCAGGTCAAATAAAGCTCCAAAGTGTGAAACCCAAAACAACCTGTAGTTCTATCTAGCCAAAGAGGGTACAGTGTAGAATAGTGGGTGAGGAACACGGACTCCAGAATCAGACAGTTTGGGTTCCAATTCTGCCTCTACCAACTCTGGCTGTGTGACTGTGAGCGATCATTTAATGTCCCTCAGCTAAACTGTCCTCATTTGGATGGAAACCCCTAACACTGCCCATAGTGTCTCACAGGTCATGTTCATGACTGATTAGGAAACCATCTTGGCTTTGACAGACGATGGGTGCCTCAGCATCCACGGGATTCCCCTTCTTTCCCGATCAAGTCTCCAGGCTGGACTTCAGCAGTACTGGGGAGCCCCTTCTCTCTCTGCCTTCGTCCTCTGATCTTTTCTCTTCCTCGGTCCACTCTTTGCACCTCAGAGTCCCAGCTCCCTCTAGCGGGTGCCTCCCAACTTCATGACCAGCATTTCTAGATTCAGATACTGTAGGTCAGAGAGGCCTTAGGTCTTTTCCATTCTGTAAATCAGAGCATCTGCAAGATAAGCCAACTTTTCTTGCTGATGTTGGTCAGATCCTCACAGACATCAACATTCACAGAATCTCTCGCTATCATACTAAGTTAGACCCTGCTTCCACTCAGGGGTGAGGAAGGGGAGTGATGAAGGAACCAGACTTGTGTTTTTCCACACATAAAATAGAGAGAAGGAAAGTACTTACCTTACAGAGGCTTTGTAGGATTCAAATGAGATAATGCAAGCAAAGCCCATAGCGCAGTGCCAAGCACAGAAGAATCTTTCAACAATGATTATTGTTAGTGGTATTATAGCTATATCCCGAGGGTCTACTCTATGGGGACTGGAGGATCTTGGATAGTTGTGATGGTTCAGTGCTAATATTTTTCTAGAATCTCTCCTGTACCTATGCTAGGCCCCTTGTTAGCCGCTTTACCTCAGCTGTTTCTAAAAACCATAATGGTTAGTATTACATTCATAAATATTTTATTATTTTTGTTTGCACACAATCTTATATGTTTGCAAACAACTTGACTCTGGACAACTTTAGCCAGAGGCGTTTTATCAGGGAGCATTGAGGTCCCCCATAGAATCCTAACAGCTGGACCACAAGATTCAAGAAGGGTCAGAGCCTGGGCAACCCCAGGGACCTGAGCGGCAGGACTTTGTTTATCTTCTCCCCAAAAGGTTACTATGAATGTGACTTCAATTCCAACTTTCTGGTCCCAGTTTCCTCATCTGTAAGCAAAGGTGATATTACTAGTACATAGTACCTAGATGTATTTTGAGGATGTAAACAAGTTAATAGAAAAGAGTGCTTAGAACAGTGTTTGGTACACAGTAAACCCTATCTGTGTTTGCATTATTATTATTATTATTATTATTATTATTATTATTTGCACTAAAGACTCTCAGGTTTCTGCCTTTCAGTACGAACATCCAATTTCCAGGAAAGAGAAATGAGTTGTTTTATATTGGGCCAGGTGTCACCTCAGGCTGAGTCAGGTTGTAGCATATGGGTGGTGATATGCTTGGGCTTTGTGTTCCTACTCAAATCTATCTTGAATTATAATCCCCATAATCCCCATGCATCAAGGGAGAGACCAGGTGGAGGTAACTGGATCTTGGGGGGCAGTTTGCCCCATGCTGTTCTCATGATAGTGAGTGAATTCTCTTGAGATCTGATGGTTTTATAAGCGTTTGGTAGTTCTTCCTGCGTTCATTCTCCTTCCTGCCACCCTGTGAAGAAGCTACCTTGCTTCCCCTTCACCTTCTACCATGATTGTAAGTTTCCTGAGGCCTCCCCGGCCATGCTGAATTGTGAGTCTATTAAACCCCTTTCCTTTATAAATTACCCAGTCTCGGGCAGTTCTTTACAGCAGTGTGAAAACAGACTAATACACAATACAGGTGGGAAGATTACTTGGTACAGTCATGACCCCTTGGGACCCATACCTCTCTGTTTGCAGAGACGGCAGCCCCCACAGAAGCTGTCTACTGCAGTCACTAGTCCCATTTTACAGATGAGGCAACTAAAGATCAGATATATCTGCCTTCATGCTCAAGGTCACATTGAGTCATCAGTGAAATGTAGAACCTAGATTGAAATGTAAATTTCTGTGCCTCCGAAAGCCCACAACCTCCCCATCTACAGTTTACTGTGTTCTCTTGTGTCCTTCTAAGCCATTCTAACCAAGTATCTTTGAATCAAACTCATGATGTGGCAAACTCACTTGGAGACACAGTAAGTGGTGAAGGGTAGCAAGAAGACCATGATATGCTAATACCTACTTCACAGTCAACTGAAGAGAGAAAACCTGAAGTTCATTTTCCTATTTTAAATTAGGTTACCCAGGCCATTAAGCCAGTAATAACAGAGTTTTAGATTTTTGGACAGAGTGTACAATAGCCAGAACTTATTGTTATGCAAATGAAAGACAGACATTCAAGGTGAAATACCCTGGGTCCAACTTAAAACTAACCTTGTTGCCAACAACAGCCATATAAGGAAGGATGAAAAAAACTTTTAGGCATTTATCTTGGCTTCATTTCACCATATAATTATCTCCTATATGCTGTCTATTTGTGATGAAACCATCTATTTAGTTTCTTAAAATAAAAAAAATTGTCAAGAAGGACAAGTTGTCTTGGCTTTGAAGCCGGTACTAATGACGGGTCTTTTTTATTATGAAAATCATTATCTCAGTGTAACTGTGTCCCTTTCTTTTAATTATATAAACACAGCTCATCCAGTCTGATGGTGGCATCACAGTGAACGGATTTTAGGAGGCTGTGCAGAAAATCCTGTGAGTTCTGGAGGTCCATGGGTTATTTTTTAATTTTTGGTTTTGCCAAAGAATATTCTTGAACAGCAAATCACAAAGGAAATGCATAGGTCGTACATAGACTTGTGCTTCTCTGAACACCCTTTGCTTTACCAATCCACTGAACATTCCTTATGGGCAGAGATCGTGTCTCTGTTGCTTATGATTTTAGCCCCAGTGCCTGACCAAAAGTTATGTGCTCAGTCAGTATTTCTCAAAGTGAGTTGGATTCCAGGTACTTTGGCTTTGGTTACCATTGTCATCACTATCATGCGGATTAAGTAGCCAGATAGGCCAGTCGTCATGATCAGTATTTTGGGGGGCACGTTAACTGAGGCTGAAAAAAGTCAATTTCCTTGTCCCCAAATTAAAAAGTCAATAAATGTCCGCGCGCGGTGGCTCATGCCTGTAATCCCAGCACTTTGGGAGGCTGAGATGGGCGGATCACGAGGTCAGGAGATCGAGACCATCCTGGCTAACATAGTGGAACCCCGTCTCTACTAAAAATACAAAAATCAGCCGAGCCTGGTGGTGGGCGCCTGCAGTTCCAGCTACTTGGGAGGCTGAGGCAGAAGAATGGCTTGAACCTGGGAGGCAGAGCTTGCAGTGAGCCAAGATCTCGCCAATGCACTCCAGCCTGGGTGACAGAGCGAGACTCCGTCTCTAAGTCAAAAAACAGAGGCTGGAATCCAGGGCTCAGGTCTCCAAACTAGATAGTACCAGTCTCTCTTGGTCTCTGTTCCCCAATCTCTGCCAGCAGGAATGGTATATGGGGTGCTTTGTTTCCACCCCCTACACCAGATGGCAGTGATGCCAAAAGTCTTGGAAAATGATCTTTAGTCTGTGTGAAATCCTCATAGGATTGTTCCAATAGGAAAAAATTTAAAAATTAATAATAAAAAGGTATTTGGAGTGGATTAAGATATCTAGCTCTCAAATATTGCCTGTTCTCACATATAAGTGGAGGCTAAATGATAAGAATATACAAACACAAAGAAGGAAACAACATCCCACTTGAGGATGGAGGGTGGGAGGAAGGAGAGGAGCAAAAAAGATCACTATTGAGTACTGCGCTTAATACCTGGCTGATGAAATAATCTCTCCAACAACCGCACATGACACGTGTTTACCTATGTAACAAACCTTCACATATACTCCCAAACCTAAAATAAAGTAAAAAATATATATATATATATATACCTAGCTCCCCAAACCAAGCCAGCATTTATTTCCTAAACCCAGAGTACTGATATTCATTATGATTTCATGTTTTTTTTCTTTATAAGACATCGTTAGGCTCCTGTTTTGTTTATAACTTTAAGATGATCAATAATATACAACCCCGTGGTGCCCTCTAACCATTTTGTCTATTGAATTGAATTCTGAACTCATGACAAATGTATCTAAACTCCAAACACTGTCACACTGCTTAAGAAAATATTTATCTTTTGGCCGGGCGCGGTGGCTCACACCTGTAATCCCAGCACTTTGGGAGGCCGAGGTGGGCGGATCCGAGATCAGGAGATCGAGACCATCCAGGCTAACACAGTGAAACCCCGTCTCTACTAAAAATACAAAAAATTAGCTGGGTGTGGTGGCGGGCACCTGTAGTCCCAGCTACTCAGGAGGCTGAGGCAGGAGAATGGCGTGAACCCGGTAGGCGGAGCTTGCAGTGAGCTGAGATCGCGCCACTGTACTCCAGTCTGGGCGACAGAGCGAGACTCCATCTCAAAAAAAAAAAAAAAAAAAAAAAGAAAATATTTATCCTTCCCAATCTCCCGCCCCAGCTTCTTGAATTGTTTTGCCCTCTTTATCTGATTCTCTTTCCGTCTTGATGTTATTTCCTTCCCTAATTCCTCTAAGTCTGGATTATATTTATGGCACCCTCAAGGAGCAGTTGTGTGCGTGCTAGAGATGGCTTATATTGGCTCGCTAGAAACAATTGTTAAATTTTTAGGAATTTTGCAAGCTGATTATGAAACCTAGCTGTTATAAAAAGGTAAAATTGTTTAAACTTAGTCTTTATATATTATTTATATATGTTTATGTTATTTAACATATTAAAACAGGTAATAAATATGTAAAACATCACTTTTTAAAATTGTTATTTATTTTTATTTTTGAGACGGAGTCTCGCTCCCCTGCCCAGGCTGGAGTGCAGTTGCATGATCTCAGCTCACTGCAGTCTCCGCTTCCTGGATTCAAGCAATTCTCCCTGCCTCAGCTTCCTGAGCAGCTAGGATTACAGGCGCCTGCCACCACACCTGGCTAATTTTTGTATTTTTAGTGGAGACGGGGTTTCGCCATGTTGGCCAGGCTGATCTTGAACTCCGGACCTCAGGTGATCCTTCCACCTCAGCCTCCCAAAGTCCTGGGATTATAGGCATGAGCCACTGTGCCAGGCCTGCCAGGCCAAACTCATCACTTTCCAAGGATTGGACTACATTCTATTGTCATCTATGCTCTTGGGTTTTTTGTCTATTGTATTGTATCTGTATGGTAGAATTACTCTATAAAGATGTGCTGCTGTCCATTCCTTCCCAGCTCTGTATTTAGTGATGTCACATTGGTAACTTGAAATTGGTCTTGGTAGGCGTACTTTCACTGTGGGAATTGAAACTGTACAAAGCAAGTCTTCGTAGAGCCAGTTGTTAAACATTTGTCAGCACACACTGCAGTGGTGAGGCTGTAGCCATTGAAGAGTGACATGGTAGGCTTTGAGTCTCTGTCAAGCAGTCGTGTCACCTGGGGTAAATTGCCTAATCTCTCTGAACTGTAGTTTCCTTGTCTGTAAAATGGATTTGTTGTGAGAGTCAAACAGTAGAATGCCTATAAGACATATCAGAATTCTTTCTTCCCTCATCACATGGATTATGCTTAAAAACTGATTGCTATTGTACTTGTTAATACTGCAGCCTTCTCTTTATGTAGTGGGAAGAAAATATGTCTTTTCTGAGATAGATATGGCTGCTTTTGTCATCTGCAGAAGTTGCAAACCCTTGTTTTATGGGTAGATATTTCTATTGTTTAAGAATATGACTTGATGCAGCTTGAGGGGACCTTTATGGACAGAAAAGTGAAACGCCTCCTTGACACAACCTATTTGGGTGACATTAAGTACAAGATAGAGCTGACTTCGTCTGTGTGATACAGGGAGAAGAATTTTGAGATTCCACGGGCAATTCAGGAAGTAGGACTGAAAGCAAAAGCAGAAACATGCAGAGAATTAGAGAGCTCCGAGAAGAGTGTGTGGGCAGGGTAGGGAAAGGGGGCTACAAACACGGAAGCAGATGAGGACTGCAGAGAAATCCACTCAATGAGAAATTTTCCAAGGTTGGGATGGATGGGATGTCCAACTGTCAAGGTGAAGTTGTTCCTGGTCTTGGTTTTATCTTCTGCCATTACTGCCAAACCTAATAAAAGTGTGGGACAAGGCCAGATGCGGGGCTCATGCCTGAATCCCAGCACTTTGGGAGGCCAAGGCAGGCGGATCACGAGGTCAAGAGATGGAGACCATCCTGGCCAACATGGTGAAACCCCATCTCTCCTAAAATACAAAAAACTAGCCAGGCATTGTGGCATGCACCTATAGTCCCAGCTACTCAGGAGGCTGAGGCAGGGGAACCACTTGAACCCAGGAGGCGGAGGTTGCAGTGAGCTGAGATCATGCCACTACACTCTACCCTGGTGACAGAGCAAGACTCAGTTTCAAAAAAACAAAAAACAAAAAACAAAATGTGTGGGACATTGTGTTAGTGGGGCTTTGGGGAGTCAGTACGAACCAATTAGAAAGGACATAGGAGATTCAATGGAAGGAAAAGTTGTAATAAACATAAGCTGCACTCCACACCCCTAATTTTCTGGGAATCTACAGAAATCTTAGTGGGAGCACTGGGTTTCCCGTAGAATATAATATTAGTTAAATATCATTATTCAAGAATTCAATAGATAGAATACTCCACCCATGGCTGGAGAGTCAAGGTCCAGGACAGTTGATCTCAAATGAACTGCACATGGAAATTGGAGCCATTTTACTGAACTATTAAAGGAAAGTCTGGAAGGCTCAGAAGACATTTAGGCAGCATATTTTTTTTTTGTTTTGTTTTTTGAGATGGAGTCTTACTCTGTCACCCAGGCTGGAGTACAGTGGTGCAATCTAGGCCCACTGCAACCCCCACCTCCTGGGTTCAAGCCATTTTTCTGCCTCAGCCTCCCGAGTAGCTGGGACTACAGGCACCTGCCACCACAGCCAGCTAATTTTTGTATTTTTAGTAGAGACGGGATTTCACTGTGTTAGCCAGGATGGTCTCGATCTCATGACCTTGTGATCCACCCGCCTCGGCCTCCCAAAGTGCTGGGATTACAGGTGTTAGCCACCACGCCTGGCCCAGGCAGCAGATTTATGGGTTGCAGGAATCAATCTCACCCAAATTATACACAAATATTTACCCAATCTGTATTTTTAGTCCTAATTTCTCTCAAGCTATATTCTACCTGTTCAACTGCCTCTCTTGTGGACCTCTCTACCTGCACCTCAAAATTAACACATGAAAATCAAGGTTGGTAACTCAGCTCCAGAAACATGCTCCTCCACGTTGCCCATTTTTATGAATGTACCATTTCCCTCCAAGGCATTTGAGATAAACAAGTACTAGAAATACCAACACGACACTTCGTGTCCCCATAACCCAGTACATCAATTAGAAGGGTTGCTATTGATTGACACCATTCCCTTTTCTCTAAAGG
Organism: Homo sapiens; assembly: GCF_000001405.40. Lineage (NCBI taxonomy): Eukaryota > Metazoa > Chordata > Mammalia > Primates > Hominidae > Homo > Homo sapiens. The sequence continues at coordinate 11,827,248 of NC_000024.10, read as the reverse complement.
ATTCTTGATAGTTATAAAGCATTTCTGTCCAAACTCCCTCCCTTGACTCAGACAATAAACTTTTAAACAACCAAATTTCTCCTCATTTTACAGATCAGGAAACCAGTACTTAGCAGAGGAGTGGTTTGCTCATTGTCATCCCATGACCAGGGCCTTGCTGGTCATCTTCTTCCTGGGCCAGGTCCTCTAAGACCCATGGCTCTCCCCTTGCCTGAGGGCCAGCTCTACCAGGACCCACCTCCAGATGCAGGTTTTCATTGCTTTGCAGCATTGATTCTTTTTTTTTTTTTTTGAGATGGAATGGAGTGCAGTTGTACGATCTTGGCTAACTGCAAGCTCTGCCTCCTGGGTTCATGCCATCTCCTGCCTCAGCCTCCCGAGCAGCTGGGACTACAGGCACCCGCCACCATGCCTGGCTAATTTTTTTTTTTTTCGTATTTTTAGTAGAGATGGGGTTTCACCATGTTGGCCAGGCTGGTCTCAAACTCCTGACCTCAGGTGATCCATCCACCTCGGCCTCCCAAAGTGCTGGGGTTACAGGCATGAGCCACTGCGCCTGGCCTGCAGCATTGATTCTTACAGAAAGAGCTTCCCTGGTGGTTTTCACGTGCAGTCAATGTTGAGACTGTTCTAGATCTTGACTCTCCAGCCATGGGTATTCTATCTATTGAATTATTGAATAACGACGTTCAACTGTCATTTTCCTAAATGACAGAACTAATATCGTTTTCCTAAATGATATTAGTTGGCTACTACTGAACATGTACTAGTGATTCTAAAAAGAAAGAGTCATATTTATTACATTTAAGTTTTACTTATTTCTGCCTGTACCAGTGTGATTGCTGCTGTGAGATTTAGTAATGGCTTACACACATTGCTGGCTGAGATGATGCCTCTATATTGCTTCCTACAAGTGTTTGGCATTTGGATGCTTTTCTTTCGGCAAGGGAAGCTTTAACACGAAGAATCAGAATGTTTTAAGAAAGGGTTTATTTTATTTGGAAGTGGAGTCAGGGAGAACAAAAAACAAGAGGCACCGCTCATGGGATGACGATGAGCAAGCCACTCCTCTACACTGAGTACTGGTTTCCTGCTTAATTAAACGAGACGTTCCCTGAAAGGGCAGGTATGTGATTCTCAATGTACAGAGACTAAGCCAAGTGTCTTAAGGACTTGGAGTGAGGCTTCGTCTGATGCTGGAACTACAAGGTGAGTGCCCAGTGTCTGATCCCATTATTGTTGATCGGTGTTGGTTCCTTACGCCCTCTCTGTTTCCACCTGGTAAGCATCTATGCTTTTCTCAGTCCCACAGTAAATACCATTTCTCTTATCATCCTCTCTGAGAGGCCTTTCCTGGCTCACTCAGGTTGGTAATTTATCCGTATCTGTGTTGCTGTAGCATCTCAAGAGAACTTCTTTTTTCACAGGTGTCGTGTCATTATGATAGTTTTGTACTTGTCTCCCCAGCTAGGCTCTGGGATTCTGGTGGGCAGAGATAATTCATTTTCATGGCCCGGGGTATGCCCAGCGTTTACCACATGGGAAATGCCCACAAAATGCTTCTTGGAATGACTGGCTAAATGAATCAAAGGGTCAGCTAAGCAGGGTGGGATGTGTGGGTAAGTAGAAGGGCCTGAGGAACAGTGTCCAAGTAGCTAGGGGCATATTGTCCTGATTGAAACTTTAGAGAAATGATGTCTTTGAACGGAGAGTAGAGGGGAAAGCATGTGTCATCCAAATGGGCTTTTACATCCCGGTGAAATGGACTGAAAGCCACGCATAAAACACAAGAGCTGTTCCGTAGGCGCATTAGGTGTGACTCTGTTCGATGCTGGAATAGACTGAGAGAGGGTGGGCAGGAGTGCCAGGCATGCTATCCATTATCCAGAAATTTTTCCCACATGAGTGATACAAATACTCAGGACTCACTGCCCTCCCATGATTGTCTCAGGTGACATCATGAGCGGTACATTTTCTCATCGAGAGATGTATCCCTTTAAATGACCTAGGAAAGAAACAGAGATTGTGAATCCCCAGGCCAGCACATTGCTGCAAAGTAGCCAAGTTATCAGCCTCTCAGGTCTTCAGAGTTATTTTCGCTTTTCAGTGCCTCTTTAAGTACTAGCGATGAAGGGCGTGTCAGAGACAAGAAGTTAGCATGGTGAACTTCGGAAGACAGCCTTGCCCTAGCCTTCTAAAGAGCTGAGATCATTCTCCTGGCAGGCCCAGAGTAATGAATGCTGTCTTTGAGAGCATGAGGGTTTACAAGATATTTGTATGTGCAATCTAGGAGTGAAGAAAGTTAATGGAGATGGTTTACTGTTTTTCTCTTCTTCTTTGGAGGAATATTTATATATATATATTTTTTTGAGACGGAGTCACGCTGTCTCACAGGCTGGAGTGCAGTGGTGCGATCTTGGCTCACTGCAAGCTCTGCCTCCCGGGTTCATGACATTCTCCTGCCTCAGCTTCCCGAGTAGCTGGGACTACAGGCACCTGCCACCACGCCCAGCTAATTTTTTGTATTTTGTTTTAGTAGAGACAGGGTTTCACCAAGTTAGCCAGGATGGTCTCGATCTCCTGACCTCGTGATCCACCCACCTTGGCCTCCCAAAGTGCTGTGATTACAGGCGTGCGTCACCACGCCCAGCCTGGAGGAGTTTAATTAGGTGTCCTGGATTTGGAGAAGGACAGATTGAAGGGCTTGCAACACTGATGGTTGTGTGTGTGTGTGTTTGTGTGAGAAGAGAGAGGGAAAAGGAGAGAGAGAGAAAGGAGAGAGGAGGGCGGGGAGGGGAGGAAAGGAAAATTATTCTCTGTTTTCCGGAAGAACAGAAGAAGGGCCCTGTATAGGCAGAGTTAGGCAGATGTTAGGAAAGGCTGTGAGGGTTGTATAATCCTGGAATTGTCACCCTGAACAGTCATCTCTGGCAGAACTGGCTTATAGGTTACTGCCTTGTGGGCTACTAGATGGCTAGGTCAAAGACATCTTCCAAAGCTGCTTGATAGGAGGCATGTTCCCAGGGTTTTTCTGAAGGCTTAGCAATGCTGTTCAGTCCTTCTTTCTTACATGGGTCCAGCAGGACATTTTCCTAAAGGCTCTGAGTCCTGAGAGAGCACAAAGACCACTGAGAAAGATGGTTTGCTGAGGCCTCACGTTTTAGGCCGTAATAAATCACCGAGGCCTCCCTTTGAGTGAATTTCCAGTCTTTTCCTGTGATCAAGTTGAACTTTACCTACTTCTGGATTTGGCTCTGTGCCTGTGGGCTGCTCACTCTAGATATCTGGATAGGGCAGCATGAGCCTGGCCAGACTCCAGGAGGCGGAGGTGGAGGTTGGGCTGACAGCTTCTTCTCCGTCCTGAGAGGGTTGTGTTAATATCCACCCACCATTTCCAACTAAATTGTACAGGATTGTTCTGCTAAGCTGTTCCCATGTCCCCTCACTTGGAATGAGAGTGCAGGAAATATAAAGTAAATTACGTTTTCTTTATTGCTGAGCAAGTGTGTTTGATTCTTTTTCAGATTCTTAACAGTTACCTCTCTGCACATTAGAGGAGAAATAGACAACAATGTTTTTCAAAGACTGGCTCTTTTATCTTAGTTTTCATCTGGTCTGAATTTGTCCTTTGATTTGAAATGCAGTTTTGCGTGCCTTCCCACTGCCTTCCTCCCTCACCAGCAGCAGTTAGAAGTTGCAGTGAATGGTCTCACAGTCTAGAGAGGGATGAGGAGGGGCCAAGGTGCTCTAAAAGGTCTCAAAGTTTGGTGAAAAATCAACTTACAAAAGGCAGATTCAAAGGAGAAAAGGCATACACATTTATGTAATATGTATACATTGGAGCCTTCAGAATGAAGACCACAAAACGGAGAATAGTGTCCTTTTTTTTTTTTTTTTTTTTTTGAGGCAGAGTCTCACTCTGTCGCCGAGGCTGGAGTGCAGTGGTGAGATCTTGGCTCACTGCAAGCTCCGCCTCCCGGGTTCACGCCATTCTCCTGCCTCAGCCTCCTGAGTAGCTGGGACTACTGGCACGCGCCACCACACCTGGCTAATTTTAAAAATATTTTTAGTAGAGACGGGGTTTCACCATGCTAGCCAGGACGGTCTTGATCTCCTGACCTCGTAATCCGCCTGCCTCGGCCTCCCAGAGTGCTGGGATTACAGGCGTGAGCCACTGCACCTGGCTGATAGTGTCCATTTTTATGCTTAGTTTCAACATAGTATGAACAGTCATGTAGAAATATGATTGGATAAAGAGGGAATGATCTAATGCTAACAGAGTGAGTGGGGAACCTAGCAAAGCCTGTCTGTGTAGATATATTTTGAGAAATGATGTCTTTGAGTTGAAACTAAAGGGGAAAGCATGTATCATCCACATGGGCTCTTACATGCTGGTGAAATGGACTGAAAGCAACGCATTAAACACAAGGCGCTGTTCTGTGGGTGCATTAGGTGTGACTCTGTTCTATGCTGGAATAGAAGGAGAGAGGGTGGGCCTCTCTGAGCATACATTCTTTCCTTCTTGGCCTCTGTGCAGTCCTTCCTTCTGGGGCGTGGGGCAGGACCCTTTCAGCAAATAAGTCAAATGACTGTAGAATAAGTCAAATAAGGTAGGTCAGATTAATTTCTTCATGTCCAGTTTTTTAACATAGAATGGCAGAGGGAAAGTTATAGTAGTATTTTTAGGTTTTATGGCTGGCTTTGGAGAAAAGGGGTTCTGGTTTCTGTGACCTGCCTTGGGGAAGAGGGATTCTAGTTTCGATGGCTAACTCCGGGGAAGCTGTAGGGGCCAGAAACACGAAGGGAGGAGAAGGTCAGAGAAAAACATTTGCTTCTGAGGCAGCTTCACAGGCCTTCCTTTTGGAGTGGTCTCTGAGCCCCACGAATTGCACACTGGGATTGCGCTTTGGGTATGCTCTATGCTACCACTAACTAGTAATACTTTTGTAAGTCATTTGCTCCTCAAAGCCTTAGTTTTTTCACATGTCAAATAGGGGAAATGATAATTACTCACAGGGTGCTATGGAAGTTAAATGAGAAAACTGAACAAAATGGGCACTGACTTGATGTTGGCTGAATGAATAAATTTGCAGGTGAGTGAACCTTGAGCTTGGTTTAGTGGAGGAACCAGGACAAGTCCTCATGAACTTCTTTCTGACTGCTACTTTGTTTCTTTACACAGGTAGATTTTGGTTACACAGGTGGATTTGGCTACATTGTTTCTTTACACAGGTGGATTTTGGTTAAGAGACCAATCATCTTAATTCTTAATTGAAATGTTTTCTGGCCTCTAAGAAAGTTCTGCATGTATCAATGTGTGTATGAAATGAGTGTGTGTGTGTGTGTGTATTTGTGTGGGTGTGTGTGTTTTCCAGAATGGTGTTTTGGGTCATCCAAACAGTTTCTTTTTGGAGAACAGATCACCAAATACTAGTCTTCTTCATAGAAACATGTATTTCAAGCAATGCAAATTGGGACTATGTTTTGTGGTTATGTATTTATAGCACCATACTATATACCATAACCTATGTTTTCTGTTATAGTACATCATAGCACCTCCAAACGAATTAATGAGTAGGGAGCTGAAAGGGCATAGAGCAAGAAGTAGTGTCAGATGTGGTGTTTTAGGGCAGTTTAGGGAGATGAGATTAGAAATGGGTGGTTTAATCCTTAGATGCATAAAATGTTTTGTATTTCTCAAAGTCCTCTCACTTGTGTCATTTCATTTGATTCTAACAATGTCTCTTGGACATGAAAATCAATCGTTGTCTCCATTCTGCAGATTGTAAAACATAGACCCAGTTCCTTAGGTAAGTTTTGTAGCCAAGGTACGATGCAAAGCCAGGTAATCTGCCTGGAGTATTCTGTTTCACTAACTGGCCTCCCAGCTTCCATTTCTTCCTTCAGAATCATCTCCACACGGCAGCAAGAGTGACCCTTTAAAACTTAAATCAGATCGGCTGGGTGTGGGGGTTCACGTCTGTCATCCCAGCACTTTGGGAGGCCGAGGCAGGTGGATCACGAGGTCAGGAGTTCAAGACCAGCCTGGACAACTTGGTGAAACCCTGTCTCTATTAAAAATACAAAAAAATTAGCTGGGTGTGGTGGCGGGCACCTGTTACCCCAGCTACTCAGGAGGCTGAGGAAGAGAACTGCTTGAACCTGGGAGGTGGAGCTTGCAGTGAGCCGAGATCGGGCCACTGCATTCTGCAGTCCGGCCTGGGCGACAGAGCGAGACTCCATCTCAAAAAAAAAAAAAAATCAAAAATGTAAATCAGATCATGTCAGTCTCCTGAAGAAAACCTTCCCATGGCTCCCTGTTGCAATTCTGATCAAGCCCACATCCTTGCAAGGCTTATGGGTCCCATAGCTGGCACTCTCTCCCTTTCCTCACCTTCCATTCTGCCTCTTGCTTTCCCCAAACATGCCAAGTGCTTTCCTGCCTCAGGCATTTTCATGTGCTCTTTCCTTTGCCTGGGATGCTCCTACCCCAGACCCACAGATCACAGGTGTCTTCTCATTGTGGCACCATCCCTATATGCTTTATAGAATTAATCAGGAAGAAACAGGCAGGAGGCAGAGGGAATGAAAATAAACCCAGCTTGCAGCACACTCAGCATTCATCATGAGGCCAGCCTGCTCTCTGAACTGCTTCCTCAGAGCAGTTTGGTGCCTATTGTCCTAGAATCACATAGACCCTAGATTGTAGCTCCCCTTAACTGCTCTATAGGTAACATTTTGAACATTACAAAATATTAGGGTTTCCCTTTGACATATTCCTTCAGGTCTTGCATACCAGCGCCACTAGTGGCAACTGGTCTGAAGGACCCCATGAGAAGTGGACTCACCAAAGGATGCAGTTTCCACATCCTGATGATTTCATCTGCCTTACCCCAACCAATCAATAACCCCAAATTTCCAGGCCCCTGCTTTCTATAATTCCCTTAAAAACCCCAGCCCAGAACTCCTTAGGGAGATGGGTTTGAGGGTTTCCTCCCACCTCCTTCCTCCCCTCCCCGCCCTCTCTCCCTCTCTCCCTCTCTCCCTCCCTCTCTCCCTCCCTCTCTCTCTCTCTCTCTCTCTCTCTCTCTCTCTCTTTCTTTCAGCAGAGTCTCGCCCTGTTGCCCAGGCTGGAGTGCAATGGCACAATCTCGGCTTGCTGTAAACTCCACCTCCCAAGTTCAAGCCATTCTCCTGCCTCAGCCTCCTGAGTAGCTGGGATTACAGGCATGCACCACCACACCTGGCTAATTTTTTGTATCTTTAGTAGAGACAGGGTTTCACCCTGTTGGCCAGGCTGGTCTTGAACTCCTGACCTTGTGGTCTGCCCACCTCAGCCTCCCAGAGTGCTGGGATTACAAGCATGAGCCACTGCACCTGGCCTCCTCTCATCTCCTTTCTTGGCTGCCCAGTGAGCGTTAAACTCTTTCTCTGCTGCAGACGCTTCTGTCTCAATGTAACTGGTCTGATACTATGCAGCGGACATATGATCTTGTTAATCCTGTAACAATCATCTGGGTCTCAGCTCAAGTGACACCTCCTCAGAAAGGCCTTCCTTGAGAGTTCTATCTAACAGAGTTTAGTTACTGCCATAGCAGAGCTTTCCAGCCAGTGCACCTTGGTACATCGGCGTGTTGTTGGTGAGAAAAAAGGATGCTGCCATAGTGACCTCTCCACCCTAGGGAAGGCCTGGGGGAGCCGCTACCCACAGCCTATGTCTTTACTCCAGCGCTCTGTGGACATTATCAATTTTTATTTTATTTATTTATTTATTTATTTATTTATTTATTTATTTATTTATGTATTTATTTATTTATTGAGATGGAGTCTTGCTCTATCTCCGAGGCTGGAGTGCAGTGGTGTTATCTCGGCTCACTACAACCTCCGCCTCCTGGGTTCAAGCAATTCTCTTGCCTCAGCCTCCCACCTAATATTTGTAATTTTAGTAGAGATGGGGTTTTACCATACTGGTCAGGCTGGTCTCAAACTCCTGACCTCAGGTGATCCACCTGCCTCGGCCTCCCACAGTGCTGGGATTACAGGCGTGAGCCATTGCGCCTGGCCCACTGTCAACTGAACATGTTTGAGAATCACTGCAGGTATCATCCTATATTACTTTTATCTTAGCATTTGTGACTATATGAAATTAACTAATTTTTTTGCTCTTTTATTTCACTTCCCTTCACTGAATGAAACAGACTTTATCTAATTTGTTTATCATTTGTTTAAAGGATTTAGTGTTTAAAAATAGCACCTGCCACATAATAGGTGCTTAATATTTATTTGTTAAAATATTGAGCCACCCCTATTGTCAAAAGAGCAGTGGCAGGGATAGGAAACTTTGTTATGACTTGAGGTGAAATTCAAGCATTGAATGGGGAAATCATCCTACAGCTGTTGGCAGGGCACTTTAAACTTTAATTACTTTAAGGATTTAGGCTGCTACTAGAAGCCCAGAAATACAATAAATGCAGTCATGTAACATTATTCTCCAAAAGAACAAACTCAGAGCAAAATCAGCAGATTTGAATGTAGGCTAAGTCTGAGGCTGTGCAAGTTTCTGCCAAAATCAGTATTTGTAAATTAATAATATTTATTTAATATTTAATACTAAAACCAAACTGCAGAAATTTAGTGAGAGAATAACTTTCATTCTTTGGGGAATATAATAAAGCCAAGCTATAACAATAAGCTTCTCTTTTTATTATGAGTTTCTGCTTCCCATACATTTCAGCTTTTAGTCAGTACATAGGTGAATGAAGGTCAAACCTTGTGGCATGAATGACCAAAACTGCTGCAGCTGTAATTCTGACAGCAAAACTGCTAATTTTCTCTTCTCTAGGAAAAAACACGAGGTGCAAAAGGAGTTACCATTCTATGTAAAAGGTAAAGCTGTGCTAATAATAACAATTAGAATTTCACTGGGTGAATTTTATCTTCATGAGTTTTATCCTCACCATGCACACGTACACACAAAGTTTGCTTAGGGAGTCTTTTTTCTCCCTCTCTCTCTGCATGTTTTTTTTAATGACCCACCCACCCATTACTTTTTTCTTTTCTTTTTTTTTTTTTGAGAGGGAGTCTCGCTTTTGTCGCCCAGGCTGGAGTCCAGTGCCGTGATGTCAGCTTACTGCAACCTCCGCCTCCCAGGTTCATGCGATTCTCCTGTCTCGTGGAGTCTCACTCTGTCGCCCAGGCTGGAGTGCAATGGCACCATCTTGGCTCGCTGCAACCTCCGCCTCCTGGGTTCAAGTGATTCTCCTGCCTCAGCCTCCCAAGTAGCTGGGATTACAAGCACCCGCCACCACACACTACATTCAGCTCATTTTTGTATTTTTAGTAGAAACAAGGTTTCACCTTGTTGGCCAGGCTAGTCTCGAACTCCTGACCTAAGGTGATCTGCCCCCCGAGGCCTCCTAAAGTGCTGGGATTAAAGGCGTGAGCCACTGCACATGGCCTACCACCTACCCATTTCTTAACTCACAGAACACACACTTGGCTCTTGGACAGCATAGCTCTTTTTCATGTAAGGAACAAACACCATCTCTATTGCCAAGTTGGTAGGAAGTATTCTTACAGTGGTTTCTGTGACATGACTTCAGATAGAATCATTAGCTGGGGATGCTGGGTAGCCACAGTTCCTGTTTCAGGCACTGATCAACTTCCAAGTCTATCTGTACTTCGATCAGGCACTGTGTGTTGGGGAATACTCCATCACTGTTCTTTTCATTTTTTGATATTGATTTCTTAGAAATAGGTTTCAGTATTCTGGAGGCATTACCCATGGTAGCAAAGAATAATCTTAAGCTGTGTGTACATGAGGTCTCTACAGTTGGTTTCATAGTGAAATATTCAGTCAACCAATCTCAGTCTTTAGATGCGGGAACTAAAAAACCAACTTTACTGATTTGGCTCCACTGAAGATCTTAAATTTTGCCTGAATCGTCCTGACAGTTTTAGACAGAGCAGCTTTTGCCTGCACTGTAAGTCAAGAAGAGGGAAAAAGAAACTGAGCAATTAGACTGTGTAGCAGGTTTACCTGTAAGAAAATTCACTTGAGTTTTGTTTTGATTGAAATTCAAGCTTTCCTTTCCAGGCTTTTAAACTGCTAATGCCAGAGGCTAGTTTGGGTGACAGCGTGCTTTGATACGTACTCTGTGACTGCAGTTTGAGGTTTTTCTTCACCTTGAACTCCCTCCTGAGGCAGGTGGTCTCCTTACTGTCCTGCTAATAAGTGATCCTCACTTCTGCCACTGTGACTTTGCCCACCTCGAGCCTGTCTTCTTTTGCCCTACACATCACGCATATTGAGGGGGTCCTATGAATGCCAAACTGAATGATCAGTCTCTTGGTTAGACGAGATGTCAGCTTTTGGTTAAAACGGGCATCTTTTAAATGATTTTCTATTGCTTACTGCAAGAGATTTTAAATTAGAAGACCAGCTTTCTGAAATTTGCCCAAGGGTAAGAATAGCTATTGAATGTGATCCTTGGAGAATAGGGAGTGGGGGAAGGGGCTTGGGATCCTACAAATAGTCCAGAGGGTTCTTATGTCAGGCAAGTTTGTCAAACTGAGCTGTACTAGGAGTTGGATGTGGGAGAGAATGTGTAAATGTGAGTCAAGTTCTTCAATGTCCAGCTGGTAAAATGGAATATGGATCATTGGCTCCCTCAGGTTCTCTGTACTGAGCCATTTAAACCAGTTCTCAGGCTTGGGTTGGCCATCAGTCCAGAAGCATAGTTTTTATATCAAGGCACCTTGGAGCTAATGTTCTGCCTTAATAGTACAGAGGAGAAAACCGAGTTTTCAATAGGTACTTTATAAACTGAGGGGAAGAATCAAAATTACAGCCCAGATCATCCAACTCAGGGCTGTTTGCTTGGGCCTGTCTAGTCAAACAAGACCAGGTGCTCTGAAAAGCTCTACCAGTGGAGTTTAATGATCTGCTGACACCGTCTTGAAATTCCTTACAATTTTATCTTTGATTGTGTGTTTTGTAAGTGCAGTCTGATGGGACAATGGAGCATGAACCAAGGACAGATGCATAATACGCATGTCCACTGTTGTGCACCGCCATGTGAGCATATAGCATTTGCAATACTGTGCGAGCATAGAACTGCAGTTGACTTATGCAGCGTGGCTGTTCATGAGACCCAAAGTGAGTACAAGGTAAATAGTTTCCACCTAAAGTCGAATAACACGCCAGAACTTACAGAAATCACAGATCTGTTCTTGAACAGATGTGCTCAACCTGAGAGCAACAGACTCAGCAGAGACTGAGTCTATGTCCTGAAGTAGGTTAAATGAGGCACAGGGTACATATGACATTTTCTAACAGGGGGATATGTGTAGCACCAAAGGCAGATAGTGGAGCAGCAGTTACGTTCTTGTGATTCTGATCGGTGTTCAGTGACTATATACATAAAATAAGGTAACTGTGTGTTTAAGTGGGTAGGGAGAAAGTTAATGACTGTGTAGGCCTTTTAGGGTCTGGTGGAGGGTGATTGATATCATCTGGTCTTTGTTCTACATCTGATAAACAGGATTACAACCAGTATCTGCCAGTGAAATATTTAATAAACTCCAATTATGTTGCTGATTGCCAGGGGTTCGGCCAAGCTCTGGTTGAAAGACACTGTGTCTGTCTTTCTTTCTTTCTTTCCTTTCCTTTCTTTCTCCCTTTCCCTTTCTCTTCTTTCTTTCTTTCTTTCTTTCTTTCTTTCTTTCTTTCTTTCTTTCTTTCTTTCTTCCTTTTTCTTTCTTTCTTTTCTTTCTCTCTCTTTCTTTCTTTTTCTTTCTCTTTCTTTCTTTCTTTCTTTCTTTCTGTCTTTCTTCTCTCTGTCTTTCTTTTTCTTTTCTTTTCCTTTCTTTCTTTTTTTTTAATGGGATCTCACTCTGTCACTCAGGCTGGAGTGCAGTGGTGCAATCGTAGCTCACTGCAGCCTTGAAATCCTGAGCTCAAGCTGTCCTCCTGCCTTGGCCTCCCAGTTGGCTGAGATTATAGACATGAGCCATGGTGTCTGGCCATATTTCCAGGGAAGAAAGGCTTTAATGCAGGTGACATCAGCCAGGAGATGGAGATAAATCTCAGATCTGTCTCTCTAATTGACTAAAATTAGGGGTTTGTAGAATGAGGAAGGAATGTAACTATGTAGGGGAAACAAGAATTAGGGAGAGATAAGGAAGAGGAGCTGGTCAATGGGAAGCAGGTAGTCGGTTAGGCCATGGTGATGAGTGTGAGGTCTGGCATCTCATTGTCTGGATGTGGTGAGCTGGTAAGTTTCAGTTCTTTGATACTCTCTGGAGGGCCTGATGGTCAGTGTCTTGTGAAAGGAGCTCAGATAAGACAAGTGTGTAAGTTTCAAGCTTTCTGGGATGGGGTAAATTTCTATTTGTATTAAAAAAAAACATAAATATTAGTTCTATGGAAAAATGGGCTGGTTTCAGTTATACAGGCGAGAGGTCAGCATTAGCTTGTAGGCCTAGGTTTTATTACTCATGTGCCCAACTGAAGCCATCTTGGGCCACTGTTTAAACTTTTTCTTTCGAATTTTCCTTTTTTTCTGACAGTGTGAAGGTCCATGACTCAGTGTCCCAAAAAGCGACACTTTCTGTTTGGACCAAAATTTACTTCCAATGTAGAAAGGAAATTGAGTTTTAAGAAACAAGCATGATGCGGGACCCCTATCATGTTCTTACTTGCTTGTGTTATTTCCCAGTGTTAGTCAAACACTTATGCTGAAAATGAGGACATGGAAGGAAAAGGCAATGTAGAGAAACCCATTGTTCCTTTTCCTTTTAGTTCTTCCTCAACCATCAGTAAGTTGAAGATAGAGTGCTTTGGTAGAATATGTGCACGATCAATAGGTGGAAAAGAGACAGCTGAGTTGGCTTTGTGCAGCATTACCACCATCCTGGTAAGACAAAATACCTATGTATGTATGAGCCATAAAATAGAAATTGGGTAATTTCTGTGATTCTGCCTTAATTAAATGCTCTTATGTTCGCACATACAACTGGCATTCTAAAGATGAACCCTATAAAGGTAAATAGTAAAATCTTCTGTTTAATTTGAAATTTCAATTTTGTTCTACTTACAACAAAATTCAATTGCAAAGAAAAAGCATCATGACAAGTGAGAGAGAAAAAGACTGTGGAAGGAAAAGGAAAGCATTTTAGCAACTTTAACAGCACTTTTGTCCTCCTTTTTGAACAGGGAACCTGCATTTTCATTTTGCACTGGGTCACACAAATTATGTAGCTGGCCCTGCTCCCGTGGTGTCTGCATTCTCAGCTTCCAGCAAAGTGACTGTTGGCCCTTGGGAGAGTTGCAACAAGGGCAGTAGACAGAAAAGGAGGCACAAAGAGTACCCCTCAGGCATAAAGATGTCACCTGGCTGCTCCAAGAAAAATCTGTGTAGCAGCTTTACCTTGGTCTCTGTGGAAACCAGTCATGTATTAAAAATGAAAAGTTAAAGCATCTTTCCACTGGCTGTCCCTCTAGGAAGGAATCTCCTTTAACTAAAATATGTTAATAGATGCAGCCTGCTACTGGCTCCTGCCAGACCTAAGGTGACACAGTTCTGCCCTTTAAAGCACAGGCTCCGTGAGGTAATTACCATTTTCCCTCCTCTTTCAAGTCCAGTGAACAAGAGAAGAGAAGAGCAGAACGAATCCATTGTATTCCAATGAGTTGTGGGCTTAAGACTTCTTTTAAGACACATAAAATTGAGCTTTTCTGTTGCTTAGATTTCTGTTAGGTTGTAGCTTTCTATTTTCTTAGAACTGAAAGTTGAGACCTTTTAGAAGGATTTGTTTACAGTTTGGTCTAAGTCCAACTCGGAAGACTGATCTCTTTCTCAAGACTGAGTTTACTTTGGGGAGGAGGTAGTGAGTTTCAATATTTCTACCCACCTGGAGCATCAGGGGTGTCTTCTATGATCAAGGAAGGAAGCCACTCAGGGTGATAGAGCTGCAGACTTCTGCTTGGTCACTCTGATAGCTCTGGGAACACTGTGCACCTCTCTGGCTGTGATGGGGAAACTTTGCAAATTGTTTCCATAAGAGCATCAGGGAGATGCTACATCATGACCCCTTGCTCCCACAAAGAAATCCTCAAAGAACCCATCTCCATGAATTCAGTCAAGTTGGCCTCTAATTTTTAAGAATGGTAATTACTTTACAGCAGGAGTGAAGGGCTCTCAAAATCATCCATAGTGAATTTTTTTTTTTTTTTTTGAGATGGAGTCTCGCTCTGTCGCCCAGGCTGGAATGCAGTGGTGCGATCTCGGCTCACTGCAAGCTCTGCCTCCAGGGTTCACACCATTCTCCTGCCTCAGCCTCCCGAGTAGCTGGGACTACAGGCCCCTGCCACCACTCCTGGCTAATTTTTTGTATGTTTAGTAGAGATGGGGTTTCACCGTGTTAGCCAGGATGGTCTCGATCTCCTGACCTCGTGATCCACCTGCCTCGGCCTCCCAAAGTGCTGGGATTACAGGCGTGAGCCACCGCGCCCTGCCCATAGTGATTTTTCAAACTACAGAACCCCTGTCCCTGAGATTTAGAGTTCTCCCTTTACCCCAAATTCTCTTTATAGTAGAAATAGGTAAATTGAAGAGCAGCAATAGGTAGGGCTTTTTCATAAACTTTACTGTATGCTTACAGCATAAGCAATGTCACGCAAAAGAAGAAACACAAAACCCCCTCCCTAGTCCTCCAAACAAGAACACTGCTTTGCTCTGCAGCAGCCATCTAGCTGGAGCTCTGGCCAGATTGCCCACAAACTCACCTGTGTTGCCTCCTCGATGGGAAAAGAAACAAGCGCACTAATGGTGCATTTCTGTGGAGAGGAGATAAGTGTCCTAATTAGGAAGGCTCTGAAAATGAGTGACTGAGGCATTATTGGATCTGATTTGGGGAGCACTACAGTCTAAAGCCTGAATGCATTAAAGAAGAGTGAATTAGAGTCAAAGGGTTTGTTAGGCAGAAAGAAAAAAGTGGAAAGTCTGTGGGGGAAGAAAATCCTTAATGGAATTTTCTATTGAAATAACCAATAAATAGCTTGTTAGAAATAGGTCAAAGGAAAATATGTATTTATATATTCATTCCCCATTTTTGTTTCATGTCTGGCTTGCTGTCCAGAAAGCTTTAATTCTGTGGTCTGTTACCATAAGAACATTGATGTAAATAACAATTATGCTTGCAGAGCACCATTGTTAATGACTTTCAACATTATGTAATTGTCTGAAATGTAGTGTGCCAGGAAGTCAGGTTAATTTCTTTGCAGAGCTCTTACATTGTTCTTTACAATCTTGCTGGAAAATCAACTCATGGCAGAAGAATTCTAGGCTTTCCTGCCCTCCCTACCTCTTACATCCCAACAGATTTAAAAAACCTTTACAAAAATTACTACGTTTTGTTCTTGCTTCTATTATTGCAGTGGCATAGTGCAGTAGAAAAGGCATGGGGAGCTTGGCACAGTGGCTTGCCCCCGTAGTCCCAGCTCCTCAGAAGGCTGAGGTGGGAGGATTGTTTGAGCCCAAGAGTTGGAGACCAGCCTGGGCAACATAGCGAGAACCTGTCTCTTAAAAAGCAAAGAAAAAAGCGTTGGGATACGTTAAGCAGGTCTGGGTGCAAAGTCCAGCTCTTTTGCATAGAAACTATATGATTTTAGAAAAGCTTTAATTTTCAAATTCATTAGCTATAAAGCAGGGATGATGGTTATACCTACCTGGAACACAGTTTTTGTAAGATTTAAATGAAGTAATATATATATATATATATATATTATATATATATATATATATATATATATGATGCAGAATGTGCATTATTCAAGAATAAATGTCTAAGATAGTTATTCAAGGCAGTAGTTCCCTGCATTCTTGAAATAGCTTACAATCGGCCGGGCGCAGTGGCTCATGCCTGTAATCCCAGCACTTTGGGAGGCTGAGGCGGGCGGATCACGAGGTCAGGAGTTCAAGACCAGCCTGGCTAACACGGTGAAAACCCCGTCTCTACTAAAAATACAAAAAATTAGCCTGGTGTGGTGGCGGGTGCCTATAGTCCCAGCTACTCAGGAGGCTGAGGCAGGAGAATGGGCGAATGGGCGTGAACCCGGGAGGTGGAGCTTGCAGTGAGCCGAGATCACACCACTGCACTCCAGCCTGGGTGACAGAGCCAGTTTCCATCTCAAAAAAAAAAAAAAAAAAAAAAGAAAGAAAAAAGAAATAGCTTACAATCCCTGGAACTTGTGAGTATGTTATCTTACATGGCAAAGGGAATTTGCAGAAGTGATTGAGTTAAAGGCCTTGAGATGGGTATGTTATTCTGGATGATTTGGCAGGCTCCAGTATAATCACATAGGTCCTTAAAAGTGGAAGAGGGAGGCAGAAGAGAGGGTCAGAATGATGAGAGGTCAGGACTTCACCCACCATTGTTGTATCTGCAGATGGAGGAAGGGCACGGGAGCCAGGCATGCAGGTGGCTCTTGAGAGCTAGCAGAGGAAAGGAAGTGGATTCCCCTGTAGAGCACTCAGAAAAGAATGTGCCCCTGCCTACGCCCTAACTTTAGTGCAGTGAGATCCATGTCAAAATTTTAACTTTTAGAACTGTCAGGTAATGATTTGTATTGTTTTAAGCCACTACCTCTTTGGTCATTTGTTAGATAGCAGCAATAGAAAATAAATACGCTCATCTCAAGTATCATTCTCCCTCCAACAACCAGAGGGGTCTTGCCAAAACCTTGGAAAATTCATGTGCCTTTTCTGCTTGCAACCCTCCAAATGCATCATTTTCACTCAGAGGACTCCAGAGTCCAACAATGGCCCTCAGGGCACTGTGGGATCTGGCTCTGCCACCTCTCTGGCCCTAGCTCCATAAATCTTCCCTCTTTTGCTCCATGGCCATTCCTCAGACACATCAAGCTGTCTCCTCACTGCAGGGTCTTTGGCTCAACTCAGGTTCCCTCTACCTGAAATGATCCACCTTCAGAGAATTGGATGGTGAGTAAACACAATTAAAGAAGTTGGCCAGGCCTGGTGGCTCATGCCTGTAATCCCAACACTTGGAGAGGCCGAGGCGGGTGGATCATCTGAGGTCAGGAGTTTGAGACCAGCCTGGCCAACATGGCAAAACCCTGTCTCTACTAAAAATTCAAAAATTAGCCAGGTGTAGTGGTGTGTGCCAGTAATCCCAGCTACTCAGGAGGCTGAGGCAGGAGAATTGCTTGGACCTGGGAGGCAGAGGTTGCAGTGAGCTGAGATTGCACCACTGTACTCCAGCCTGGGTGACAGAGCAAGACTCTGTCTCAAAAAAAAAGTTAATCCATGTGAACAATTTAAGACTGTACTAGCTTCAGCTAGCAAGTAACTGTCTTAATAACTGTCTCAGCTCATCTGTGTGGCTCACTGTGACTTCCTGTCTCTGCTCAGCTTAGCACCATCATTCTCCATCATTTATCACATTTTCCACTCTATACTTATCACTCTCTGATATGTTAAGTATTTATTGGCTAGTTTTTATTTTCTCCTCTAGTAGACTGTACACTCTATGAGAGCAGGAACTTTGTTTTGTCCACTGTTGAACTCTCAGCCACTGGGAGACTGTGTGGCACTGTTTGTTTGAGAATTAATTCATTCCCACCAGGAATGCTGAAAAAGGGTACATCTACAGTGAATCTGAGGTTGAACTGAGACCTCTAAGGTTATTTTCATCTCAAAGTTGAAGACATTGCTAATTTTTTCTTTTCTTTTTCTTTTTTCTTTTTTTTTTTTTTTTTTTTTGAGGCAGAGTTTGGCTCTGCCACCCAGGCTGGAGTGCAGTGGTGTGATCTTGGCTCACTGCACCCTCCACCTCCCGGGTTCAAGCGATTCTCATGCCTCAGCCTCTCGAGCAGCTGGGATTACAGGTGTCCGCCATGACACCCAGCTAATAGTTTTGTATTTTTACTAGAGACGGGGTTTCACCCTGTTGGCCAGGCTGTTCACGAACTCCTGATCTCAGATGATCCACCCACCTTGGCTTCCCAAAGTGCTGGGATTATAGGTGTGAGCCATTGTGCCCGGCCATGGTGCTCATTTTCATAAAGCTAATAAGAGGTAGAACCAGCACTTGAATTTTGATTTTTTTGTTTGTTTGTTTAAGGCAAAGTTTGTCATAGGTATTTTCTCATGTTGCCTCTAGCTGATGCCTTTCCCAGCAGGGCTCTCCCATGGGACTTCTTGGTTTCGCCATGTTTCTACCTCTGGGAAACATATCGCACTTGCCTGAGTCCTTAAGCACCTGCTTGCTGCCATGTGATAGTTGATACTCATGCCTTAATAAAACAATCACATACACTTAGGAAACATGCAGCTCTAATGGAGCCCAAAAGGTACATGGACTCAGAACACCTCAAAAGGTACAAAATTTTGGCCATGAGATGAGGCTGGCGGGAGGGAATGGCTTGAAAGGAGTGTCTCCATATCGTATCACACAAAGAGTTGGCATTTGGAGCTCCTGACACTTGAGCTGTGATTTTTCAGTGGTTCTGTAGAAACTGCAAAATGTAGGATATGACCTATTTGAGATTGAAGTCCTGCAGTGGTATAGGCCATTGATAGTCATCTTATTGGAAGATATTTGTCCCTGGATCTTGGTGGCATTTTTTGCCACATGCAGACTTTGTGTACACAGAAATACTGGGTCAATTATTTTGAATAAACTGACTTGCTTAGTCTCTTTTGTGTTGCTTTATATAAAGGAATACCTGGAGCTGGATAACGTATAAAGAAAACAGATTTATTTGGCTCATAATTCTGTAGGCTGTATGAGAAGTGTGGCACCAGCATCTGCTTCTTGTCAGGGCTTCAAACTGCTTCTACTCATGGTGGAAGGCAAACGGAGGCCAGAATATCATATGGCAAGAGAGGGAGAAATAGAATAGGAAAGCGCTAGTCTCTTTTTAACAATCAGTTCTTGCAGTAGCTAATAGAACAAGAAATCACTGAAGATGGTGAGGATAGCCTCAAGCCTTTCACGAGTGATCTGCCTCCATGAGGCAACAGCTCCCACCAGATCCCAACCCTAAATTTGGGGATCAAATTTCAACATGAGGTTTGGAGGGAACAAATATCTAAACTATATCACTGACTATTCGGGCTATTGATAGTTTTTTTAAATAAAATAAATGATGGTGTATTTGATTGGATTAAGAAAATCAAGGCTGGGTATGGTGACTCACACCTGTAATCCTACCACTTTGGGAGGCTGAGGCAGGAGAATTGCTTGAGACCAGGGGTTCAAGACCAGCCTGGGCAGCATAGGGAGACCCCTATCTCTATGAAAAGGAGGAGGAGGAGGAGAAGGAAGGGGAGGAGAAGATGGAGAGGAGGAGGGGGAGGAGAAGAAGAAGAGGAGTAGGAGAAGGAGAGGAGGAGGAAGGGGAAGAGAGGAGGGAAAGGAGATGGGGGACAGGGGGAGTGAGCTAGGAGGTGGAGAAAAAAGAAAAAGAGGAGGAAGAAGAAATGAAAAAGGAAAATCAACTGGTTGTCTAAAATGTCAATCAGCATTTTGGTGCAGATAATAAACACCACTTTTTAAAATATTTTCTTTCTTTTTATTGTGGTAAAATATACGTAACATTTACCACTTTAATAATTTTTAAGTGTACAATTCAGTAGCATTAACTACATCTACAGTGTTGTGCAGCCATCACCACTATTCATTTCCAGAACTTGTCCATCATTTGAAACAGAAACTCTGTACCCATTAAGAAAAACTGCCCATAGCCCCCTCCTCCCAGCTCCTGGTAACCACCATTCTACTTTGTGTCTCTATGAATTTTCCTATTCTAGGTAATCTATATAATGGGAGTCATGCAGTATGGGTCCTATTGTGTCTGACTTACTTCACTTAATACGCTGTTTTCAAGGTTCATTTATAGTGTAGCATGTATCTGAATTTCACTCATTTTAAAGACTGAATACTTTTCCGTTTATGTATAGATCACATTTTGTTGTCCACTCGCCTGTTGATGGACATTTGGATTTCCACTTTTTGGTACTGCAGGTAACATTGCTATGAACATTGCTGTACAAGCATCCGTTTGAGCCATTGCTTTCAGTTCTTTTGGGTGTATACCTAGAAGTGGAAGTGCTGGATCATACAGTTTAACTTAACTCTATGTGTAACTTTTAAGGAACTGCTAAACAGTTTTCCACAGCAGCTGCACCACTTTCTGTTCTCAACAGCAACACACAAGTGTTCCAGTGTCACCACATCCTTGCAAGTACTTGTCATTGTTATTTATTTTTTTTTAGGATAATAGTCATCCTTACGGATCTGAAATGGTACTTCATTGTGGTTTTGGTTATCATCTCCCTAACAGCTAGTGATGTTGAACATCTTTTCATGTGCTTACTTAACATTTGTGTATCTTCTTTGGATAAATACCTGTATAAGTCTTTTGTCCATTTTTGAATTGAGTTATTTGGTTTTGGTTGTGTTTGTTCAGTTTTATGAGTACTTCGTGTGTTCTGAATGTTAATCTTCTCAAAGTTTCATAGTTTTAGCTCTTACATTTAGGACTTTGATCTATTTTATTTATTTATTTATTGAGACGGAGTCTCGCTCTTTCTCCCAGGCTGGATTGTAGTGGTACGATCTCGGCTCACTGCAAGCTCCGCCTTCCAGTTCACGCCATTCTCCTGCCTCAGCCTCCTGAGTAGCTGGGACTACAGGCGCCCGCCACTGCGCAGGCTAATTTTTTTGTATTTTTTTGTAGAGACGGGTTTTCACTGTGTTAGCAAGGATGGTCTTGATCTCCTGACCTCATGATCTGCCCGCCTCGGCCTCCCAAAGTGCTGGGATTACAGGCGTGAGCCACCGAGCCCAGCCAGGACTTGGATCTATTTTAGATTAGTTTTTGTATGTGTTGTAAGGTAAAAGTCCAACTTCATTCTTTTGCATTTGGATATTCATTTTTTTGCAGCATCATTTATTCCAAAGATGAACCTTACCCAATTGAACGGGCTTTGCACCATTGTTGACAATCAATTGACTATATACGTGAAGGTTTATTTCTTGGCTGTATTTCATCAGTCTGTATGTCTGCCCTTGTGCCTGGACAACATTCTTTTGATCACTATAGCTCTGTAATAAGTTTTGAAATCAGGAATTGAGAGTACTCCAATTTGTTCCTCTTTTTCAAGCTTATGTTTATCTTTTAGAGGTCTCTTGAGACTCTGAATTTTAGGATGCGTTTTTCTATTTCTGCAAAATAACATTGGCTTTTTGATAGGAATTGCGTTGAATCTGTAGATTGCTTTGGGTAGTATTGTCATCTTAACAATATGAAGTTTTCCAATTCATGAACAGGAAACGTCTTTCAATTCATTAATTTGTTTAATTCCTTTCAATAGTGTTTTGTAATTTTCATTGTACAGGTCTTTTGATTTCTTATTTTTTATTTTATTTTATTTTTTTTTTGAGACGGAGTCTCGCTCTGTCGCCCAGGCTGGAGTGCAGTGGCGCGATCTCTGCTCACTGCAAGCTCCGCCTCCCGGGTTCACGTCATTCTCCTGCCTCAGCCTCCCGAGTAGCTGGGACTACAGGCGCCCGCCACCACGCCCGGCTAATTTTTTGTATTTTTAGTAGAGGCGGGATTTCACTGTGTTAGCCAGGATGGCCTCGATCTCCTGACCTGATGATCCACCCACCTCTGCCTCCCAAAGTGCTGGGATTACAGGCGTGAGCCACCGCGCCCGGCCAGAAGCAATTGGTTAAATTTATTCCTAAGTATTTTATTTATTTTGGTGTTATTGTAAATGGAATTGTTTTCTAATTTCCTTTAATATTGCTTATTGTTGTATACAGAAATACAACTGATTTTTGGCGTGTTGAATTTGTACCTCTCATCTTTGCTGAATTTGTTAGCTCTAATGAATATTTTGTGGAGTCTTTAGAGTTTTTTAACATATAAAATCATGTCAGCCACAAAGATAATTTTTCTTCTTCCTTTCCAATTTTGATGTCTTTTATTTCCTTTTTCCCCAATTGCTCTGCCTAAAACTTCCAATATTATGTGTAATATAAACAGCAAAAGCAAGTGTTCTTGTCTTTTCCTCATGTAGCAGAAAAGCTTTCACCATTGAGTATGATGTGAGCTGTGAGTTTTTAACATATGACCTTTATCATGTTAGGGAAGTTACCTTTAATTTCTGGTTTATTGAGTATTTTAATCATGAAAGGGTGTTGAATGTTGTCAAATGCTTTTCTGCATCAATTGAGATGGCTGGGCTTATTTCCCCCTCATTCTGTTAATGTGGTGTATTACATTGATTGTTTTCCATGCATTCCTGGAATAAATCTCACTTGATCATGGTGTATAATTCTTTTAATATGCTTCTGTATTCTGTTTGCTAGTATTTTGTTGAGGATTTTTACATTAATATTCATTAAGATATTGATCTGTAGCTTTATTTTCCAGTATTATCTTTCTCTGCCTTTAGTATGAGAGTAAAGCTGGCTTTAGAGAATGAATTAGGAACTGACCTTTGTCTTCAATTTTTTAAGAAGTTTGAGAAGAATTGATTTTAATTCTTCTTCAAATATTAGGCAGAATTCATAGGTGAAGCCATCTGGCCCAAGACTTTCCCTTGTTGAGAGGTTTTTAGTACTGAATCAATTTCTTTACTAGTTATAGGTCAATTCATACTTTCTATTTCTTCTTTATTTGATTTTGGTAGATTGCATACTTCTAGGAATTTGTCCATTTATATGGTTAACTAATTTGTTGTCATACAATTGTTACTAGTATTATCTTGTAATCTTTATTTCTGTAAGATTGATAGTAAACTTTATATCACTTTTATTTCCCATTTTAGTAATTTGAGTCCTCTTGTTTATCAGTCAATCTAGCTAACATATGTTAATTTTGTTGATCTTTTCAAAGAACCACCTTGTGGTTTCATTGATTATCTCTATTTTTTTTTTTTTTTTTTTTGAGACGGAGTCTCAGTCTTGTTGCCCAGGCTGGAGTGCAGTGGCGTGAACTCAGCTCACTGAAACCTCCGCCTCCCGGGTTCAGGCGATTCTCCTGCCTCAGTCTCCTGAGTAGCTGGGATTACAGGCACCTGCCACCATGCCAGGCTAACTTTTGTACTTTTAGTAGAGATGGGGTTTCGCCATGTTGGCCAGGCTGGTCTTGAAATCCAGACCTCAGGTGATCCACCCCCCTTGTCTTCCCAAAGTGCTGGGATTACGGGTATGAGCAACCGTGCCCAGCCTCTACTGTTTTTTAACCTCTGTTTTATTTATCTCACTCTATTCTTTATTCTTCCTTCCTTTTGCTAGCTTTGAGTAAAGTTTGCTCTTCCTTTTCTAGACCCTTATGGTGAAAATTAGGTTGCTACTTTGAGATCTATCTTCTACTTTAATGCATGATTTTATAGCTGTAAATTTCCCTTTTATCACTGCTTTCATTGCATTTCATAAGTTTTGATATGTTGTGTTTTCATTTGTTTCAAGGTATTTTCTAATTTCCCTTTTGATTTCTTTTTTGACCACTTGGTTGTTTAAAAGTGTGTTGTTTAATTTCCAAATATTTGTGAACTTTTCAATTTTCTTTCTGTTATTGGTTTCTAGTTTTATGATTTTTATCTTTTACATTTTATTTATATGACTTCAGTCTTTTAGAATGTATGGACTTGTTTTGTCTTTTTATATATGATCCATCCTGGAGAATGTTCCAGGGGCATTTGAGAAAAAGATCTAATCTGCTGTTATAAATTACTGTATAAGTCTGTTAGGTCCAGTTGGTTTATGGACCTAACAAATTAGGTTATTAATTTACAATCTTTCTTTTACTTTAATGCATAAATTTATAGCTATAAGTTTCCCTTTAACACTGCTTTTATTGCATCCCATAAGTTTTGATATGTTGTGTTTTCGTTTGTTTCAAGGTATTTTCTAAGTGTTGTTCAAGTCCCCTATATTTTTATTGAACTGTCTTATCATTTTATCTATTGCTTAAAGTAAGCTATTGAAGTCTCCAACTATTATTGTAGAACTCTGTTTATTTCTCGCTTCAGTTCTGTAAATATTTCTTTCACAAATTTGGGGGTTCTGTAGTTTGTTGCATATATGTTTAAAATGATATCTTCTTGATTAATTGATTCCTTTATTAATATATTCTTCTTTGACCCTTGCAACCATTTTTTTTAGGTAAGTTCTAATTTTTCTGATATTAATATAGCCATTCCTGCTCTCTTTTGGTTACATGAAAATATTTACATGAATATCTTTTTCTGTGCTTTCAACCTGTTTGTGTCTTTAGACCTCAAGTGAGTCTCTTGTAGACAGCATATAGTTGAATCATATATATATATATATATATATATATATATATATATATATTTTTTTTTTTTTTTTTTTTTTTTTTTTTGAGGTGCAGTCTCACTCTGTCAGCCAGGCCGGAGTGCAGTGGCGCGATCTCGGCTCACGGCAAGCTCCGCTTCCTGGGTTCATGCCATTCTCCTGCCTCAGCCTCCTGAGTAGCTAGGACTACAGGTGCTCACCACCACGCCTGGCTAATTTTTTTGTGTTTTTAGTAGAGATGGGGTTTCACTGTGTTAGCCAGGATTGTCTCAATCTCCTGACCTCATGATCCACCCACCTTGGCCTCCCAAAGTGCTAGGATTACAGGCGTGAGACACCACACCTGGCTTGCCTGCTGTTTTTAAAATTACTGCCTTCTTTTGTTTTCAGTTGATTTTTGTGTAATAAGTTCCGATTTTTGTTTTTTTTAATTTTGAGACGGAGTCTTGCTCTGTCACCCAGGCTGGAGTGCAGTGGCACCATTTCGGCTCACTGCAAACTCCGCCTCCTGGATTCAAGCAATTCTCCTGTCTCAGCCTCCCGAGTAGCTGGGATTACAGGTGCATGCCACCATGCCCAGCTAATTTTTTGTGTTTTTGGTAGAGGTGGAGTTTTGCCATGTTGGTCAGGCTGGTCTTGGACTCCTGACCTCAGGTGATTCACCTGCCTTGGCCTCCCAAAGTGCTGGGATTATAGGCGTGAGCCACCGCACCTGGCCTGATTTCTTTTTTATTTCCTCTTTTGTATATTCTGTGAATCCTTTATAGTTACTATGGGGATTAAATATAATATTCTATAGTTTTTAACAGCCTAATTTGAATTGATACCTAGTTAATTTAAATTGCCTACAAAAACTGCTGCTGTATAGCTCTGTCCTCTCCTTTGTTATTGGTGTCAAAAATTACATCTTTGTATACATTGTGTGCCCAATAACATAGATTTAAAATAATTTTTATGCACTTGGCTTTTAATCCTGTAGAAAATAAAAAGTGGAGTTACAAACCAAAATTACAAGCCAAAATTACTGGCTTTTATGTTTGCCTATAGATTTATCTTTACTAGAGATCTTAATATCTTCATTTGTCATTGAGTTGCTGTCTGTCATCCATTTATTTCAACTCCTTTCTTACAGAGCAGGTCTATCGGTAATGAACACCCTCAGCTTCTGTTTGGGAATGTCTAAATTTCTTCTTCATTTTTGAAGTACGGTTTTGCAGATATAGGTTTTCTATTTGACAGTTTTTTCTTTCATCACTTTAAACATTCTATCCCACTGACTTCATATCTGAAAGTCTTCTGCTGACAAATCTATTTCTAATCTTTTTTAAAAAGAAATCTTATTTATTTAATTCACAAATAATGGTTGTGAATATAAATATTAAATATAAATATATTTAATTTAAATATAAGGTACAATGTGTTTTTTAATCTATGTATACATTGTTACAAAAGATTAAATCAAGTAAATTATCATATCTATTACCTCACCAACTTTTCTTTTGTGGTAGGAATATTAACAATGTATTATTTTAGTAGTTTTGAAATATACAATTCATTATTATTAACTGTGGTTACCATGCAGTATAATAGATCACTAAAACTTACTCCTGCAGTCTAACTGACACTTTGTACTTTGTGATCAACATCTTTCCTTTACCCATCCTTCTCCCAACCCCAGCCTCTGGTAACTACCTTTCTACTCTGTTTCTATGAGATCAATGTTTTTGGATTCCACATATGCGTGAGATTATACAGTATTTGTCCTTCTTGTCAGGCTTATTCCCCTAATCCCCAAACTCTTTCCTCTGTTCTCCATATTCAAACCAAACAGGAGGTCCTCTAGATTTACCTCTGTCCTGTTTCTCAAATGTATCCTTTTCTCTCTATTCTTATTGCTACTTAGTTCATCATTTCTTGTTAGAATTACAATATTGCTTCTTACCATGTTTTCCTAATATGTGTTTGACTTTCTCCAATACATTCTCCACATCCCATAACTGATCTGAAACAGTTATGCAAATGATATTCACCTTTTCACACAGTTGTTCAATGATTTCTCCTGGCCTTTAGCAAAGTTCAAACTCTGGCCATGACATGTAAGGTCCTTTAGCACAATGTCCTTCAGGTCTATTTATGTTGTCACAAATGATAGGTTTTTCTTCTTTTTAAAGGCTGCATAGTATTCCAGTGTGTATATATGCCACATTTTCTTTATCCATTCATCCGTTGATGATAATCTTATTGATGATCTCTTTTATGTGATGAATTGCACCACTGTAGGGATTGGAGAAATCTTTTCCTCACCGCTTGACAGGTTTGACAGGTTTATGGCTGAGGCCTTTATAACAAAAGGCCTTTATAACAAAAGAGAAAAGCATACAAATTCACTTAATATATATTTTATATGAAATGAGAAACCTCATAAAGAAATGAAGACTCAAAGACACAGGTAAACCAGTGGCTTTTTTTTTTGAGACAGAGTCTCACTCTGTCACCCAGGCTGGAGTGAGTGGTGTGATCCTGGCTCACTGTAACCTCTACCTCCCAGGTTCACGCGATTGTTGTGCCTCAGCCACCTGAGTAGCTGGGATTACAGGCGTGCACCACCACACCTTGCTTGCTAATCTTTGTATTTTTAGTAGAGACAGGGTTTCTCCATGTTGACCAGGCTGGTTGCAATCTCCTGGCCTCAAATGGTCTGCCTGCCTTGGCCTCCAAAAGTGCTGGGATTACAGGTGTGAGCCACCACGCCCAGCCAACCAGTGGCTTTTTAATGCTAGGTTTGATGAAGAAGTGGATAGCTGGGAAGAATGTTTGGATCAAAAAGTATGATCTAATGGTAACAAACTGGGGGGAACTTAGCAAGACCTGTTAGTTCCAATTCTTTTCTGTGTCCCTGTGCCTTCAGAGATAAGGATGTTCCTTTCCTCTGCTTCTAGAGAGGGCATTTCTTGAATGTGGGTCTTATGACCTGCTTCAGGGGAGAAGGGTGGGAAAATGTCAGACAATGACCTTCCTAGGTTTTATGACCAGCTTCAGGGGAGAAGGTGAGGGGGAAGTGAAAGTGATATTCCTGCTTCTGCTATTTTCTCAAATACCAAGGTGCTGTATTTTAGGGTAGTGTGATCCTGAATCCCATCACCATCATCAATATTCCCCTAATCCCCAAACTCTTTCCTCTGTTCTCCATCTTTAAACCAAACAGGAGGTCCTCTAGATTTACCTCTGTCCTATTTCTCAGATGTAGCCTTTTCTCCCTGTTCTTCTGGCTACTTGGTTCATCATTTCTTGTTAGAATTACAATATTGCTTCTTACCATGCTTTCCTAATATGTTTGACTTTCTCCAACACATCTCCACGTCCCATAACTGATCTGAAACAATTATGCGAATGATATTCACCTTTTCACACAGTTGTTCTTTGGTTCCTTCTGGCCTTTAGCAAGGTTCAAACTCTGGCCATGACATGTAAGGTCCTTTAGCACATGGGCCTCCAGTCTCAGTAGTCTGAACTGACTGGAAGTGTTTCTTCTTGCCTGTTGCCAAGCCTTCAAGCAGACTCACTCATGGATGACACAGCTGTCTGCAAGTGCCTATTGTTTTGTCTCAAAACTTGTAGTGACAGGTGTGTCTTGTCACTTTCTGGTGTACATTGCAGATCTGCCTTGTTTATCATTCCAAGATGAGCTCCGATGTGAGTGGCCCTGACAGTGCAGAGTATAATCAAATGCTCTTTGAACTGAGGGAGCACATTTTATTGCTGTTAACACATTTTACAGTTTATAAGGTTATCAGCCCCTTAACTCCTGAGTTTTCTTCAAGCTTGGCTTTGAATCTGTAAACACAACTGATTTATATCACAAAATTGACATAAAATATAATACTTATTGTTTCATTTTATAAATTCCTCACCTCATAAATTATAATTAAAAAAACAACAAGATTATGTTTTCCCTTCCATCCATCTCACTAAGAAATAGTATCATAATTCTTCAACAGTGAATTTTCTGTATGGGAGAAAAAGATGTTTTAACATAAATTTAGCCAATTTTTGAATAATTGCATTACGATTATAAATGCTTCTTGTAAGCCAGTCTCAACACTTCTTAGGGTTATCTATGAAAAATAAATAATAGATAAATAAAAATAAGACCTCATTTTGAAATACTGTAGGAATTTCTTGTGTCCACTTTTAATTTTTAGCAACCATAATCTTTAACCTTTTTTTCTGTATATGAAGAAACTTAAATTTTAAACACTAGAAACATGTTTCTGCTTAATTCCAGTCTGAAGTTGGAGGTCTAAGGCAAGAAAAAGGTGCAAATAATTGGAGCCCAAGTCTTCAAGGACACCAAAAAAAGAATTTTAAAGTCTTTTTTTTTTTTTTTTTGAGATGGAGTGTCACTCTTTCACCCAAGCTGGAGTGCAGTGGTATGATCTTGGCTCACTGCAACTTCTGCCCCCCAGGTTCAAGTGATTCTCCTGTCTCAGCGTCCCGAGTAGCTGTGATTATAGGTGCCTGCCACCATGCCCAGCTAATTTTTGTATTTTTGGTAGGGATGGATTTCACCATGTTGGCCAGGCTAGTCTTGAGCTCCTGATGTCAGGTGATCCACCTGCCTCAGCTTCTCAAAGTGCTAGGATTACAGATGTGAGCCATTGTCAAATATTTTCTTGTAAAATCTAGCTGTTCAAGTTAGCTTACAATCATGTTGGTCTTTCTAAATAAAACTGCCTTTTTTATAATAAAAAATTGTTTAAAATAAAATAAAATATTGGCTATTTGTCAAGAGCCTGTGCATTTTAATATAAGATTTGAAATTTAAATTAATGATTGATGAGACAAATTTTTTAAGCACAGGGAATTGAAAGTATTTTTAAATTCTAAGAAAAAGAAAAAAATGAAAATAAGCCACATTCATTCAATAACTTCATCTGAAAATGAAGTCAGTTGGAATTGAATTCATGATGTATATTACTTAATCATACCATAGGACTCATTTGCTCAGGCAGAAGTTAGTTTACCTTAAACTCAATTAGGAGCACAATCCGTTCCAGTACAATGGAATCTCCTCATTGTAATGGCTGTTCAAAATTAACGGTTTACTTACAAAATTTTCTGAACTTATGCCATTGAATTATTGTCTTATTTTTAGGTATAGGTTGAGCCCCAAACATGTAAAATATGATGAAGCATGTGTACTTGACAAGTGTATTGGTTATAAACAACAGAAACCAACTCTGACTAAGGGGAGCCAAACAGGACTTACAGGAAAGTCATCAGATAGCACACATTTGGAGACATATTGGCAAATAAAGCTAGGAGAACAGGAAGGAACCAAGGGAATGTAGGTCACCAAGAGCCCAGGCCAGTTCAAATGAAAATGTGCAGGTACAGCCACCACTGTATCCTCCCAACTGAGCCTCTTGACTCTCAACTCCATTGCCTCCACACCTATAAAACATCTGCAGAGCAGCATCAACCATTACAACCAGGCCTACTTCTTGACGTTAGTGGATTCAGGCTCCAAGTCCCAGAGAGAAGGTGCCTCAGATGGGTTCGGGGAGATCAATGCCATATTGGAAGCAAAGCTCCAAAGAGTTATGGATTGAATTGTGTCTCCCCAAAATGCACATGTAGAAGTCCTAATCCTGAGTACTTTAGAATGTGACTTTCTTTGGAAACAGGGTCATTGCAGACACAATTTTACATATAATAACTGTTAAGATGAAGTCATGCTTGCGTAAGGTGGGCTCCTAATTCAATATGACTAGTGTCCTTATAAAAAGGGAAAATTCGGAGACAGACAAACACATAGAGAGAATGCCATGTGAATTTCAAGGCAGAGATTGGGTGATTTATTTGCAGGCTAAATAATGCCAAAGATAGCAAACTACCAGAAGTTAGGGTAGAGGCATGAAGCAGAAAGAAGCAACCCTTCCTATACATTGATCTTAGTCTTGTACCCTCCAGAACTGTGAGACAATACAATTTCTTTTGTTCAAGCCATCCAGGTTGTGGTACTTTGTTATGGCAGACTTAGCAAACTATTATAATACACCCATCTCCAGCCAAGACTCCAAGAGCAGCAAATTCTCCATTCTTGCCATTCCTATTCAACATAGCAATCAGTCAAATGAAATAAATAAAAGGCATCCACACTGGAAAAGGAGAAGTCAAATCTCTGTTAGCTGATAACATGATCTTATACCTAGAAAACCCTAAAGATTCTGCTCAAAGATTCCTAGACCTGATAAATAACTTTAGTAAAGTTTCTTGATACAAAACTAATGTACAAAAATAATTTGCATTTCTACACCAACAGTGCTCAAGCTGAGAACCAAATCCAGAGCTCAATCTCATTCATAATGGCCACACAAAAAATATTCTGTTTGTGTAAAAGTAATTGAGGTTTTTGCCACTACTTTCAATGGCAGAAATGGCAATTAATTTTACACCAACCTAATAAAATTCTTAGGAATACATTTATCCAAGGAGGTGAAGTACCTCCACAAGGAGAACTACAAAACACTGATGAGAAAAAAATGGAGATGAAACAAGCAAATGGATAATGAAGCATTCCATGCTCATGGGTTGGAAGAATCAATATTGTTAAAATGTCCATACTGCCAAAAGCAATTTACATATTCAATGCTATTTCTACTAAATTGGCAACACCATTTTTTACAGAATTAGAAAAAAAACTATTCTAAAATTCATATGGAATCAGAAAAGTGACAAATAGCCAAAGCAATCGTGAGCAAAAAGAATAAAGCTGGAGGCATCACATTATCCAACTTCAAACTGTACTGCAAGGCTACAGTTACCAAGACATCGTGATACTGGTACAAAAACAGACACATAGACTAACAGAACAGAGACCCCTGAAACAAAGCCACACATCTACAAGCAGTTAATCTTCCTCAGAGTCCACAAACATAAACAATGGGCAAAGGACACCCTATTAAATACTGCTGGGAAAACTGGCTAACCATATGCAGAACAATGAAATTGGACCCCTGCCTCTCATATAAAAAATTAAACTCAAGATGGATTAAAGACTTGAATGTAAGACCTCAAACTACAACAATTCTAAAAGAAAACCTAGGAAATACTCTTCTAGACATTGGCCTAGGCAAAGAATTTATGACTAAGTCCTCAAAAGAAAATGCAAAAAGACAAAAGTTGACAATTGAGATATAATTAAACCAAGGAGATTTTGCACAGCAAAAGAAACTATCAACAGAGTAAACAGACAACCTACAGAATGGGAGAAAATGTTCACAAACTATACATCTGACAAATCACTAATATTCAGAATCTATAAAGAACTTAAATCCAAAGAATAATAACTTCATTAAGAAGTGGGTGAAGGACATAAGCAGACACTTCTCAAAAGAAGACATACAAGCCGCCAGCAAACACATGAGAAAATGGTCACTATCACTGATCATCAGAGAAAAGCAAATCAAAACCGCAATGAAATACACCTTCGCATCAGTCAAAACAGCTATTATTAAAAATCAAGAAATAACAAATGATGGCGAGGTTGCAGAGAAAAGGGAACACTTATACACTGTTGATGGGAGTGTAAATTAGTTCAACCATTGTGGAAAACAGTGTGGAGTTTCCTCAAGAAGCTAAAAGCAGACTTATTATACCATTTGAATCAGCAATCCCATTACTGGGTATATACCCAGATGAATAGAAATTCTGCCACAAAGACACAGGCATGCAAATGTTCACTGCAGCACTATTAACAATAGCAAAGACATGGAATCAACATAAATGCCCATCAATGACAGATTGGATGAAGAAAAGGTGGTACATATACACCATGGAATACTATGCAGCTATAAAAAAGAGCAAGATCATATATTTTGAGGGAACATGGATGGAACTGGAAGCTATTATCCTTAGCAAACTAACACAGGAGCAGAAAACCAAACACCACATGTACTCACTTGTAAAAGTAGGAGCTAAATGATGAGAACTCATGAACACAAAGAAGGGAATAATAGAAACAGGGGTCTACTTGGAGGGTGGAGGGTGGGAGATGGGAGAGGAGAAGAAAAGATAACTGTTGGGTACTGGCTTAATACCTGGGTAATGAAATAATCGTACAACAAACCCCCATGACACAGTTTACCTATTTAACCTTAACTGGTACCCCGGAACCTAAAATAAACTTTTTTTTAAGTCAAAAAATAACAGATGTTCATGAGTTTGTGAAGAAAAGGGAATGCTTATACACTACTGATGGGAGTGTAAATTAGTTTAGCCTCTGTGGAAAGCAGTTTGGAGATTTCTTAAAGACCTAAAAATAGAATTACCACTCGACCTAGCAATCCCATTACTGGGTATATACTCAGAGGAAAATAAATAACTCTACCAGGAAGAAACATGTACTCGTATGTTTATCACAGCACTATTCACAATAGCAAAGACATGTAATCAACCTAGGTGCCCATCAGTTGTGGACTGGCTAAAGAAAAAGTCATATATATACACCATGGAATACTATGAAGCCATAAAAGAATAAAATCATGTCTTTTGCGGCAACATGGATGCAGCTGGAGGCCACTATCCTAAGTGAATTAACACAGGAACAAAAAAACTGAATACTGCATGTTCTTATTTATAAGTAGGAGCTAAACATTTGGTATACATGGACACAAAGATGGGAACAATGGACACTGGAGATCCTGAAAAGAGAGAGGAAAGGAGGGGAGCAAGGGTTGAAAAACTATCTGTTAGGTACTATCTTCACTATTTGGGCAACAGGATTATTAGAAGCCCAAACCTCAGCATCATGCGATATACCCATGTAACAAACCTGCACGTGCACCCTTGAATCTGAAATTTGCAAAAAATGTTGATGTTCTGATCCTCAATGTAACGGTATTAGGAGGTGAGAGGAAATTATCCTGATGATAGAACCCTCATGATTGGCATTACTGGCTTTATAAAAGGAACCTCACAGAGCTCTTTCCTCCCTCTCTGCCAGGTGAGGATAATACCTGAAGTCTGAATTCTGCAACTCAGAAGAGAGTCCTCACAAGAGCCTGACCATATGGCGCTTTACACTAGGCCATGAGTATCTTTTGCATGTTGTCACTGTTTTTATTGTTTTATCTATCTACCGCAATTCTCTCATGTAGCACAAAGTTCCATTGCCTCGGTAGACCTTCTCCAAACCTTAAAAACCATCAGTCTAGGCTGGGTGTGGTGGCTCACGCCTGTAATCCCAGCGGGCAGATTGCCTGAGGTCAGGAGTTCGAGAGCAGCCTGGCCAACATGGTGAAACCCCGTCTCTACTAAAAATGCAAAAATTAGCTGGGTGTAGTGGCGGGTGCCTTTAATCCCAGCTACTCAGCAGGCTGAGGCAGGAGAATCTTTTGAATCAGGAGATGAAGTTTGCAGTGAGCTGAGATCGTGCAACTGCCCTCCAGCCTGGGAGACAGAGGCAGACTCTGTCTCAAAAAAAGCAAAAGCCATCAGTCTTGGCCAGGGAGAGTGGCTCATGCCTGTAATCTCAGCACTTGGGAGGCCGAGGCTGGCAGATTACTTGAGGTCATGAGTTCGAGACTAGCCTGGCTAACGTGGTGAAACCCTGCCTCTACAAAAAATACAAAAATTAGCTGGGTGTGGTGGTGTCCACCTGTAGCCTCAGCTACTTGGGAAGCTGAGGCAGGAGAATCACTTGAACCCAGGAGGTAGAGGTTGCAGTGAGCCAAGATCATGCCAGTGCACTCCAGCCTGGGCGACAGAGTGAGACTCTGTCTCAAAGAACAAAAACAAATCATCAGTCTTACTAGGGAGTTTTTTTTGTTTGTTTGTTTGTTTTTTTTTTTTTACAAAAGGGGACTTGTACAAAAAAGTGGGTGAAGCCACTCTATTTGTTTGTCTGCAATGTGTTGTCTCACAGAACACAGAGCCCCACTGGGCTGCAGGGTACATTCTATGTGTGTCTGAAGAGGCTGCAACAGTTTGCTAGACCTCCCATAACATGGTATCACAGACTGAAGGGCTTTAACAACAGAAATTTAGTTTCTCACAGTTCTGGAGGCAAGAAATTTGACATCAAGCTCCTGGCTGGGCTGGTTTCTCTGAGGCCTCTCTCCCTGGTTTGTAAACAGCTGTCTTCTATTTCTGGGCTCACAAGGTCTTCTCTTGTGCCTCCCTGTGTCCTTGCTGTCTCTCCTTATAAGGACTCTAGTCATAGCGGATTAGGGCCCACCCCAATGAACCCACTTCATGTTAATTACATCTTTTTTTTTTTCCTTTTTTGAGATCGAGTCTTGCTCTATTGCCCAGGCTGGAGTACAGTGGCACAATCTCGGTTCACTGCAACCTCTGTCTCCCAGGTTCAAGTGATTTTCCTGCCTTAACCTCCCAAGTAGCTGGGATTACAGGTGTGTGCCACCACACCTGGCTGATTTTTTGTATTTTTAGTAGAGATAGGGTTTTACAATTTTGGCCAGGCTGGTTTCGAACTCCTGACGTCAGGTGATCCACCTGCCTCAGCCTTTCAAAGTGCTGAGATTACAGGTGTGAGCGAGTAGTAACCACACCTGGCCATATTAATTACCTCTTTAAGGAGCATATGTCCAAATACAGTGAGATTCTGAGGCACTGAGTGTATGAATTTGTGGGAGGGAACACAATTCATCTGATAACATATACTAACTCCCTCCAGAGTACACATATGTCAGATTGTATAGCTACAGCCCGATAACTTTCCAAAATGGCTGTAGCAGGTACATTGTCACCAGCAGTCCCTGAAGGTAACTGGTTCCCTGCATTCAGCCTCCCCTGAAGGTTAACATTTCTAATATTTTGCCAACCTGGTGTCTGTGTGGCAAATACCATCACGTTGTTCCTTTCATTCCCAAGTTTCCCAACGGATGTGTTTGTTGTCTTTCAGTTGTTTAATATCTGCTCAGGGTGTCTTTTCCCTGAGCCAAATGCTCAGATCCCCTAGGTTCTCTGATGAGCTTTCTCCCTGGAGTCTCCTGACATTTTCCCTTTTGCCAGGTGTGGGATTGTTTTAGCTATTTCTCAAGACTCCCTTTAATGTTAAAGGAAGAAAAACAAATTATGTTGCTTTAAGTCCAAAGAGTTCTTCTAGAGTGTCTTGCCTTGTGCACTGTCTCTGAAAAGGAGAGGAAAGGAGGCTTCCCCAGGCCCTTCTCCTCCATGGCAGGAGCAGGCCGAGCCTCAGGTAGTTTAGAGGGAATTTCATGCAGCCTCCCTTGCGGATGATTCTCTGTTCTGACTCATGTGCTGTTGAGCAGCCATTTGACATCCAAAAGTCTGTGTCTTCTCATCTATACAATGAGTGTATTTTTTTTTGAGGACTCACTTGGATAGTGCTCTTCATACAGGCTGTTAATACAGGTGGGTGCTGTTGCTCCACAGTTGCCAAATACTGTGATGGTGCCTTGAAGCTATTAATGATTTAATGAATATCTGTTCCCCCCCCATCACATTTTACATTGAAAGTCTAAAACCTTTTTCACCATGAACACCCATGTCCTCCACATGCACAAGTCCCTGAAGGGTTGAGGCTTCCTAGTCTGATCTCCAGATCCCAATTCCCTGGTGGCTCATGATGCTGTCACTGACCGTGTCCTTCCTGGTCCTCTCTAGTATGAAAATGAGCATACTCTGAACCTAGGGGAGATCTGTACTATGCAGAGGGAACCCCCAGCCAGGCACAAGGGAGAGGCTGGTGGAATCCCTGGTTCCAGCATTCCAGGGTCAAACCATCCCCTCCTTCAGGAGCTTCCTGGGCTCCTAGTGGGACTTCACCACTGTCCTACAGTTCTTGTAAGGGAGGATACCACCCCTCATATTGTCTTATGCCCAATTTCTGCCTCCAAAGAAAGAAGAACTAAAAACTAAAAGGCAGAAATGAAATCCGCAGGCAGACAGCTCAGCGCCACACCCTGGGCCTGGTAGTTAAAGATCGACCCCTGACCTGATCGTTTCTGTTATCTACAGATTCCAGACATTGTATAGAAAAGCACTGTGAAAATCCCTGTCCTGTTCTGTTCCATTCTAATTGCTGGTGCATGCAGCCCCCAGTCACGTACCGCCTGCTTGGTCAATGGATCCCGACCCTCTCACGCGGACCCCCTTAGAGTTGTGAGCCCTTAAAAGGGACAGGAATTGCTCACTCGGGGAGCTCGGTTGTTGGAGACGTGAGTCTTGCTGAAGCTCCTGGCCGAATAAAGCCCTTACTTCTTTAACTCAGTATCTGAGGGGTTTTGTCTGCAGCTTGTCCTGCTACACCTGGAGCAGCTGTTCAGCAGGTGAGTGTCTGTTTCTTTCAAGGCACACCCTACTACCTACTAGCTGTGTCTAGGGATGCCACTGCAGCTTTCTGAGCCTCAACTTGCACCTCTGAAAAGTGGAGTAGTAAGATGAATCTCAGTGAGGTTCTTGTAGGAATGAAATGGCCTAAGACATGACAGGTGGCTCCTGAGTGCCTGGCTCTGTGGAAAGGTTGTTGGACCTACTGTGGTTGTTCATATTTCATATTTTTCTTTTCCCCCATCTCAGAAGAAGCTGTTTTCATCATGTCTCAATGGCCTCTGTCTCTCTCTGTTTGGCAAAGCACATAGACAGCAAATCTGTTTTTACATTTGTAAAGGAGATTTAAGATTCCTTCTAGCTAATCTTTGTCCTCAATACAGACAGAACAGGGATCTCTAGGTGCTGGGAGAGGAATCTGTCCTAAATCTGAAAGGTACAGTAACAGTTGATCAGATCACAATTCATTCATGGAAACATCCACAACAAAAAGAGGAAACTGTGGGCGATTTTCATGTTAGCCTCAACAATTCCATCTGACACTAGGGTGTTAAAGAAGGCATGAGAGTTTTAGTTAAAAAGCCAAATTCTTTATTTAAAAGTTATAGAAATTTGAAGTAATAACAATATAAATAAGTCATTGGGCAGGATGGGGCCAATGGTGACCCCAAGGTACAGCTGCTAGGTCCTGCCTGGGCCTGTGCCCTTTGGAAAATACATTCCCACCTGCCTGCCAACCAGGAAGAGCCCGTCCTGGGCAGCACCTCAGAGGCCCCCAGCTCAGATGCTCAGCTAAGGGCAGGTCCCAGTCGCCGGAGGAGGAGACCACGTCCTGGAGCAGGAGGAGGAGTTGCTGGAATTCCGCCCCGTCCGCCCCCATCAGCGGCAGGCCAGGCGGGGACGTGGAGGGGGCGAGCTGGTGGAGTTCGCGCCCATAGGCCGGGTGGCGGCTTGCGAGAAACAGACGTTGTTCAGGTCGTGCTGGGGCCGAGGCTGGCACGCGGGAAGCTCTTCAGCAAGGCCCAGGAGCCGGCCCGCCAGCCCTGCTCTCCGCCTCCGCGGCTCTCCCTTCGCCCAGGACCGAGAGCGGCGCGAGGCCTGCTGGCCGGAGCCCCACTGGCCGCCGCCTCTCCTGGGGAGCCTCTTCCAGCTCCAGTGCTGAGGCGAGTGGGGGCAACAGACACCACGATGTCAGGCAACGCCTCGCCGGGCTGGTTCTTCGCAGTCCCAGGACCGGGGCAGGAGCACTGTGGCTCTGGAGCTGGCCGTGGTGCTGGATCGATGTGTGGGAGGCCCAGGGCTGCAAGTCACTCTGGCTCCGGAGCAGGCAGCATGTACCAGAGCCAGCACTGGAATTGCCTGTGTCTCTAGACATTAAGCAGGAGCTGGAAAAGGACAATGAGTTACCAAAATCAGTCACTTCCCACTGGCCTTTCTAAACACAGAAATGACCGCACAGAATTTAATGGAATTGGAGCCCTCAAACACCACCCCTGGAAAGTCTTCCAGGCTGCAGGCCTCCTCACTGTCTGCCTCTACCTCAATGGGCTCCAGAGGCTCCAGCTGCACAAAAGCAATATGCACGTGATGCTTCAGGCCCCATCCAGGCCAACCGACCTGCACAGAGGCCGCCTAGGTTGAAGGACACTTCGACCTGCTCGTGGCCTTTTTTTTTTTTTTGACTCTCAGTCTTACTGTGGAAACATGGATCATGTAGATTTATTACTAAGTCAGATCAGTCACCTTTTGCCCTCAGGGTTTTAGCGTCAGAGGTTCCAAAAATTATGAGTGCCAGTTGATGTGTCAGGTGTTTTCGCTCATCTGGGTTGCCAGAACAGAATACTATAGACCAGACAGCTTATATGCGACAGAAATGTGTTTCACACAGTTCTAGAGATAGCGAAGTCCAAGGTCAAGTGGTCTGGTGAGGGCTGGCTTCCTGGTTCAGAAACAGACATTTTTTTTTTTTTTTTTTGAGATGGAGTCTTGCTCTGTAGCCCAGGCTGGAGTACAGTGGCACGATCTTAGCTCACTGCAACCTCTGTCTCCCAGGTTCAAGCAATTCTCCTGCCTCAGCCTCCCGAGTAGCTGGGAATACAGGTATGTGCCACCACAGCTGGCTAATTTTTTGTATTTTTTATAGAGATAAGGTCTCACCGTGTTAGCCAGGATGGTCTCGATCTCCTGACCTCGTGATCTGCCCACCTCAGCCTCCCAAAGTGCTGGGATCACAGGCATGAGCCACCGCGCCCAGCCAGAAACAGTTATTTTTTTTTTTACTGTGTCCTCACATTACAGAAGCTATGAGGGAGCCATCTTGGAGTCCCTTTTATAGGGACACCAATCCATTCATGTGGTCTCTTCTTCATGACTTAATCATCTCCCAAGGCTCCACCTCCAGATACATCACTTAAGGGTTTTGATTCCAACATATGAATTGGAGGGGACAGAAACCTCTGGTCTACAGCATCAGGTTACCCTGACCCTCTTGCACCCAGAGAATTCTATAATCTTCTATGAATATTTGCTGGTCTCCTCTGGAGTTTGCTAAACTTCTCTGGGTTTAGAAAAATCTTTAATTGTAGTTCTTGATTCAGCTGGGTCCCAGGTTTAAATTCTACAGTTGCTGTCAAAACTTGTTTATGGAACAGAAGAAACTTCAGAGGAAACTGGTCATTTGGAGTTTTAGGAGAGTTGTTGGGGAGGGTCTGGGATCTGAATGAGAAGTGGAAGGAGGATAGGATGAAGGCACAGAAGGAGAGAGATTAGGATGAGAAAGGGGAAGGGGGACACCTGGATATAAGGTCAACTGGAGGGCAAGAAAGTGGGAGAGAGTTTACTAAGAAAATGAATCCATTGGGTTGGTGCAAAAGTAATTGTGGTTTTGCAAAACCACTTTTGCACCAACCTAATAGTTTGTAGTTGCTTAAGTGTGTCAAATTGTGTCTTAGGTTTGGCCAGAGAAGATTTAATGAAATGATTCTTGATTCAGAATAGCATTTGAAAGCTTCTGCTTACCAACCAAAATGTACTGCTCATTGGGCCTGAGAAATCTTATTCCTTTTCTTTCTTAAGGAACCTCTCAAATGAGCAATGTTGTTCAAAGCAAATGCTCCCCAGAATGGTCACAGAAGGCCCAGTTCTTGATGAAGTAATGCTATTTAGAAAGGCCGACACAAGAATGAGCATTGTAATGAAAGTAAACACAAGAAGCAGGAGCTTTTCTGGGAAGCAGAGAGGACTCCGACTTAGCCCCATGAGAGCTGGTGGCAGGCAGTAGGAGAGTAATGCTTATGCACCTCGTGTCTTGGGTCCTCATCCTGACAGTTGGTCACTTCCAGATGAAGACACAAAAATCTGTTCTGCTAGCAGGTGGAAAGTCAATAAATAAAATAAAATAAAATAAAATAAAATAAAATAAAATAAAATAAAATAAAATAAAATAAAAAACTCTCTGGATCACAACCGGAATGCACAGAAATAAGACAGAAGTATAAAGGAGAACTTCATCCAATTTCATTGGTGACCCATAGCGAAGTGTGTCCAAATGGATGTCTGACCAATGAGTACCACAAATTCGCCGGTGTGTGAGGCTGGCTTGAACAATAGCCTTCTAGGGCCTATGACTACGTTCCACCTTCTCATTCTTCTCCTTATGACAACACTTGGATGACAAAAGACAAAACAGTAACATAGAGAGAGCAAAATGAATGAATGGGAAGACCAGATTCCACCAAGAATGTCAAAAAAGTAGGAACCAATAACAAAAACCAGGTATTTATTCTACCAAATGCAGAATAAATACCTAAGGAACTCGGTGCAAAGACGGAGAGTTCAGAACCAGTGCTCATGTATCATATCAGTGCTGCTGTGGCAGCCATGAACAGAAGAAACAAGATGACTTGGTGGGTGCTGGTCAAACTATAGGGTCCAAGGCAAAGGACAATGCAGCAGATACCTCAGTGGGACCTCCATAACAGCAGTGGAAATAATTGGAGACCACAAAAATGAAAACAAGAAAAGCTGTGTATCCCAACTTTGCCCTAGCAAGGGAATTAGCCACCATCACTTGTGTTTGTTGGAGACTCAAAGGCAAGAAGAGGAGTGGGAAAACTCCACAGTGGAAAAAGAGGCAAGGCTCCAGATGTGTCCTGATTGGAGGCTCTTGACATAGGGAAGCTGCAGGAAGGCTTAGCAGAAGCTGAATATTCTATTTTCCTGGTAAGAGTGCATGTTTGGCCTTCTCAGTTTGGTCCTAAGTTGGAAGCAAAGGCAAAAATTAGGTCAGCTGTCAGTTACTAATCAAGACTAGACTGTTGGGACTGATTGTTGTAGGTTGTGTTCAGAGTTCTCTTTTTATATGTAGACTGGTTGTTATCCATTTGCATATTTATCTTTGAAAATGAAAGGACAAATCACCAAAAGCAATGACATATTTGCAAATGATAAATCTGCTCATGAACTATTCAGACGAAAACATTTCATAGTACTCATTAACAAAAGATAAACTATTTAAAATGTAAAGTGGATTTCAATAGCATTTCTCCGAGGAAAATATACTATTCCAATATGTACAATATCATTAGTCAATACAGACATCCATACTGGCATCACAATGCAATACAACTTCATACTCACTAGAGTGGCTGTAATCAAACAATAGAAAAT
The DNA here is from genome assembly GCF_000001405.40 of Homo sapiens. NCBI lineage: Eukaryota > Metazoa > Chordata > Mammalia > Primates > Hominidae > Homo > Homo sapiens. Next base: position 11,785,905 of record NC_000024.10, on the reverse strand, counting down.
AACAAGTGATGACAAGGAGGGGGAGAATAGGGACCCCCCAGACATTGCCTACAGAAATGCAAATGAATGCAGCCACTTTGTTAAGCAATTTGGTAGTTTCTCAGAGTGCCATATGTAGAATTACCATATGACTCAGCAGCTTCACTCCCAGATAGGTACCCAGAATAAATGGAAACCTATGTCCACTCAAAGACTCATGTGAAAGCTCATAGCAGCACTATCCATAGTAACCCAAAGTGGAAACAACCCAAATACTCATCAACTAGCAAAAGAAAAAAAGAAAAGTGTATCTATATAAGAATACTATTCAACAATTAAAAAATTTAAATGGGCAATGCACTTGGCTCAGAAGGAGAAGCCATTTCAACTTTGTTAGCTCCCACAGCAAAGAAGTAGATTGAGGGCTAGTGGCAGGGGTCCTGTGGAGGCCATCATTGTGCCATGGCCAGCAGGAGCACATGGGATGAGTCTGGGGCCACCTCATTGTTGCAGGCATCTCCATGCCTCAAGGACTCCAGGCCAGCTTGGCAGGAAGTCAGGGGAGCCCCCCATAGCCAAACTTGGGCAATGGCATGGCCTCTCTGGTCCCAGGAAGTTCAGCAGCCAGGCAGGCAGGAAATGGAAGCAGCCAAGTTAACTACCTCTTTTGTAGGGTTGGTAAGTAAACTATGAGTAAATATTGTAGTTAAGCATTAAGAGAAAAAAGCACTTTCAAAGCATACAGGACAAGTTGAATCATTTATAAAATAAGACCTCAGAAAGTCCAACAACAATGCAGCTTCAGTCATCTTTTGCTTTTTTAAAAGAAAAAAAAATACATCATTTTGCATTCTATGTATGATAAGAGAATGTTACTCATAAAGTACTTGAACTCCCTAAGCCTATGTGTCCACTTCCACCATTCAAGTGGATTCAGGGTCTTGGCATGACTGTCACCAGACAGGCTTTCCTTAAATAATTGGTGGCAGTGGTCTTACTGCCTCATCGAACTATATCTGGATATACTTATGTTGCTTTTAAAGGATTTTCATACAATTCCATGGTCTGCAGAACATGTGGGAGGTAGCTTATAGCTTCTTTTATTAATATAAACTACTTTCACTTTCTCCCATGACAGATTGCCCCAAATTAGGGTTTTTAGACTACTACAACTGCACCCGATGAGAAATTCATCTGTAGACTAGAGCTGTGTATTATATTATTTTGTCCTACAATATTTTCTTCAACTTTTTAATTTAATTTTTTAATTTTTTTTGAGATGGAGTTTCACTCTTGTAACCCAGGCTGGAGTGCAATGGTGTGATCTTGGCTCACTGCAACCTCTGCCTCCTGGGTTCAAGTCATTCTCCTGCCTCAGCCTGTCAAATAGCTGGAACTACAGGTGTGCAGCACCATGCCCAGCTGATTTATTTATTTTTTTGTACTTTTAGTAGAGATGGGGTTTCACCATGTTGGCCAGGCTGGTCTCGAATTCCTCACCTCAAGTGATCCACCTGCCTGGCCTCCCAAAGTGCTGGGATTACAGGCGTGAGCCCTCAACTTTTATTTTAGATTCAGTGGTTACATGTGTGGGTTTGTTACTTGAGTATATTTCATAATGCTAAGGTTTGAGGTATGAAAGATCCTGTTACCCAGGTACTGAGCATAGTACCCAATAGTTGTTTTTTTGACTTTTGCCCTCCTCCCTTTTCCTCCCTGCTCTAGCAGACCCCAGTGTCTATTGTTGCCATCTTCATGTCAATGAGTACCCAATATTAAGCTCCCGCTTATAAATGAGAACATGAGGTATGAGGTTTTCTATTCTTCCATCTGTTCTTGTTTGCTTAGGATAATGGCCTCCAGGCTGCATCCATGTTGCTGCAGAGGTTATGATTTCATTCTTTTTATGGCTGCATAGTATTCTATGGTATAGGTGTTAGGCCGTTCTTGAATTGCTATAAAGAATTACCTGAAACTGGGTAATTTATTCAGAAAAGAAGTTTAATTGGCTTATGGTTCTGCAAACAGTATAAGCATGGCACTGGCATCTCCTAGGCTTCTGAGGAGGCCTAAGGGCACTTTTACTCATGGCAGAAGGTGCAGCAGGAGCAGGCACTTCACTTGGTGAATGCAGGAGCAAGAAAGAGAGTGGGTGATGTGCCCCACACTTGACAACCATATCTCATGAGAACTCACTTGCTGTTGCAAGGACAACACCAAGCCATAAGGGATCCACCACCATGACCCAAATATCTCCAACCAGGCCCTACCCCCAACATTCGGGATTACATTTCAACATAAGATTTGAGTGGGGACAAATATCCAAACTATATGAGTGTATATGTACCATATTTTCTTTTTCCAATCTGTCATTGATGGGTATCTAGATTGATTCCATGTCTTTGCTATTGCCAATGGTGCCATGATGGACATGCGCATGTGTGTGCTTTTTTGAGAGAATGATTTCTTTTCCTGTGGGTATATACCCAGTAATGGGATTGCTGGGTTGAGTGGTAGTTCTAAGTCCTTTGAGAAATCTCCAAACTGCTTTTCACAGTGGCTGAATTAATTTACATTCCCACCAACAGTGTATAAGCACTCATTTTTCTCTGCAGCCATGCCCACATCTGTGGTTTTTTAACTTTTAAATAATAGCCATTCTGACTGGCATAAGGTAGTATCTCATTGTGGTTTTGATTTGCATTTCCCTGGTGATTCGTGATGTGGAGCATTTTTTCATATGTTTGTTGGCCACTTGTATGTCTTATTTTGAAAAGTGTCTGTTCATGTCTTTTGTTCAGTTTTTAATGGAATTGTTTTTTGCTTGTTCAATTGATTAAGTTCCTTAAAGATTTTTGGATGTTAGACTTTTGTCAGATGTGTAGTTTGTGAATATTTTCTCCCATTCTGCAGGTTGCATGTTTACTCCGTTGATAGGTTCTTTTGCTGAGGAGAAGCTCTTTAGTTTAGTTAGGTCCCACTTGTCAATTTTATTTTTTTGCAATTGCTTTTGATGACTTCATCATAAATTCTTTCCAGAATGGCATTTCCTAGGTTTTCTTCTAGGATTCTTATAGTTTGAGGTTGTACATTTAAATTTTTAATTCATCTTGAGTTAATTTTTGTATATGGTGACAGGTAAGGATCCAGTTTCATTCTTCTGCATATGACTAGCCTGCTATCCCAGCACTATTTATTGAATAGGAAGTACTTTCCACATTCCCTTTTTTTTGACTTTGTAAAAATTAGTTGGCTGTAGGTGTGCATCTTTATTTCTGGGTTCTATATTTTGTTCCATTGGTCCATGTGTCTGTTTTTGTGCCAGTAACATCACAGCTGTGTATTATTGCAAGCATTATAAACCCTTTGGTGGCAAGGGAGGTGATTATTAACAATGCAAGGACCAAGTACTGCAGCAGCAGCAGCAGCATCAAACAGTTGCATGAGAAGGAAAGCTTGGAACTTGAGGTGCTCCCTGCAGAGGCAAGCACCCAGCATGGCAGACCAGGTGGCCAACAAGGTGGGAGGTGTGGCTGTCGTCATCACGGAGCCAAACACACCAAGGAGTGCAGCAAAGATGAAGGTTCTAAGTGCAAATGGCAGCCTTGATTTTTAGAGCAACTGGCTGGGGCTTGATTGGTTAAATAAGTACTTACATAACAGGATGCTTACCATGATCCCCAGTCAGAATTTGTAGGTGCCCCATAGAAGTGGATGCCTGCTGGGAGTCCAGGTGCAGGCAGTGGTTTTGGGTACATATGCTTCCTACAGTCCACTTATCACCACAGAAGGGAATCTGTGGAGTTGGAGTTGAAATGAAAAGGGGCAGCTGAAACATGGTGACACCAAGAAAGCTGAAGCACCCAAACTGATAAAGGGTCCCAGTCCTGGGGTTACTGTGTCAGCAGCCTATGGGTGGAGCCACAACCCAGTGTTGCTGGAAGTGGGCACTGCATTTGCCTTTGGAAAGAACAAGATGCAGAAGGTGGGGCTTGGTCGTCAGACAGATGCAGTTCCTAGCCCTGCGCAGAAGGTATACAAGGCCAGCCATTCACCAAAATGGTCCATGGGACTGAATTCAGTGGGATGATGGACTGCAAAAACCAAAACTAAAACCAAAACAAAAAACAAAAAACAAAAACCCAAACTTTATTCCTTTGGGAGCCCTGAATATGGTCACCTGGTATACAACTCATGATGAGAAGTTCATGTCCCCACTGCTGTGGATAGAGTCCAGCTGGGAGCTGATGCCCAGGCAAGTGGCTGTCTTCATGGAGAAGGAAGAAAGATTAGCAGATTTTGCCAGTACCACACGTGGTTGTGCAGATGTGGCCTGTAGAGCTAACCACATGCTGGTCCTGGACTCCCAGAAGCACATCTTCTTCTGACACGGGGTGGCTATTGCTGGCTGGACCATGTGGAGCAGAAAAACGAGATGGTCCACCTCCCACAAGCGGTTTGGCTTTCCTGGAATGGGGTCCCCAGATCTATGCTGGTTATGCCTGGTCCTTTGCTGTCAGTGAAGAGGGTGACGTGTTTTTCTGGGAGGCCACCAACACTTCCCATGAGTCTATCATGTACCTGAAAGCAGTGCTGAACATCCGTGGCTGGAGAATGTGGAGCCTGGCTCATGGGAAGAGCATCATGGTGGCTGCAGATCATCTGGGGCCAGTCCCTGATCTTTGGTGAACTGGGCAGAGGGGACTCACAAGCCCACATCTCCCACTGCGGTCCAAGACATGAAGACGCTGCATGGTGTCTTCTCAGAGCAGGCTGCCATGGGTTACTCCCGCTCCTTGGTGATGGTGAGAGATGAAAGTGATACCCAGAAACTGCCAGAGTACAAACCCCTACCCTCTAATTCTCCCAGAAACTCCTCCAATTCCATGTCTCACGGCAGCTGTCATTTCCAAGTGCCCTGGGACATGAAGTCAAAGGAAGAATTTAAATACGATTATTCTGAAGTACATGCTTTAAACAACTTTTTGGATGTAGTAACATGATGATTGTTATTTAGAAATGTTTAGAAGTGATTCTTCATTATGGTACTGAAGACAAGAATCGGTGCTTTCAAAGAATCTGGCAAGTTGAACACATTAACAAAAATGACCTAAGCTTTTTCTTATAAAGAGCATTTAAGTTATTTTGGCAACCCCAGGGACCCACTGGTATTTGGAGAGGGGGTTCAGATAAAAATAGTGTCAGTCACAAGCACTCAGCTCTCCTAATAGTCTCAACGTCTGTGTAACATTTGCTGTTGCTGACGGAGGTTTGATCGGCAAAGTCCGCTTTCAGCTCTGATTCAACCTTTGACTCTGAGGTCCAGAGCTGTTTTTCACACCTCAGAAATCCTAAATCGTAAAGTCACTTACAGGTTTATCCATGACAGACTGCATAGGCTAACTAAAATGTCAGGTGCTTTTCCTTTAGCCTCGAATTGAATCTGCTCCATGTAGGAACACTTTTATGCTAGTTTGAAGTTAATTGCTAAAATCTGAACTAATTTTAAAAATGCAATTTTTCAAACATGCAGCTTTTTCAAACATAAATTTTCCACACCATTGCAACAAAGACTTCAGAGTATTTTTTCCTTTTGTTCTGTGAGAAGACGAGGACTATTTTAATTCCCCAGCTCTAAATTATTCTGTTTTCCTGTGTGTTGTTACTATTCAGATAAGTCTGAATTTTCATTCCTTTCTCTCACGTCAGTTATCTTCTGCATGTTTAAATAGCTAATTAGCATCAAATTACTTTTTTGAGGTTCAAGTTTGCCAACAATTTTAGGCTTTCATAATCTGCCAAAACCATTCATCTAAAGATACTGTTTCTAACTTTCTTTTGAAAATCTAAAACACTTTTGAATATAACATAATATACAAATACAAAAAATTTTGTAGTGTGATATTTTCATCATGGCACAGGTAAGTAGGCTTTACAGCTATAGTTAATGTTTCTTGTTGACATTTTAATTTAAATGATGAGGTAGCAAAAAACAATTCCAGGGAAAAATTGTAATACATAATCTCACAACACTAACATAAAATGTTTTCATTTTGTATCTTATTCTGTAGTCCTTGTTTACATGCTTTATAAGATTTTGCTTGTTTAGGATTGTTGAAATCATTGCGTGCATGTCATTTTGTTTTTGATAGTCTTTTACTAAAAGCTACATTATCAAAATAGTGGTTTACCCAAAACAGGCAGGGTAAGAAGTCAAGAGTATAACAGGAAAAACTGGTACGCTGAGATAGAGAAGAGAGTGCTGATAGGAACAAAAACATTAAAAGCTTTGGAAGAAGTCAATACTTATGAATTTGACAATTATATTTTCATTCTTTAAAATAATATTTGACATATACATGAGAATATAAATGAAATGTATGTAAGTTTAAAGAATGAGTATATCACGCCTGTAATCCCAGCACTTTGGGAGCCTGAGGCAGGCAGATTGCCTGAGCTCAGGAGTTCGTGACCAGCCTGGGCAACACAGTGAAACCCTGTCTCTACTAAAATACAAAAAAATTAGCTGGGTGTGGTGGTGTGCACCTGTAGTCCCAGCTACTCGGGAGGCTGAGGCAGGAGAATTGGTTGAACCTGGGAGGCAGAGGTTGCAGTGAGCTGAGATCGCACCACTTCCCTCCAGCCTAGGCTACCAAGCGAGAATCCATCTCAAAAATAAATAAATAAATAAATAATTTTAAAAAATAAAATAAAAAAATTAAAAAAGGAAGCATGAGTATAATCAATGCCTAGAGCTCACCACCCAAACTTAGGGTATTGAACAAATATCTATAATTTGCATTTACCTATGTGTTCCACTCTATGCCACCCTACTGCATACTCCCAAAGAAAACCACTCCCCTCAATTTTGTGTTATTTCTTTGCTTTTCCTCCTATGTCAGAAGTTGAGGTACTGAGTAATGCAACTTCAGACATAAAACTTAAATTTAGAAAGCCAAGCACACAGAGAACCCAACAGCTTATAAAACTATCAAAATCCTAAAGAAAAAGCAAAGAAAAATGGAATAATGTAAAAAAAAAACTAAAAAACAGTCATTACAAATATACAAGATGAAATGAATGACAACACTAAACTGATTTAACAGTAGAAGGGAGTGAACTCGCCTATTGAAAACAAATTCCTCAGAATGAGCTTAAAAACAGACATCTAGCAAGATGCCATCTAAAGGAGGAACAGCTAAAATAAAGTAACTCAAAACTTCAAAAGGAAATGATGACGAAAACTTCACCAGTTAAAATACTAAGTAAGAATATGAAATAGTCAAGAGGGCTATTGAAAATCAGGGGTTCAGCCCTCAATGAGGCTTTTAAAATAATGACATTTTACAAATCAAATAGCAGAGTTTTGAAGTATAAAATGCCAGTGAGTATCTTTGTAACATAAGTAAAAATTGGTAGTAGCACAATAGTTGTGGTAGATAATATGCCTCTCAGTTTTTGATAGATCATGCTGACAAAAGAAAATGCAGAATATGAGTGATACTTGATACTTATTTTCAAAGATATATACCAAATCTAGGTCAGGCGTGGTTGCTCACACCTGTAATCCCAGCACTTTGGGAGGCCGAGGCGGGCGGTTCACCTGAGGTCAGGAGTTCAAGACCAGCCTGGCCAACATGGTGAAACCCCATCTCTACTAAAAATACAAAAACTAGCCAGGCATGGTAGCGGGAACATGTAACCCCAGCTACTCAGTAGGCTGAGGCAGGAGAATCACTTAAACTCAGGAGATGGAAGTTGCAGTGAGCCAAGATCACGCCATCGCACTCCAGCTGGGCAACAGAGTGAGACTCTGCCTCAAAAACAAAAACAAAAACAACAAAACACCGTCAAAAAAAAAAAAAAAAAAAAAAAAAACAAATTGACTGTACCAAGTTCTGCTCCCCTCTGCAATATATAAAAATTCTTACTGCTATTCCTCCTTTCTGCATTCTATATCTTTTTTTCCCTGTTCTATTATCTGGATAGACTACTGATCTTTCATTTTTGAGGTGTAAAAATTATCTGTTTGGCTGTGTCTAATCTGCTTTTTAACTCACTATAGTTTATTTTATTTTATTTTATATTTGTTTATTTAGAGACAAGGTCTTGCTCTGACACCCAGGCTGAAGTGCAGTGGCATGACCTTGGCTTACTGCAGCCTCAATCTCCTGGGCTCAAGAAATCCTCCCATCTCAGCCTCCTGAGTAGCTGGGACTACAGGCACATGCCACTATGCAGGCTAATTTAATTTTTTTTTTTTTTTGTAGCGAGATGGGCCTCACTATGTTGCCCAGGGTGGTCTCAAACTTCTGGGCTTTAGTGATCCTCCCACCCTGGCCTCCCAAAGTGCTGGAATTATAAGTGTGAGCCACCATGCCCAGCCTTATTGTGATTGGTTTTTGATTTATTTGTTTATTTTTGTTTTATCCCCCTAAGTTTTTCATTTCTGGAAGTTTTGGTCATTTCCTTTAAAATATGCTTTTTTTCCCTTAAAAAGCCAATAGTTCCTTACTTATGATTTGATTTATTTTTTAATAATATGAAACTTATTTCTTTTCTATGATTTTCGTAAGTGCTTCATTTTTGCAAGTCCTGAGGCTCTAATTTCACCGGTTGTTGCGTGTGATTTTCATGCAGCTTGCTTGTTCATATCCACGATTTCATGATTGTGAGTACACCATATTTGTGGGAATTCTGTACTGCCTGTATCTGTCTTCTGGAGACATTTGCATCTGCTTCTGCCAGGAACCCCAGAAGTTCATTTCTTTTTTTCTCTTTTTGTTCTATAGACTTCATATTTTTAGATCAACTTTAGGTTCACAGCAAAACTGAGCAAAAAGTACAGAGTTTCCTCATAACCCTTGTCCCCACACATACACAGACTTCTCCACTGTTAGCATCCACCCCTGCCATCCAAAGAGAATGCTACATTTCTTACAATTGAACCTACATCAGTACATCATCATCACTCAAAATCCATACTTTACATTATGGTTCACTTTTGGTGCCCATTTCTTATTTAAAAAGAGCTTTTTATTGTGGAAAACTTCAAACACATGGAAAAAAATGTTACAGCTTCATGCAAGAGTCTCTGTTTCAACTCTATGCCTTGCAGAAGTCCAAAGCCGCCTCTCCAATCTCCATGGGGCAGTTAATATCCAAACTGCTCAGTTCCTGAGACCAATCAAAATGGCTTCACAGCAGAGAACCATTGCCACTTGTTCCCTCTGCTCATTTTTATGTTTTTTATTTCTATTACTTTATTTTATTTTAATTTAGGGCAGAGTCCTACTCTGTCACTCAGGCTGGAGTGCAGTGATGTGATCAAAGCTCACTGCAACGTCGACCTCCTTGGCTCCAGTGATCCTCCTGCCTCAGCCTCCCAAATAGTTGGAACTACAGGACCATGCCACCATGCCTGGCTAATTAAAAAATATTTGGGAGACGAGGTCTTGCTAAGTTGCCTAGGCTGATCTCCAACTCCTGGCCTCAAGTGATCTTCCTGTCTCAGGCTCCCAAGTTGCTGGGATTAAAGGTGTGTGCCACCACACCCGGCTTCTATTTCTGTATTTGAATTTTCCTTAATTTATTAGAGGCTCAGCTATGCATTAGAAATATTTTTTGATATATTTTATATCGCATATACAAGTGTTTTGTAACAGAAAGCTTTCAAGTGATCTACTTTGCTATATTTTCAGAATGGAACTATCTCGAGACTTTTCCACATTTAAATGCCTACTTCCTACTTCCCACTCTCCTTCAGGAGCTTCTCTTGTTTCTCCTGACCCTCAGATGTGCGTGGTTCCCTGGGTTTCACTTCGGTTCTCTTCTCTTCTTATCTATGTCTACGACTTCAACTAAATTGATAATTCCCAAGTTAGGATTTCTAGTCAAGACCTAGCTCTTGACTATATACCCCGCTGCTTACTGAATGTTCCCACTTTGGTGTCTCCCAGTTAACTATTCACCTATGCAAGTTCAGACCTGATTTTATTATTGTTTCCCACTGACTGTCTTTCTTGTTACTGTCCTGTAGATGGAACATTTCAAATCATAGTTCATGGAAAAAATGCCATGATTGACTAACCTTTAGAGATGGCCATTTGAATACAGGTTCATGATGTCTGAGGGCCTGCTCTGCCAGGCTCAGCACCACGCAGGGCTTACAGTGGCGTCTTTACATGAGGCAGCATTGAGCCCCAGAATCCAGGCTTTCCAGGCACATGACTGCCTCACCTTACCTGGGGAAATTGAGCTTTCGGAGTCAAATGACAACACATTTGATGAAGAGGCAGTGCACACTGGTGGGTATTCTCTTCCTCCGTGTTACTCTCATCCAAACCAATGCAGCCTCAGCCCCTCTGTAACAATTGCATCGAGCCTCTTCGCCCTCACATCCATGGTTCAGAAACGGGGCTTACCGGTAATCTGCAGGGTTTTCCTTTTATCTGTCTGGGGAATGTGTAGCACATTGCTGGCCTGTAGCAGACTTTTAAATTATAATACTTGTTGTGTTGAATTAAATGAATACAAATTCTCACTGCCACTTGGGAAAGGTAATCTGAAATACAGCAAAAAAAAATATAGTTTTCATGGTGAGACATGATTGGCTCTAATACATTCATAAACAGGAAAATACATCAAAACCACTTTACGTGTCAGGAGGAAACATGGTTTTGGGTCTCGGTTTATAGACTTGCATATGGTTGTTGTTGTATCTAAAATTTAGGTTTGCATACACTGACCTGTGATGAGTATATCAATGCAGATGTATATTTGCAAATGCAAGGTATTAAATGCAATGTATTCTGTCTCAAAAACAAGAAGAGATTAGCCAACAGTGAGACATCTTCTCTCAAGCACTGCGTTGAATAGCATATTAGATCATCCGAATGCTTTTCACAGTTTAGCAATTTATTTCTTGCTTTTGCTTCTAGTTTGAAGGTCAAATTCTATTTGAGATAGATCATTCACACTCAGTTAATCTGCCACCAGGTTTTGATGGATACAGCAAGGTGCTCTTGAGACAGGAACATGAACATCTATAAATTTAAAACCTTGAGATATCGAGACATCAAAACCAAGTGTACTTGTTCTTACTAGGGTTGGGACAAAGGGCTGAATCTGACCTATTTTTCCATTGCTCAATTTAGCCTTTCCCTCTTAATACTGAATATACCTTTTAAAAAGGAAATAATAAAATAAAATATGGCTATGATCTATTGAGTTCTTACTATATTCTAGGCACTGTACTATGTGTTTTACATAGACTATTTTGTTTATGCTCAACATAACTGTATCAGATAGGCTCACTAGGTATGAGAAAATGGAATCTCAAAGAGTGTGTGCTTTCACCAGTCTCATGGATAGCCTGGCAGAAAAATGTCACGATTAAGACTGCTGGTTCCGGAATTGAACTATCTGGGTTTCAATCTCTGCTCAGGCACTCAGTTTGTGACTATGAGTAATCAACTTAACCATCCATGTCCCATTCTTGCCCCCAGGTTTATTGTAAAGATTTAATAAGTGAAACCAGGCATGGTGGCTCACGGCTGTAATCCCCACACTTTGGGAGGCTGGGGCAGGAGGATTGCTTGATCCCAGGAGTTCTAGATAAGCCTGGGCAATATAGGTAGACTCCATCCCTACAAAAACAAAAGTATCCAGGCACACATCTGTAGTCCCAGGTACTCAAGAAGCTGAGGCAGGGAGATCAATTGAGACTGGGAGGTTGAGGCTGTAGTGACTGTGATCATGCTAGTGCACTCCAACCTGGGCAACAGAATGAGACCCTGTCTCAAAAACAAAAAAAAATTAATTAGTGAATATGACGCTTTCTGACTAGTACCCAGCCTAGTAGTCACTCAATCAACAGTAGCAAATATTATGAGGTGGAGCAAGGATTTCAAATCCAAGTCTGTTTGATTTCAAAACTCATGTTCCTAGTCATTATTCACTTTGCCTCCCCTCTAAATGTTTTTTGAAAAATGGAAACACTTGGGCTTAGGGGGCTTTTTAGAGGAATAGTGGAGCCCAAGGCCATTCATCACTGTGTCATTTTGATAGACGCAGGAAGCAGAGAACTCTCCTAGGCAGATAGGGGAGGGTCCCCAGAGAATTTCTGACGTGCCCCACACATATCTGCACCAGATGCTTTGTGCAGGTAAGGGAACCTGCACAGGGGGCTTGCCTAAACCTGCCTGTGGTGAAAAATTCCATCCATTAACTCATGCACAGTCAGAGAAATAAATCAATATAGAGTGGCTCAGACTAAGGGCCTGCATGTGCACTGGAAAGATGGAGTAGGGCTTCCAGGAATTCATGCCTTACACAAGTAGGGAACCCAGCCCCATCAGTGGAATACAGAAGCCTTTGTATTCAACTGTGAAGGGGGACAACCAAACCTGCTTTCAGGACCCCTCTTTTTGCTGAGGGCTTTCCTTTTCACTTAATAAATTCTACTTCACTCACTCTTTGATGTCCGTGTGTCTAATTTTTCCTGGTCATGAGACAAGAACCCAGATCTAGCTGAGCTAAGGAGTAAAAAATCCTGGATCAATTCATTCAGTTATCCCACAGCCTCTCAGCCTGCCACACACTTACATGAGAAAGGCGAATGCGTGTCTTCCACTGGTAGCTGTATGGAGTGTTCTCCGTTCTGAGGATCCTCTTTGTAAAAGCATCCATTGCATTTGGAGATGGTGTCTCCCCTTAGAAAATGCAGTAGAGTTTGAACTAGACATGATCTTGCAGATATTACTACCATGGGGCATGAGTAGGCACTAATGGCTTCTTTACATGCAATGCTGTCTTAGGTATCAGAAAGCGAGAATTATACACAGTGCTAAAACCTAAAACCTTAAACCTAAAACCTTAGGTGATCTTAGTGTATAAGATCACAGAATCTCCTAAATCATTGATCATTGATAACCTCCTAAACTGCATATCCATTGACCATCACTTCCTACAAATCCCAGAAAAATAAGTTTTTTATACCATATTTAGTTTACCACATTTATTCATATGATTATCTTAGTTTTCCAACTTTAAGTTGTTCTTCATTCATCACTGACCTGAGGTGATGTTAAAATTTGCTGCAGATATGCATGTAGAGATACTTATACATCTATAAATCTATATCAATGTCTAGTACTTTGATTTATGATTACAAACATCTCAAATAAATTAACATCTCCACCTCGATGAATTCATGCTCATTTTCCTTGTACTCCAATTTCTCTGCTTGTCTTTTTCTGTGTTGGTATTCCTGTGTAGTATTGTCATGTTATGTACACTCCTGGTGTGACCTTGCATGGTGTCAGACTTCTACATTTTTGCATCAGTATCCTAAGCTTCAGACCCTTATATTCAACTTCCAGCTGAACAGCTTCATTAGTATGTTTCACAGCTTCCACAACCAGGCATGTACCAAACTAGATTTGTTACCTCTCCCTTTCCCTGACTCAAACCTATTTTGTGTTTCCAGTTTCAGTTGATCATGCCATCACCCACCTCAGTCATCCAAACCAGCGATCCAGAATCTTCTTAACTTCTGTCATCTGCCTCACTCCCCACCTTCAACCAGTCCCCGAGTCTTACTCATTCAGTGCTTTAGCTGGGAACATGTTCCTTCACCTGAAGTGCCCCATCAATCTCCTGAGTAAGAACTTGGACTCCACTTGTTCTTCTTATTCATTCCCCATCTGGCTGCCCAACTACAGTTCCAAAAGCAAATTAGATGATTTTTCATCCTTACTTAAAATCCTTTAGTGACACCCCACAGAGATTTAGTAAGAAAGCCCTAACTTCATGGTCCTACCAGAGATGAGCTTTCTGTTCCAAATGTGTTAAACATTCCCATCTCCAGCTTTCCCTTCCCCTGGTCTAGCCTCCCATTTTCCTTCTCCTTTACTTCCCACAGCTTCCCATGCTTCCCTCTGATCCAAAGCAAAGCTCATGCTTGAACATCGTTGTTCTTTGACCTTCATATGCATAATCTGCTTCAGAGTTCAAGATTTGATTCAGGCATCACTTCTTCTGGGGAGTCTTTCCTGATTCTTCTAATCTGTGTCTGACCATTATTGATCCCTCACTGTGTATCAGAAATTTTATTTAAATTTTTTAGTTCTCATCAAACTCCTATGAGGCAGGTTCTTATATTGTCCTTATTTTACTAAAGAGGAAAGAGTACCAAGAGATAAAGTTATTTGCATCTACTAGTAAATGACAGAGTGGAGATTTGAATCCAGATGTCTGTGGAGGGCAGGGCTTGTGTATGAGTATTAGTGTTTAGCTAACTCTGGCTTGTGAATTGAATTAATTCTCAGGTTTGGTGTTAGACTCAATCTGAAGTAAGAAAATATATTTTGGAATTTAAAAAATACATGTTGGGGTTATTTAGCCTTCTTCCCAGAACTCTAATTTCCCTACAATGTCTCAACCCCCTCAATTCATATGAGAATAATTACTTCAGGTTTAGTGGGAACTGGTGAATTTTTACGTGCTCATGCTTTCTGGCTTAAATCGGGTGTAACACTGACTGAGGGGTCTCTGGAAGCACGTTGCCCTGGGATCCAATACCTTACGCTGGGGCAAGTTGAAGACAGGGGTATAAGCAAGGTTTGTGAAAAGATTTGGGAGAGATGAAACCTTCTAGAAAGACTCACATCACACTTTCCTTTCTTTTTCTTTTCTTTTCTTTTTTTTTTTGACAGAGTATCACTCTATCCCTCAGGCTGGAGTGCAGTGGCGTGATCTTGGCTCACTGCAACCTTCACCTCCCAGGTTCAAGCGATTCTCCTACCTCAGCCTCCTGAGTAGCTGGGATTAAAGGGGCATGCCACCGTGTCTGGTTGATTTTTTTTCTTGTATTTTTAGTAGAGGTGGGGTTTCACCATTTTGGCCAGGCTGGTCTTGAACTCCTGAACTCAAGTCATCCACTTGCCTCAGCTTCCAAAGGTGCTGAGATTATGGGCGTGAGCCACCTTACCTGGCCTCAAATCACACTTTCTATGTGTCTTTTTCCTCAGAGGTGGAAACTGTTTGTTTGTTTCTTTTATACAGAATCAACCAATAAATTCAAAAAGGCACCAGTATAAGTTCAAGGTAAACAAACTTCCATAATATTTAATCAGAATTTTAAAAAATCATCAGAGGAAATGTGTACCTGAGTGAAGCAGTATTGGCTAACCACCAGCAAAATTTTAGACTCCAATTATTGTACTTATTTTTTAGTCCAAGAAAGCAAATTTGTTTATTGGATTAAAAAGAGTAAAATAATATTTTTACGTGTTTGATATACACTTTATATGGTAAATATCACATAAATTTAATGATCATATTATTGATAATGATATTGTATTTATTTTCGATAACTGGGTGACTAGAAGAGTACCATCCACTCACTCCATTTTTAATGACGGATGAAGACTCACTATAGAGGCATTTTAACCCCATCTGTAAACCCTGAAGCTGTGATCAAACAGTGATTTCTTCAGATTAGTAGCCAGCCTGGAAGTCTAGCCCTGGTTTCCTGACTCCAGTATAGTGCTTCTGATGTGCTCTGAATACAATTACACAGTCTCAATTAGCCTTGCTCTCTTCTATTAAATCCAAATAAGTTCCTTAGTATAATTAGTATGACTAAGGTTTTCTGTGGGTGCAAAAGTAATTGCAGTTTTGGCCATTACTTTTAAAACCACAGTTAATTTTGCACTGACCTAACACCTTTAAAAAAAAAAAGTGGAACTGAAACTTTCTGTTAATGAGAGACAGAGGGAGAGACAGAGACTCAGAATCATCTGCTCCAACCTACCCCCATGGATATCACTCCCCACCCAGAGCCTCTGCGACACCATTTCTTTCCATTTTGCAGCCATTCTTCCAGCCATGCCAAGTTTTTCCAGATATTTTGAATTTTTGCCTTTTTTCCCGTTGCCTTTCATTCCACATTCAAGCTGATTTAATCTTTCATCTCATCCCCTCCTCCCTGCTGGGGAAACTTCTCCTGCTCCCCACCAAAGAGCTGGGCACTCCTGTCTTGAAGATTTCTCAACTTCTCTTTTGTCAGGGAGCTCCCTGTATTTTAATCATGTGAGGGCCCTGACTGTTCCCTGTCAGAGACTACAAGGTGTCTATGGAAGGAATAAATGGCCACTGGGCTTTCTCTAGAGTGTAGATGTATAGTGCCTAATGCAAGGAGTGTTCAGGTCCTAATTCAGTATAAAATGGAAATTGAAAGCAAGAGGGCTGCTATTATATTTCCTGTTTCACCCTTTGGAGGATTTTTAAGATGTCAGAACTAGGCCAGTCACGGTGGCTCACGCCTGTAATCCCAGCATTTTGGGAGGCCAAGGCAGGTGGATCACCAGGTCAGGAGATCGAGACCATCCTGGGTAACATGGTGAAACCCCATCTCTTCTAAAAATACAAAAAAATTAGCCGGGCTTGGTGGTAGGCGCCTGTAGTCCCAGCTACTCAGAAGGCTGAGGCAGGAGAATGGCATGAACCCAGGAGGCAGAGCTTGTAGTGAGCCGATATTGCACCACTGCACTCCAGCCTGGGTGACAGAGCAAGATTCCATCAAAAACAAAAGAAAAAGAAAAGATGTCAGAACTAGAGGAAAGGTAAAAAATAGTATTCATCATCTGATAATTTAATCTCTACAATGAAAAGAAACTATTTGACTCTTTGCTTCTTTGATTGAGTTATAGCCTCTATTTAGATTTATGGATTTAGGGTGTATGTATGTAGAGGAAATACTGTTTCAAAAAAAAAAATGGAATCTCAATCTAAACACTTTTACATTTACTCAAAATGGATCATGGACTTAAATGTAAAACTATGAAACTTTTTGAAAAAAGGAGAAAAATCGTCAGGATCTAGGGCTAAGCAAAGAGATCTTAGACTTGACAACAAAAGCACAATCCATAAAAGGAAAAGTAGATAAATCGGGTCTCATTAAAACTGAAAGCTTGTTATCTGTGGAACATATGTGAAAAAGATGAAAAGACAGGTTGCAGACCAAGAGAAAATACTTGCAAATCACATATCCATCAAAAGACTAGTATTTAGAATATATAAAGGACTCTGAAAACTCAACATTAAAAAAAATCCAGTTAGAAAGTGGGCAAAACACATAAACAGCTATTTCACCAAGGAGACTATACAGTTAGAAAATAAGCACATAAAAAGAAGTTCAACCTCATTGGACATCATGATAATGCAAATGAAACCACAATGAATTGTCAATACACAGCTATTGGAATGGCTAAGATAAAAAATAGTGACGAAACCAAACCTAGCAGGGATGCAGAAAAAAAATGGAGCTTTTACATTCCTGGGAGGAATGATACAGCCACTTTGGAAAATAGTTTCACAGCTCTTATCCGGCTAAAGATGCAATTACCATATGGCCCAGCAATTGTATTCTTAAGCATTTAACTCAGAGAAATAAAAATTTATGTTCATACAAAAACCTGTACACAAATGTTCATAGCAGCTTTATTCATAATATCTAAAAGCTGGAAATAGCTCAGAGGTCCTTCTATGGGTAAATGGTTAAACAAACTGTGGTATATACATGGAATAACCCAGTAATAAAAAGGAACAAATTTTTGATACACACACTGATGGATGAATCTTCAGAGAATTATGCTGAATGAAAAAAGTGATTCTGCAAATGTTTCATACTGTGTAATTACATTTACGTAAAGCAGTCCTGAAATAACAAACCTTAGAAATGGAGAACAGATAAGTGGTTGCCAGAGGTTAGGGGTGGGGAGGGGAGTTAGGAGGGACTTGGGTTGTGTTATAAAAGTGCAGCACAAGGGATACTTGTCATGTTGGAACTTCTCAGTATCTTGACTGTGCTGGTGGATGTCTGAGCATACATGTGATAAAAGTAGATAGTACCTGATTCACACACACACACACACAAACACAGAGTCATGAGTACAGCAGGTTCTCCAGTAACATCATTTCATTCAATGTCATTTTGTTACAACACTGATGAAAAAAAAGAGTCCTGGCCAGGGCCTGTCTGTGTTGAGTTTGTGGGTTCTCTGCATGACTGTGTGGGTTTTCTCTGTGTGCCTTGGTTTCCTCCTACATTCCAAAGCTGTGCCTTTTAGGTTCATTGGTATGTCTACATGGTTCCAGTGGTGTGAGTCAGCGTGGGTGTATGTGAATGCACCCTGGGATAAGAGGGCATCCCATCCAGGGTTGGTTTCTGCCTTGTGACCTGAGCTGCCTGGATGGGCTCCAGCCACCAATAACCCTTAACTGAAATAAGCAGGTTGGAAAATGAATGAATGCATACAAATGATCATAAAATAAAATTTCACAAAGTCTATGATAATCATCCAAATGCATGACAATAAATGATGCCTGACAAAAGCCGCCATGTTGGTAATTGTTTTTGGCCTGCAAGGTGGTGGGAGGTGCCCCAGACAATGTTTGCTTTACATTTATTCTTTGAACTCACCACCAGACAACCACCACCATTCACAAATTCACCCAAAATTGAGTAAACAATTATCTTACCTGTTTTTATTAATCTGTCCTAAATGTGTGTATAGTTCACATTTATTCCAGGGCTTAATACTAATCAGGAGTGTTTTACGTCTTTATTTAGAAGTTTGGTCATATTTTTGGGACCAGAAATGTACCTAGGAATTTAACTCCTGCTTGTATCAATTAGCCTATGGTAAAATTGGTTTTATTATACTTGGTTTCACTTAAAGTTGCAGTTTTCAAGAAACTATATGCCACGTTAAGCGAGGAATTATTGTACAAGTAAAACTGGGAAAGCTGGAAGAAGGTCTGTGGGTTGTATCAATGCCAATATGGTTGTGATGTTATACTATAGCTCTGCAAAATTTTACCCTTGGGGGAAACTGGTTAAAGTGTATATTGGGGCCAGGTGCGGTGGCTCATGCCTGTAATCCCAGCATTTTGGGAGGCCGAAGTGGGTGGATCACTTGAGGTCAGGAGTTTGAGATTAGCCTGGCCAACATGGTGAAACCCCATCTCTACTAAAAATACAAAAATTAGCCAGGCGTGGTGGCAGGCACCTGTAATCCCAGCTACTCTGGAGGCTGAAGCATAAGAATAGCTTGAACCCAGGAGGCGGAGGTTGCAGTGAGCCGAGATCCCACCACTGCACTCCAGCCTGGGTGACAGAGTGAGACTCTGTCTCAAAAGAAAAAAAAAACCCTTTAAATAAATAAATAAAGTGCATATGGGATCTCTATGTATTATTTCTTCTAACTGTATGCAGATCTATTCTATAATTATCTCAGTAAAAATTTCAGTCAAGAAGGCAGGGGCTTATTTATACTCCTGGTCTTTTCCCTTCAGCAACTTCTGTTTTTTCAAAGAGAAATCCTGTCAAGGAAACTTTCAGAGAAGACTGTTTATCACAACTAAATTGGAAATCACGGCAGCTGAGGAGAATGGCACCAGTCAAAATTTGACTGAACTAAAATACAGTACTAAGGGAGTGAGGTCATCTTTCTTGTTAAAACATCCTTTATCCGGCCGGGTGCTGTTGCTCACGCCTGTAATTCTAGCACTTTGGGAGGCCGAAATGGGCAGATCACGAGGTCAGGAGATTGAGACCATCCTGGCTAACACGGTGAAAACCCATCTCTACTAAAAATACAAAAAATTAGCCGGGCGTGGTGGCGGGCGCCTGTAGTCCCAGCTACTCAGGAGGCTGAGGCAGGAGAATGGCGTGAACCCGGGAGGCGGAGGTTGCAGTGAGCCGAGATCCCGCCACTGCCCTCCAGCCTGGGCGACAGAGCGAGACTCCTTCTCAAAAAAACAAACAAACAAAAATCCTTTATCTGTGGCTTTAGATCAGTAGTACAGACTTAATCTGTTTTATGTTTGTGTTACGGGCAGGACAATCCACGGTTTTAGAAAGGTTTTTTAAAAGATAATTAGTTGTTAATGAAAAAAGTATAACAATTACTCAAAGCTTAGGGTTTATTTTATTTTAGAGAAATGTGCAACATACAGAAACACAGAAAAATGAATCACCCCAAAATTAATATTTGCCTCAAAGTTCTTTTTCTTTTCCTGATTCTGTATATTTCACACCTGACCAAGTTAGACATAATTGTGAATTTAGTTTGTATCTGGTCCATGTTTTTCTCATTTGATGATCTAGAAACACACACACATAAACACATTAATGTTTTTTAAAAAATTACACAAATATTATACCACATTTTATATTCTCCAGTTTTCATTCCTCACTAAAGATTCTGTTTTAGATATTTGTTTCTGTTGACATATTTGGATCCAGTTTTGTTTAGCAACTATAGAATACTGCATATGCATGTATTACAGTTTATTCTTCTGTTGATGAGCATATATTTGATCTCCAATTTTTTCCCATTGCAAGTATAAAAGAAGAAATTTGTACCTGCAGCAATCCTTTCTTAGGTTATCTCAAACCAAATGCTGTTTCACTGGCTGTGCATGGTGGCTCACGCCTGTAATCCCAGTACTTTGGGAGGCCAAGGTGGGTGGATCATTTGGGGTCAGGAGTTTGAGACCAGCCTGGCCAACATGGTGAAACCCCACCTCTACTAAAAATACGAAAATTAGCCAGGTATGATGGCACCAGCCTGTAGCCCTAGCTACTCTAGAGGCTGAGGCAGGAGAATCGCTTGAACCTGGGAGGCGGAGGTTGTAGTGAGCCGAGATTGTGCCACTGCACTCCAGCCTGAGCAAGACTCCATCTCAAAAAAAAAAAAAAAAAAAGAAAAGAAAAGAAAAGAAAAGAAAAGAAGTAATAAATAAACATTGGCACTGGTTTTAAATCTATTTAATCAGTGATAGGTCTGTAGCTATGATATTAAATAAACAGCAGCATTGTTTTTAAATATCTTTATTAAATCAATGGCAACTCACTTCAGTGAATACAGCCTCTGAAAGCTGCCAATCAGTGACAGCCTCATGCTTTGAAAGTCTACGAATCGGCATCAGATTCACTCCAGTTAATATGCTGCTAAGGCCGACGTATACTCCCATATCTGTAACTAACAAAAGGCATGCTTCTGTAGCCAACACAATCCATGCTTCTTAGACTACCACCAACCCAGTCCTGCTTCTGTAACCATTACTACTCAACGTGAACTCTTCCCAAAGAACTTTCCCTATGAGATGAGAAGTTTGTTTAATGAGCTATTTGACCAGCCTAGCTGTCTGCTTCTTGGTTTCAGATACTGAACGATGTTTTTCTCTTTCAACATTTACTACTAATTTATTTTAATCAACTCTGCATAGATATGTAGTCATTGTACCTTATCCAGGGTGCAAGCTTCAGTTTGTAATTAGCCTCCCTACCCCCACCAGAGAAATACTCAGTTTCTTGATTTACCTGTCTTCTCTTATTTTGCAAGTAAATAAGTTCTTTTTTGGTCACTATAGTGGTCCTTACCTTTTTTTTAAATACAAATAATATTGCAATGAACAATCATTTACAAGTCTTCCTATCTAGAAGTAGAACAGCGGAGTAGAAAGTAACATAACTTTACTAGACATTGCAAGATTGATCTCCAAAATAATATTCCTAATTTACAGCCACACCATTAACAAGGATGTTGTTACCAACACTTTGTATCATTAGACTAAAATTGTTGCCAATCAAATGAGTATGAAATGGTAGCTTAATGTTCTCACTTTTTTTTTTCCTGATTACCCAAGTGTGGTTGAGCTCCTTTGGCTGTTGATTAGCAATTTGTTTTTTTTTTTCCTATGTGACTTACCTGTTCTTCAAAACCATTTTTCTATTGTATCATTCATCATTTTCTTATAAGTTTTAAGAGTTCTTTGTGAATTTTAGTTACTAATCTTTGCCATATATACTGCAACTATTGTCACTTGTCTCAACTTTATTTTTCTTAAATCATAGCTGACAATTTAAATTGCTGTACGATCAATTCCAACAGTGGTATCCTTGTAATTTGTGCTTTCTGGGCTTGTTAAGAAATCCTTCCCTATTTTGGAGCTATAAATACATTCTTCTATATTTTTGACTGACAATTTTTTTCCATGTTTTGTTTCTTTTCCTTTTTTTTTTTTTTTTTGAGTTGGAGTCTTGCACTGTTGTTCAGGCTGGAGTGCAGTGGCATGATCTCGGCTCACTGCAACCTCCACCTCCCGGATTCAAGCGATTCTCCTGCCTCAGCCTCCTGAGTAGCTGGGATTACAGGCACCCACCACCATGCCCAGCTAATTTTTTGTATTTTAAGTAGAGACGGGGTTTCACTATCTTGGCCAAGCTAGTCTTGAACTCCTGACCTTGTGATCCGCTTGCCTCAGCCTCCCAAAGTGCTGGGATTACAGGCGTGAGCCACCGCGCCTGGCCCCACGTTTTGTTTCAAAAAATCAATCTAGAGTTTATGTTTGTGTAGGGTGTGATATTATGAGATTTAAATTAATGTTTTTATATCAAAATGTAATTTTTCTGTGAATGAACTGTAGCTCTGCACAACAGGAATGAATCTTACAAAGTTGATGCTGAATCAAAGGAGTAGGTCACAGAAAGTAACCTTGACAGAATTTGCTAATAGATTGGATTTTAAAAAACTAACAAATTAAGAGAAAACAGAAAACATTTTGAGGGCCATATTACGCATATTACATCATATCTAAAATGAACTGTAATATGGTTATCTTAGTAACACAATCCCTGTTTATTATAATACTTCAATTAAGGTAATGCATTACCATTTACAAAGCACTTTCACAAGAATGATTGTATTTCAAAACAAGGCTTACCATAGTGATTCCTAAACCATGGGGCCAGTGCATCAGCATCACTTGGGAGCTTGTCAGAAATGCAGAATCAAAAGCTCCAACCGAAACCTAAATAAGCAGAATCTGAAGCTTAATAAAAGTCCCCTGGGGTTGTTATACACATTAAAGTCTGAGAAGCTATGGGCTAGAGAATTTATTTGTAAGAAGCTCTCAGATGCTCTTAACAATGAGCCAGGCTTCAGGACAACTGGCCCATAGCATCTTTCTTCCAAGAAGTCCCAATATTTGCCATAAATACCATTAATCTTTATCTTCAAAACAGCTCCTTCTGCCTACTTTTCTCCTTTGTAGAAAATAAGGAGGCCATATCTACACACACACAAAGAAACTGGTGACGCTGAGATGCTCAGATGAAGAGTGATCCGGTTTCTATGGTCAACTCTTGCCTTTTACTAAGTCAGCTGTCATGGTCTTGGTGATGGGAATACCCTTAACTGGGGAAGTATATATGGAAGTCAACTTCTTTGCCAGCTAACCCACACACAAAAATCCCCAACCAAGTGTTTCAAATTGGTTAGGATGCCTCTTGATACAGTATTTATAGGGTGGATTTTATTGATAAAATATTTGTAGTAATAAATCTGTGTAATTTGCAAACTCTATAAAGGTCTAAAGACCCATCTCTTTAGCCAGAGAGCATTTTAATTCTTGCTTTCTCTGGTAGGGAAGATTTTTGATTGACAAATGCCTTGGGGTTGGACTAAACAGAAAAAAACAAACAGCTAATGAGTATCCTTCTGCTTTGGTTTGCTTATTCATTTTGCTACAGATCAATCCTGAACTAGACTCTCTATTCTAAAGCATCATTCACTGTGTTGGAAAATCATTAATTAATTGAACTTGGGCACCTCCTTATTACTAATTATTCTTCTGCCTAAAGAAGAGACCCATTATTTTCTCATCACTCCCAGGGCTGCATGTCAAAGAACATCCCATTTAACCAATTTTAAGCTATTAGCCAGAACTGATTTGCTAAAATGATGAAGCTAATGATATGTTGGGGTTGATGACTTACTGCCCATAGGAGATAGCACTAGCTTGATAATGAGGAAATGGAAATTCACTCCCTGGGCTATCACTGTGACTAATTAATATCACATTATTTAGCGAATTGCACCTTAGAAAAGAAATGCTGAATGAAAACTTGTAGTGAAATGCAAAAGCCAATGTTAGGTAATTAAAGAACCAACTCTATTCTTATTTCTGTTTTTATGATTGTCTAACCAACTCTGAATTTGGGCCTTTATCCCTGTATCTAAAGCGTTCATTAGCACATTTATTAAGTGTATGCCTAGTTTCTCTTATCTACTACAACCATTTAATTTCTTCTCCAAGTTTAAAGAAAATGTTTTCATCAATTAAGCAAGAAATCAATTATTCAATGTTACCATTTTTAGAGCCTGTGCATCTTCTTTGTTTTTGACAGTGGAGAGAAATAAATGCCACATTTATAGTTTTAAAACAAAGACATAGCTTCTTGAGGTCATGAGTCTATAGGCCTAGCTCAGGCAGAAAAACACAAGAAGAGTTCAAAAATATTGTTATGAATTGAGGTATGCCTTGGCTGCATGAAAAGCACCTTCCTCCTTTACTGTTTATGTAAATGTCTAGGAAATGAAGTGGCTGAATGCATTACTTAATTTGATGAATAAGAGATATGATGCTTCATGATTAGTAATGCATTCTTCTTATTATAATTGCCCTAAAATGATCTTATTCTCTATCACCTCGGACAGTGTAATAAGACAGGAAAAAATCAATACTTTCATGTGTGGGATATATTGGGTAAAGTGTGGCCATAACCTCCTGACTTATCTTTTACTGGATTATTTTTCATTCCTCAATTTAAAGTGTTTGAAGATAAAGCTTATAAGGTAAAAAGTAAAATAGTCCTGGCCGGACGCGGTGGCTCACACCTGTAATCCCAGCACTCCGGAAGGCCGAGGCGGGTGGATCATGAGGTCAGGAGTTGAAGATCAGCCTGACCAATATGGTGAAACCCCGTCTCTACTAAAAATACAAAAATTAGCCAGGCACGGTGGCAGGTGCCTGTAATCTCAGCTACTTGGGAGGCCGAGGCAAGAGAACGTCTTGAACCTGGGTGGCAGAGGTTGCAGTGAGCCAAGATCATGCCACTGCAACTCCAGCTTGGGCTACAGAACGAGACTCTGTCTCAAACAAACAAACAAAACAAAACAAACAAACAAAAAAGTAAAATAGTTTTTGCAACCCTTATATCTCATCCTGAAAGAGAGAATTTAGACTCCTCTGGATCAGCAATTATTCATAAGCATCCCATAGCAACACAGATTATGACTGAATAGAGAAGCTTAGCCTTTGGCCTGCCTATATGATATATAGCCAGTGATAAGGCCACTTAATGGCACTCTGGTGCCATAGAGTAAAACAGCACCAGGTTTTTGCGCCTGCTGCCACATGGCTTTTGGGTTTGGTGCAACATTCTCTCATGGCTACACTTGAGGTTGGAACCTTGGTTTCTCTTCTAAGAGACTCTTAATTTAGAGATTAACCCAGACAAACTCCTGAGTCTAATCATGTGACAGTGAGGGGCAAGGGTTGACCTAGTTATGTTTTAGGACAATATCTCCAAGGTAGGGTTCTCAAACCTCCTGCCTCAGAGTCCACAGAACTTTGAGAATGGCAAGTCTAAAAAGCTCCCCATTGGACCCTAATGCACGTTAAATTTTGAGAAGCGTTGCTTCAGGAATAAAGTGAATAGTCAGAGATCATCAATGGCCCAGGAGAGATGGCTACCCCCACCGAGGATGTATGAAACTTATGGGCATTAGCTGTTCATCTGATGGACTCTGGATTCTGGTCACTGCCTCCTGATGATCCCATGCTATTCTTTTGGGGATTGCAGCAGGTGCGGTTTTTGGGGCTTGGATATTTGGCAAGTTCTATGGCCTGAATGTTTGTATCCCCCCAAAATTTGTATGTTGAAGCTCTAATCCGCAATAGGATAGTATGTGTAGGTGGAACCTTTGGGAGGCAATTAGGTCAGAGGGTGGACCCTCATGGATGGGATTAGTGCACTTATTAGAAGAGACATGAGAGAGATGATCACTTTCACTGTCACATGAAGACACTATGGGAAGACAGCCTCTGTAAACCAGGAAGAGGGCCCTTGCTAGAATCTGATCATTCTGGCACCCTGATCTCAGACTTGCGTCCTCCAGACCTGTGAGAAATAAATTTCTGCTGTTTAAGCCATCAGTCTATGGTATTCTGTTATAGCAGACTGAGCTGACTAAAACAGTATGTAAACAACAAAACCACAAAAGGAAAAAAAGTCTTTGGTATGTATCAGTGTATAGATTCAGATAAATTAATCAATCTATTGTTATATCATCTATCACCTATCGATCTATTATCTATCAATCAATCATCTATGTATGCCTTTCTAATATTTTTAGATAGATAGCTGTCTTTTCCTCATAACTCTGAAAACCAAGCTGTTCGGGTTAGCTTTAGATTTTAAGGCAGCTTAAATCTTAAATTGTATATGTTTATACATGGAAGTCTGGAATTACGTAAAAAATCAGTGTTTTATGATTCTCTTCACTTTCTCTCTGTAGCCTTAGGACTAGAATTGTTCTAGTCTGCTTCATCTTAAGACCTAAGAAGAGTAGCTCTCTCCTCCCTGATCTATGTAAAATGACTGTCTGGAACAGACAGAAGTACAGCCCTTCTCTCTGGAGCAACTTTCTGTGTTTAGTAGAGACTTCTCTTCTATGGTTATCTGCCTGGAATCAGCTGTGCAATGACGAGTCTGGACTAGAGGAGACAAACTATTTTGTGAAGTTGTCACCCTGTCTGAACTTCTGAAAGGCCTTTGACTTTGGAGTTTCATGTCATTCCATGATCCTATCCATGCGACTGCCTTAGGTTGTCACAGAATGAGTGATTCAACATAGAGACTTCCAGGAATCTGGACTCTCTGAGTATCATTTATATAGAAATACACTTAAACCCTTTAGCCACAAGCATTACCTCGCCTATCAGTGGATGAATGGCCCTACCCACTGTTAATCAATGAGCCAAGGATGCCTTCTGCGAATCGGCCCCTAGGTTGTTTGTTTCTTCACTGGAGGTTGAGACCAATTACCTCAAAATCTTTCTGGTGCCAAACTCAAATTTTAATACATCAAATTGTTTTAAACATAGCACACAACAAGCAGATTTTTAGCCAGGTACACTTTGCCTCTTTTGCATACCCCGTGAAACCTATCTTCTGCTTGCCATTGATAAACTAGGGCCTAGGCCATAAGATCCCAAGCTGCTACTGCCCTTACGAGCTCTCTGACTCAGAGACACCCTGCTGCACTGCTGAGCAACATCATCTAGTAAGTCCCCTCTCCCATTCCCTTTCCCCTGGGAATTCACTTGCCCTCCTTCTTGATTGGTGGCCCCTTTGCTGTGAGCCTCAGGACAGTCTTATGCCGTAGGAGACTTTCACTCTCATTCAATTCTGCCCAATAAAGCTTGTCATGCATTGCTCTCATATCCTTCTCCTTGATCAGTCAGGAAATCCCTTGAACCCTATACCCTGCTACCAGGGTTTGTGTTATAGGGCAACATCATCTATCCTGGGGAGCTGGGAAAAGCTTTCATAAAGAATAGACATTTGAGCTGTGATCAGCCTTTCTTAAAGAATAGATATTTGAGCTGTGATCTAAGGCATGGGTAGGGCTTAATCAGGTTCAGGGGAGAGGAAATATTCCAGGCAGAAGATGATTTTTTCCAAAGACCATGAGCTGAGAATGGCTTCTTTGCTGGAAGGTGAAGTGTAAATAGGGAAAGTGTGAAAAGTCAAGGTCAGTGAGATGTCTGGATTATGCAGGCTCTTGTCAACAAGCAAAGAACTGTACGTGTGTGCATCTCACACTTTGAAATGAGGAGGAGGTAACAGCATTTATCTGTTGCCTCTGGAAACTATCTGGGAGCCCAAAGTCCTGGGAGCTCATCTGGATTTACTTTGGAGAGATTATTCAAATTTTAACCCAGAGAGACATATCAAGTTCTTTGATGAAAGAGCACAAAACCAAGTAGAGGTTGTTGTGAATTCATGGCGTATAGGGCCTAGCTGTCCCTAAGATGCATTTTGTTGAGTTATATCATATTATTAAAAAAGAAATTTGAATAGCTTGCTGTCACTAAAGAATTGGGACATTTCTTTTTTTTTTTCTTTTACATTTTATTTTTTATTTATTTATTTATTTATTTTTTATTATACTCTAAGTTTTAGGGTACATGTGCACATTGTGCAGGTTAGTTACATATGTATACATGTGCCATGCTGGTGCACTGCAACCACTAACGTGTCATCTAGCATTAGGTATATCTCCCAATGCTATCCCTCCCCCCTCCCCCGACCCCACCACAGTCCCCAGAGTGTGATATTCCCCTTCCTGTGTCCATGTGATCTCATTGTTCAATTCCCACCTATGAGTGAGAATATGCGGTGTTTGGTTTTTTGTTCTTGCGATAGTTTACTAAGAATGATGGTTTCCAATTTCATCCATGTCCCTACAAAGGACATGAACTCATCATTTTTTATGGCTGCATAGTATTCCATGGTGTATATGTGCCACATTTTCTTAATCCAGTCTATCATTGTTGGACATTTGGGTTGGTTCCAAGTCTTTGTTATTGTGAATAATGCCGCAATAAACATACTTGTGCATGTGTCTTTATAGCAGCATGATTTATAGTCCTTTGGGTATATACCCAGTAATGGGATGGCTGGGTCAAATGGTATTTCTAGTTCTAGATCCCTGAGGAATCGCCACACTGACTTCCACAATGGTTGAACAGTTTACAGTCCCACCAACAGTGTAAAAGTGTTCCTATTTCTCCACATCCTCTCCAGCACCTGTTGTTTCCTGACTTTTTAATGATTGTCATTCTAACTGGTGTGAGATGATATCTCATAGTGGTTTTGATTTGCATTTCTCTGATGGCCAGTGATGATGAGCATTTCTTCGTGTGTTTTTTGGCTGCATAAATGTCTTCTTTTGAGAAGTGTCTGTTCATGTCCTTCGCCCACTTTTTGATGGGGTTGTTTGTTTTTTTCTTGTGCCCTCTCTCACCACTCCTATTCAACATAGTGTTGGAAGTTCTGGCCAGGGCAATCAGGCAGGAGAAGGAAATAAAGGGTATTCAATTAGGAAAAGAGGAAGTCAAATTGTCCCTGTTTGCAGACGACATGATTGTTTATCTAGAAAACCCCATCGTCTCAGCCCAAAATCTCCTTAAGCTGATAAGCAACTTCAGCAAAGTCTCAGGATACAAAATCAATGTACAAAAATCACAAGCATTCTTATACACCAACAACAGACAAACAGAGAGCCAAATCATGAGTGAACTCCCATTCACAATTGCTTCAAAGAGAATAAAATACCTGGGAATCCAACTTACAAGGGATGTGAAGGACCTCTTCAAGGAGAACTACAAACCACTGCTCAAGGAAATAAAAGAGGACACAAACAAATGGAAGAACATTCCATGCTCAGGGGTAGGAAGAATCAATATCGTGAAAATGGCCATACTGCCCAAGGTAATTTACAGATTCAATGCCATCCCCATCAAGCTACCAATGACTTTCTTCACAGAATTGGAAAAAACTACTTTAAAGTTCATATGGAACCAAAAAAGAGCCCGCATCGCCAAGTCAATCCTAAGCCAAAAGAACAAAGCTGGAGGCATCACACTACCTGACTTCAAACTATACTACAAGGCTACAGTAACCAAAACAGCATGGTACTGGTACCAAAACAGAGATATAGATCAATGGAACAGAACAGAGCCCTCAGAAATAATGTCGCATATCTACAACTATCTGATCTTTGAGAAACCTGAGAAAAACAAGCAATGGGGAAAGGATTCCCTATTTAATAAATGGTGCTGGGAAAACTGGCTAGCCATATGTAGAAAGCTGAAACTGGATCCCTTCCTTACAACTTATACAAAAATCAATTCAAGATGGATTAAAGATTTAAATGTTAGACCTAAAACCATAAAAACCCTAGAAGAAAACCTAGGCATTACCATTGAGGACATAGGCGTGGGCAAGGACTTCATGTCCAAAACACCAAAAGCAATGGCAACAAAAGCCAAAATTGACAAATGGGATCTAATTAAACTAAAGAGCTTCTGCACAGCAAAAGAAACTACCATCAGAGTGAACAGGCAACTTACAACATGGGAGAAAATTTTCGCAACCTACTCATCTGACAAAGGGCTAATATCCAGAATCTACAATGAACTCAAACAAATTTAGAAGAAAAAAACAAACAACCCCATCAAAAAGTGGGCGAAGGACATGAACAGACACTTCTCAAAAGAAGACATTTATGCAGCCAAAAAACACATGAAAAAATGCTTATCATCACTGGCCATCAGAGAAATGCAAATCAAAACCACTATGAGATATCATCTCACACCAGTTAGAATGGCAATCATTAAAAAGTCAGGAAACAACAGGTGCTGGAGAGGATGTGGAGAAATAGGAACACTTTTACACTGTTGGTGGGACTGTAAACTGTTCAACCATTGTGGAAGTCAGTGTGGCGATTCCTCAGGGATCTAGAACTAGAAATACCATTTGACCCAGCCATCCCAATACTGGGTATATACCCAAATGACTATAAATCATGCTGCTATAAAGACACATGCACACGTATGTTTATTGCGGCACTATTCACAATAGCAAAGACTTGGAACCAACCCAAATGTCCAACAATGATAGACTGGATTAAGAAAATGTGGCACATGTACACCATGGAATACTATGCAGCCATAAAAAATGATGAGTTCATGTCCTTTGTAGGGACATGGATGAAATTGGAAACCATCATTCTCAGTAAACTATCGCAAGAACAAAAAACCAAACACCGCATATTCTCACTAATAGGTGGGAATTGAACAATGAGATCACATGGACACAGGAAGGGGAATATCACACTCTGGGGACTGTGGTGGGGTCGGGGGAGCGGGGAGGGATAGCATTGTGAGATATACCTAATGCTAGATGACACGTTAGTGGGTGCAGCGCACCAGCATGGCACATGTATACATATATAACTAACCTGCACAATGTGCACATGTACCCTAAAACTTAAAGTATAATTTAAAAAAAACAAAAAAAACAAAAAAAAAAGAAAGAAGATATAAACAATAAACAAAAATGAATTTTTTTAGAAAGATATGGGATCTCACTATATTGCCCAGGCTGGAATACAGTCACTATTCACAGGAAGAATCATAGCATATTATAAGCTTCAAGCTCCTGAGCTCAAGTGGTCCTCCTGCCTCCGCCTCTGGGGTAGCTGAGATCACAGGTGCATGTCACCATGCCCGGCTTAAATGATGAATTATTTTAGGGATAATTTCAATGTTATCCCTGTGACTAGGAGTCTAATCTTTGGGCCAGCAGCAAAACAGGGGAGCTAAGATAGAGAATTCCACATTAACCCTGAAACCTTAGAAGGAAGCTGAAATGAGTATAACTCAGTGATGCTCTCCTAGAGCCTGGGCAGAAGAAAACACAGATCCTTTTGGAGATAAGGCCTCTAAGGTTTCCATGGACAAAATCAACCAAATACTACCTCACAGTCATTCATCAACAAACAAACAGGGAAACAGTGTAAGAAAAAACATAAAACATTTAGGTCTCAAAGACTTTGGATATTGGACTAACAAATACAGAATATAAGTTAATTATGTATAAAATATCTAAAGAAATACAAGATTGCATTATGAAAATAAGCAAGAAACAAAAGGCTTTACAAAATGAGGAGGTGGATTGGAAAAATAAAATGTAAAAGTTTTTAAATAAAAATACAATTGTTGAAGTAAGACATTCAATTATTAGATTAGATACAGCCAAAAAAGGATCAGTGAAATAAAAGACAGCTCTGAAGGACTTACCCAGAATGCAGCAGGGAGAGAAAAAGAAATACAAATATGAAACAGAGGTTGGCCAAGTACATGGCTCATGCCTGTAATTCCAGCACTTTGGGAGGCCAAGGCTGGTGGATCACTTGAGGTCAGGATTTTGAGACCAGCCTGGCCAATATGGTGAAACCCCGTCTCTACTAAAAATACACACACATACACAAATTAGCCAGGCATGGTGGCACGTGCCTGTAGTCCCAACTCCTCAGGAGGCCGAGGCACAGGAATCACTTGAACCTAGGAGGTGGAGGCTGCAGTGAGCTGAGATCATGTCAGTGCACTCCAGCCTAAGCAACAGAGGGAGGCACTGTCTAAAAAAAGAGGTTAAGAGCTATGGAGGACAGAGTGGGAATATCTAACAGGCCTCTCATCAAAGGAGGACATAGGGAGAATGATAGAAGGGCAAAATCTTAAACGTCAATAGCTGAAAAATTTCCACAACAATATGCTCACAGGAGAATAAATAAAGAAAAACTCATGATTTATAATGAAACACCAAAGACAAACGGAAGAGCATAAAAGCAGATGGGGAGACAAGACAGATGATGGAAATAGATTGCTAGAGGTGTTCTGCACAGTAACAATGGAATCTTGAAAAGAATGGATTAATATCTTCAGTGTGCTAAGTGAAAATAACTACTAATCTCGAATTACACGCCCGGGAAATCTCTTTTAGGACCTAGTGCAAAATGAAAACATTTTCAAAAATAGAAAAATATGAGTTTACCACCGACAGATTCTCACTAAAGGAAATTCCAAATGATGCTTTAGGAAGAAATCAAAGCATCTGAGGAAGAATTTTATGAGATCCAAGGAGTATGGGTGCAAAGGAATTGTCAAACCTGTAAGTAAATTTATACTAGTATTGTTAATATAATTTATAGAGTTTAAAAATGGAATGAACCAATATTCTTAAAACGAGCAGGGGAGGATATGATAATTAAAATTCAACAAGAAAGATATGAGAGTTAAAAAGTTCTAAAACATTGTGGAAGGTGGTTAGATATTAATTTTTATCTTGCTACAAGGAAGTATTTATGGTAAACATTTTAAGGAAAAACCATTAAAATAGTAAAAACATATAAAGATACAAAATGGAAATATACTGATCGAGTAGCTGCTTCACTAGCATGGGAAGAAAATCCCCCTTTCCCAAAAGAGGCCTTCATATATTTGTGATTTTCTATTTTTCCTCTTTAATCCCATAAAGGGAAAGGGACAAAAATTTAAAAAGTGAAAGGCCAGCCCTGCTTTAATAAAGCTAAGAGATGCAGAGAGTTAGATGTGAGAAAATAATTACTTATGCAAAAAATTTATACTTCATTTTACAGAAAAAATAGCCTTGGAATTACTTTCTTAACCACGAATTAACATTGCTAGAAGTTAACTTGTATAAATTAACTTCTATAGATCAACTTCTACAAGGGCATTCTATAATGTGCTTTATATATTATATATAAAATTTATATATAATATATAAAATATATATAATATAATATATATAATATAATATAAAAATATATATAATATATAATATAAAATATATCTTACATATAATATATTATAAAATATATATTACATATAACATAATATAAAATATATATTATATATAATATAATATAAAATATATCTTATATAATATAATATTAAATATATATTATATTATATAATATAAAATATATCTTATATAATATAATATAAAATATATAGTATATAATATAATATAAAATATATATTATATAGAATATAATATAAAATATATATTATATAGAATATAATATAAAATATATATTATATAGAATATATTATATATAAATACATAAAATATATTATATAAAAATATATTTATATTTATTATATATTTATACTTAAATATATATTATATAATTATATATAAAAATATATATAATATATATTATATATAAAAATATATATAATATATATTTATATATAAAAATATATATAATATATATTTATATATATATAAAACATATTTTACCTAAGATTTGCTTTATTTTTAACAGTTGTGAAGTATAGATTGCAAAAAGTACATAAAAGCATATATGTGGGGTTTGAAGACCAATAATAAAACAAATATCATGTGCCTGCAAACAATGTTAGAAAATGAATTATCATACTGTAGGAGCTCTCTGTGTGCATTCTTCAATTGCATTATACTTCATATCCACCAGAGGTAGTAATTAGCTGAATTTTGTTCCCTGGTGTTTTCCACTGTTATTACTATAGATTTTTATATCCTTATGCAATATGTCCATTAATTCAGACTGAATTATAAAATTTCAATCAAACGTGTGTAGTTTTTCTATAACTGCTTAATATGATGTTTTAAAAATTATCCATATTGATATTTGTGTTTATAATCCATTCATTTTCATTGCTGTATGTTGTTCAGTTCATGTATATAAAAGTTATTTATTTATTTCAACCTACAATTGGTGAGCATTTGAGCTGATTGCCATTTATTGCTGCAAATAATATTATTAACTAAAATACTTGTGCATGTTTCCTTAATGAACATGTGAAAGAATCTTTCTGATGTATGCATGAAACTGCTGTGTTATAGGGTGTATACATGTACAACTCAATGTCTTACTGTTATCAGGATTCATTTATTACTCATGCTACATATTCAGTACAAGTCAGTTTGGCAGGATTCTTAATGCTGTCTTCACAT
Source organism: Homo sapiens (assembly GCF_000001405.40). Lineage (NCBI taxonomy): Eukaryota > Metazoa > Chordata > Mammalia > Primates > Hominidae > Homo > Homo sapiens. Next base: position 11,751,416 of record NC_000024.10, on the reverse strand, counting down.
AAGGACTTTTATTACATAATTTTCACAATCTGGAAAGTTACTTGCCAACATGGAAGATAAAGAAAAAGTGGAAAATTATACCTTGCTTCTTAAATTTTAGTATCCAGAAATAAAATGTATCACTTCTGTTCACATTACATTGGCTTAAAGCAAGTTTCATAGTCACATCTAGTTTCATGGGAGCAGGGAGTTCTATTCTTATTGTTTGACTGGATGGAAGACAACTGGAAATATTGGTGGGGATCTCTAATATCTACTGTAGCCCACCATTCTAGACACCAAATATTTGGCTCAATCTCCTTCAGTCATACAGAATACATAAATATCCTTCCTAAGGGAATCAACACAAAAGTCTTGTCCGGTCATGGCACAGAGCTCAAAATTCATGATTTCTGGGTGAGAGGCAACAGTGCCTATATGAAGGGTTATATTAGGGAGTGGAAGGTGGAAGGTGTTATCAGTTGAATTGTGTCCCGTAAAAAGATATGTTGAAATCCTAATCCCTGGTGCCTGTGAATGTGACCTTGTTTGGAAATAAGGTCTGTGCAGATGTAATTAAGTTGTGATGAGGCCATACTGAATTCGGGTGGTCTTACTCCAATGACTGGTGTCCTTATAAGAAGAGTAGAAGAGATAGATGCAAGGGAAGAATGTCATGTGACAATAAAAGCAGAGATTAAAGTGCTGGGGCTGCAAGCCAAGGAATGCTGAGGCTCACTGGAAAACCATCAGAGCCAGCGAGGGAGAAAGGAGGATTCTCCCTCTAAGCTTCAGAGAGCATGTGGCCCTGCTGACCTTTGATTTCAGCTGTCTGGTGTCCAGAACAGTGAGACAATACATATCTGTTGTTTGGAGCCACTCAGTTTGTGGTGATTTGTCACAGCAGCCTTAAGAAACTAACACAAGTGGGTAATAAACATTTATTTCTACGTCAGGTCAGATGTAATTCGTCTTGAACTAGAAACGTATGAGCTGAAAAGATAGGCTCTCACTCCCTCCCCTACCACCAACACACATTTACCCACTGTGCAGTGCTGGAGCAGAGACTTGACAGGGCAAGTGGGCTCTGCACGGGGAAAAAAGAATTGAGTATGTAGTGACCCGTGGGGTGGAATGTGGTAGACATGACCGCTTCACTGCTATCCAGCTTCCCTTTCCTTTCAGTGCATTAGGATAGTTTTTCATGTCTCTTTGAAGTGAGTCATAGTCACGGAATTGGTTCTAGCAAATGGGTTTCGGTGGAAATCATTGGTCCACGACTTTCCAGCCATCATGAAAACACTTTTTAAGATAAAGCCTTCATCAGACTGAGTCCCAGAGTGACTCTGATAAACAGAGCTCCCTTATCCACCCGCATGAGCCATGCAAAATGAATGGGAAATCTTTGTTGCTTTAAGCCACTGAGGTTTGGGGTTGTTAGTCACCACGGCAAAACCTAGCTGATGCAGACAGATGAAATGAGCATGTAACTCAAAGGTCTACTCTTGTAATTACAGTTGATCCTTGAACAACGTGGACTAGAACTGTGTGGGTCCACTAGCACGTAGATTTTGTTCTGCCTCTGCCATCCCTGAGACAGCAAGACCAACCCTATCTCTTTCTCTTCAGCCTACTCAACGTGAAGATAATGAAGATGAAGAATTTTATGATGATCCACTTCCTCTTAATAACCAGTAAATATATTTTCACTTCCCTCCGATTTTCTTAATAACATATTCCTTTCTTCAGCTTACTTTTTGTTAGAGTACAGTATATAATACACATAACATATAAAATGTGTATTACTTGACTATGTTACGAGTCAGGCTTCTAGTCAACAGTAGGTGATAAGTAACTAAGCTTTTGGGGAGTCAAAAGTTATACATGGATTTTCACCTGCACAGGGAGCTGGCTATTTCATTCCATTCCATGCCATTCCATTATATTCTATTCCATTAGAATCCATTCCATTCGAGTCCATTGTATTCCATTCCATTCGATTGCATTCCACTTGATTCTATTCCGTTTTGACTCATTCTGTTCCATTCCATTCCATATGATTCCATTCCATTCTATTCCTTTCCATTCCAATCCATTCCATTCCATTCGAGACCGTTCCACTCCAGTCCATTCCATTCGAGTCCATTCCATTCCATTCTATTAGATTCGATATATTTCCATTACTTTCCATTCTATCTATTCGTTTCGATTGCATTCAATTCCATTCCATTCGTCGGTTACATTCCACTCGAATCCATTCCATTTGGGTCCATTCCCTTCCATTCCATTCCATTCCATTCCATTCCATTCCATTCCATTCCATTCCACTTGATTCCACTCCTTTGCATTTATTGCATTCCATTCTATTCCATTCCATTCCATGCCATTCCATTCAATTCTATTCCATGCGAGTCCATTCCATTCGAGTCCATTGCATTCCATTCCATTCGATTGCATTCCATTCAATTCTATTTCTTTCGACTCCATTCCACTCCATTCTGTTCCTTCCGATTCCTTTCCTTTCCATTCCAATCCATTTCGTTCCATTTGTTTCCATTCCATTCGAGACCATTCCACTCCAGTCCATACCATTCAAGTCAATTCCATTCCAGTCAATTCCACTCGAGTCCATTCCACTCCGGGCCATTCCATTATAGTCCATTCCATTCCAGTCCATTCCATTCGAGTCAATTCCATTCCATTCCATTCCATTCCATTCCATTCCATTCCATTCCATTCGATATCTTGCCTTTACACTCCCTTCTGTTCCATTCCATTTGATGCCATTCCATTCTATTCTATTCCATTCGAGTTCATTCCTTTTGAGTCCATTCCATTCCACTCCATTCAATGCCATTCCATTCAACTCCTCTCCATTCGACTCCATTCCATTCCATTTAGTTCCATCCTATTCCATTCCATTCCATTCATTTCCATTCCATTCCATTCCATTCCATTCCATTCCATTCCATTCCATTCCATTCCATTCCATTCTTTTCCATTCCATTCGAGTCCATTCCACTCCAGTCCATTCCATTCAAGTCCATTCCATTCCATTCCATTCGAGTCCATTCCATTCCATTCCATTCGAGTCCATTCCATTCCATTCCATTGGATTCGATATATTTGCTTTACACTCCATTAAATTCAATTCCTTTCGATTCCATTCCATTCCATTCCATTCGATTCCATTCCATCGATTCCCTTCCATTCAACTCCATTCCATTCGAGGCCATTCCATTACATTCCATTCTGTTTCGTTCAGTTCCAATCCGTTTGATTCCATTTTGTTCCAGTAAATTCCATTCAAGTCCATTGCATTCCTGTCTATTCCAATCAATTCCAATCCATTCGATTCTATTCCATTCAATTCTGTTCCACTCGATTTCACTCCGTTCCATTCCATTGCATTCCATTCTATTCCATTCCATTGCATTCCATTCCATTCCATTTGATTACATTCCATTTGATTCCATTCAATTCGAATCGATTACATTGCTATCCATGGCATTCAAGTCCGTTCTATTCCAGTCAATTCCATTCGTGTCCATTCCATTTCATTCCATTCCATACTATTGCATTCCATTCGATTCCATTCTATTCGAATAAATTCCATTCGAGACCATTGCTTTCGAGTCCTTTCTATTTGAGTCCATTCCATTTGAGTCCATTACTTTTGGGTCGATTCCATTCCATTCCATTCCATTCCATTCCATTCCATTCCATTCCATTCCGTTCCGTTCCGTTCCGTTCCATTCCATTCCATTCCATTCGATGCCATACAATTCGATTCTATTCCATTTGAGGCCATTGCATTCGTGTCCATTTAATTTCATTCCATTCCATTCCATTCGATGCCATTCCTATTGATTCTATTCAATTCGACTCCATTCCATTCCATTCCATCCGATTCCATTCCATTCTATTCTTTTCCCTTCCATTCCATTCCATTCCATTCGTTTCCATTACATTAGAGTCCATTCCACTCCAGTCAAGTCCATTCCATTCCATTCCATTCCATTATATTCGATGTCATTCCAATTGATTCTATTAAATTCAACTCCATTCCATTCTGTTCCATCCGATTCCATTCCATTCTATTCTTTTCCATTCCATTCCATTCCATTCCATTCCATTCCATTCCATTCCATTCCATTAGTTTCCATTACATTAGAGTCCATTCCACTCCACTCCATTCCATTCGAGTCAGTTCTGTTCCAGTCCATTCCACCGAGTCCATTCAATTCCATTTGATATCTTTCCATTACACTCCATTCCATTGTATTCCTTTCGATTCCATTGAGTTCCATTCTATTCGATTCCATTCAATTCAATTCCATTCCATTCGACTCCATTCCATTGCATTCCATTCCGTTTGAATCAAATCCGTTCGATTCCGTTCCATTCTATTGAATTCCATTCGATTCCATTCTATTTGAATAAATTCAATTTGAGACCACTCCATTCGAATCCATTCTATTGGAGTCCATTCCATTCGAGTCCAATACATTGGGTTCCATTCCATTCCCTTGCATTCGATGCCATTCCATTATATTCTATTCCATTAGAGTCCACACCTTTGAAGTCCTTTCCATTCCATTCCATTCCATTCCATTCCATTCCATTCCATTCCATTCCATTTCATTCCATTCCATTCGATGTCATTCAATTCGATTCTATTCTATTCGACTCCATTCCATTACATTCAGTTCCATTCGATTCAATTTCATTGTATTGTTTCCATTCCATTCCATTCTATTCAATTCGTTTCCTTTCCATTCGAGTCCATCCCACTCCAGTCCATTCCATTCGAGTTCATTCCATTCCAGGCCATTCCATTCGAGTCCATTCCATTCCATTCGATATCTTTCAATTACACTCTCTTCCATTCCATTCCATTCGATGCCATTCCATTCTATTCAATTCCATTCGAGTCCTTTCCGTTCGAGTCCTTTCCATTCCATTCCATTCAATGCCATTCCTTTTGAAAGTATTCCATTCAAATCTATTCCATTGCATTATGTTCCATTGATACCTTCCATTTTATTCCTTTAATGTCCATTCCATTCAATTCCATTCCATTCGTTTCCATTCCATTCGAGACCATTCCTCTGCAGTCCATTCCATTCCAGACCATTCCATTCCAGTCCATTCCATTCGAGTCCATTCCATTCCAGTCCATTCCATTTGAGTTCATTCCATTCCTTTCTATTCAATATCTTTCCATTAATCTCTCTTCCAGTAAATTCCATTCGATGCCATTCCATTCTATTCTATTTCATTCGAGTCCATTCCATTTAAGTACATTAGATTCCATTCCATTCCATTCTATCCGATGCCATTGCATTCGATTCTATTCCATTCTACTCCATTTCATTCCATTTCATTCCATCTGATTCCATTCCATTCTATTCCATTCCATTCCGTTCGTTTCCATTCCTTTCTAATCCATTCCATTCCAGTCCATTCCCTTCGAGTCCACTTTGTTCCATTCAATTCCATTCGAGTCCATTTCGTTCCACACGATTTCATTTGAGTCGATTCCACTTCTTTCCATTCCATTCGATATCTTTCCATTACACTCCATTCTATTCTATTCCTTTCAATTCCCTTCAATTCCATTGCATTCGGTTCCATTCCATTCGACTCCATTGCATTGACGTCCATTCTTTTCCATTCCATTCCATTCAGTTCGATTCCAATGCGTTCGATTCTATTTTGTTCCAGTCCATTCCAATCGAGTCCATTGAATTCCACTCCATTCCATTTGATTCCATTCCATTCAATTCCATTCAACTCGATTACACTAGGTTCCATTCCATTGCATTCCATTCTATTCCATTCGATTGCATTCCATTTCTTTCCATTTAATTACATACCGTTCAATTCCATTCCTTTTGAATCAAATACACTGCAATCCATTACATTCGAGTCCGTTATATTCCAGTCCATTCCATTCTGGTCCATTCCAATTAATTCCATTCCATTTGATTCCATTCCATACTATCGCATGCAATTTGATTCCATTCTTTTTCAATAAATTCCATTCGAGACCCTTCCTTTTGTGTCCATTCTATTTGAGTCCATTGCATTAGAGTCCATTACGTTTTGGTCCATTCCATTCCATTCCATTCCATTCCATTCCATTCCATTCCATTCCATTCCATTCCATTCGATGCCACTCAGTTCAATTCTATTCCATTTGAGTCCAATCCATTCCATTCCATACCATTCGTTGGCATTTCATTCGAATCTATTCCATTCAACTCCATTCCATTCCATTCCATTCGATCCGATTCCATTGCATTCTAACCCATTCCATTCCATTCCATTCCATTCCATTCCATTCCATTCCATTCCATTCGATTCCATTCCATTCCATTCTGTTCGATTCCATTCCCCTCGGTTCCACTCCTTTCCATTTTATTGTATTCCATTCTATTTCATCCCATTCCATGCCATTCGATTCTATTGTATTGCACTTGAGTCCATTCCATTAGAATCCATTGCATTCCATTACATTTGATTGCATTCCATTAGATTCTATTTCATTTGACTCCATTCCTTTCCATTCCATTCAATACGATTCCATTCCATTCTATTCCTTTCCATTCCAATCCATTCCATTCCATTATTTTCCATTCCAATCGAGACCGTTCCACTCCAGTCCATGACATTCGATTCCATTCTATTCCATTCCTTTCCATTCGAGTCCATTCCATTCCTTTCTATTAGATTCGATATATTTCCTTTACTTTCCATTCTATCTATTCGTTTCCATTGTATTCAATTCCATTCCGTTACATTCCATTCCATTCGTTTCCATTCCATTCGAGTCCATTGCACTGCAGTCCATTCCATTCGACTCCATTCCATTCCTTTCCATTCCTTTCCATTCCATTCCATTCAAGTCAATTCCATTCTGTTCCATTGGATTCGATATCTTTGCTTTACACTCCATTAAATTAAATTCCGTTCGATTCCATTCAGTACCATTCCATTCAATTCCATTCCATTTGATTCCCTTCCATTCGACTCCATTCCATTCGAGGACATTGCATTACCTTCCATTCCGTTTTGTTCGGTTCCAATCCGTTTGATTTCATTTTGTTCCATTAAATTACATTCGAGTCCATTCCATTCCTGTCTATTCCAATCAATCCCAATCCATTCGATTCCATTCCTTTCGATTCCATTCCAATCAATTTCACCTCGTTCCATTCCATTGCATTCCATTCTATTCCATTCCATTGTATTCCATTCCTTTCCATTTGATTCCATTCCATTCAATTCCATTCCATTCGAATCAATTACCATGCTATCCATGGCATTTGAGTCCGTTCTATTCCCGTCCATTCCATGTTTGTCCATTCCATTAGATTCCATACCACACTATTGCATTTCGTTCAATTCCATTCTATTTGAATATATTCCATTCGAGACCATTGCTTTCGCGTCCTTTCTATTTGAGTCCATTCCATTTGAGTCCATTACTTTTGGTACCATTCCATTCCATTCTATTCCATTCCATTCCATTCCATTCCATTCCATTCCATTCCATTCCATTCCATTCCATTCCGTTCCATTCCATTCAATGACATACCATTCAATTCTATTCCATGCGAGTCCATTTAATTCCATTCCATTCCATTCCATTCCATTCCATTCCATTCCATTCCATTCGATGCCATTCCAATTGATTCTATTTAATTTGACGCCTTTCCATTATCTTCCATCCGATTCCATTCCATTGTATTCTTTTCCCTTCCATTCCATTCCATTCCATTCCATTCGTTTCCATTACATTAGAGTCAACTCCACTCCAATGAATTCCATTCCATTCCATTCCATTATATTCGATGTCATTCCAATTGATTCTATTAAATTCGACTCCATTCGATTCTGTTCCATCCGATTCGTTTCCATTATAATCCTTTCCACTCCATTCCTTTCCATTCCATTCCATTCCATTCATTTCCTTTCCATTAGATTTCATTCCTCTCCAGTTCATTCCATTGGATTCGATTCCATTCCAGTCCATTCCATTCGAGTGAATTCCACTCCGTGCCATTCCATTCGACTCCATTCTATTCCATTCCATTACATTCAATATCTTTCTGTTATACTCCATTCCATTGTTTTCCTTTTGATTCCATTCAATTCCATTCTGTACGATTCCATTCCATTTGATTTCATTCAATTTGACTGCATTCCATTAGAATCCATTCCATTCCATTCCGTTCCATTTTTTCCATTCTGTTCCATTCAATTCCAATCTGTTCGATTCCATTTTTTTCAGTCCTTTCCTTTCGAGTTCTTTCCATGCCAGTTCATTCCATCGATTCCATTCCATTCGATTGCATTCCACTCAATTGTACACAGTTCCATTCCATTGCATTCCATTCTATTCCTTCCCATTGCATTCCATTCCATTCCATTTGATTATATTCCATTCGATTCCAAGGAGTTCGAATCAATTACATTTCAATCCATTACATTCGAGTCCTTTCTATTTCAGTCCATTCCATTCTGGTCAATTCCATTCGATTCCTTTCCATTTGATTCCATACCATACTATTGCATTCCTTTTGATTCCATTCTATTTGAATAAATTATATTTGGGACCATTCCTTTTGAATCCATTATATTTGAGTCCATTCCATTGGATTCCTATACATTTGGGTCCATTCCATTGCAATCCATTGCATTCCTTTGCATTCCATTCAATGCCATTTCATTCTACTCTATTCCATTAGAGTCCATTCCACTCGAGTCCGTTACATTCCGTTCCATTCCATTCGATGCCATTCCATTCGATTCTATTCCATTTGACTCTATTCCATTCCATTCCATTCCATCCAATTCCATTCTATTCTACTCCTTTCCATTCCATTTCATTCGTTTCCATTCCATTCGAGTCTAATCCATTCCAGTCCATTCCATTCGAGTTCACTCCATTCCAGTCCATTCCATTCGCGTCCATGCCATTCCATTCAATATCTTTCCATAACGTTCCATTCCATTCTATTCTTTTCGATTCCATTCAATTACATTCCATTCAGTTCCATTCCTTTCGACTCCATTCCATTCGAGAACAGTCTCTTCCATTCCATTCCATTCCATTCTGTACGATTCCAATCCGTTCGTTTCCACTTTATCCAGTTCATTACATTCGAGTTCATTCCATTCCAGTCCATTCGATTCAATTCCATTCCATTCAATTACGTTTCATTCGATTCCATTCCATTCGATTCCACTCCGATCCATTCCATTCTATTCCATTCAAATGCATTCCATTCCATTCAATTTGGTTACATTCCATTCAATTCCATTCCATTCAAATCAATTAAATTGCCATCCATTATGTTCGAGTCTGTTCTATTTCAGTCCGTTCCATTCCAGTCCATTCCATTTGATTCCATTCCATTTGATACCATTCTTTACTGTTGCATTCCATTCGATTCCATTCTATTCAAATAAATTCCATTCTAAACCATACCTTTCGAGTCAATTCTATTTGAGTCCATTCCATTTGATTCCATTACATTTGGTTCCATTCTATTTCATTCCATTCCATTCCTTTCCTTTTGATGCCATTCTATTGTATTCTACTCCATTTGAGTCCATTCCATTCGAGTATATTACATTCCATTCCATTCGATGCCATTCCATTTATTTCTATTTCATTCGAATCCATTCCAATCCTTTCCGTGTCATCCGATTCCATTCCATTCTATTCCTTTCCATTCCATTTCATTCTAATGCATTCACTTCCATTCCATTCAAGTCCATTCCATTCCATTCCATTCTCTTCCATTCGAGCCATTCCATTCGATTCTATTCCATTTGAGTCCAATCCATTTGAGTGTTTTCCATTCCACTCCATTCTATTCCATTCCATTCCATTCTATTCCATTCCATTTGATGTTATTCCATTCGATTCTATTCCATTCGACTCCATTCCATTCCATTAAGTTCCATCTGATTCCATTCCATTCTATTCCATTCCATTCCACTCCATTCCATTCCATTCCATTCCATTCCATTCCATTCCATTCCATTCCATTCCATTTGAGTCCATTCCAATCCAGTACATTCCATTCCAGTGCATTCCATATGAGTCCATTGTATTCCATTATTTTCCATTCGATAACTTTCCATTAGAGTTCATTCCATACTATTCCTTTCGATTCCATTCAATTCCATTCCATTTGATTCCATTCCATTTGGTTACATTCCATTCTACTCTATTCAAATAGTGTCCATTCCATTCCATTCCATTCTGTTCCATTTGATTTCAGTCCGATCAATTAAATATTTTTCAGTCAATTCCATTCAAGTACATTCCAATCCAGTCCATTTCATTCAGTTCCATTCCATTCGATTCCCTTCCATTCAATTCCATTGCACTCGATTCCAGTCCATTGAATTCCATTGCATTCCATTCTATTGGATTCTTTGCATTCCATTGCATCCATTTGATTACATTCCTTTTGACTCCATTCCTTTCAAATCAATTACATTGCAATCCATTACATTCGAGTCTGTTCTATTCCACTCCAATCCATTCTGGTACATTCCATTCGATTCCATTCCATACTATTGCATTCCATACTATTGCATTCCATTGGATTCCATTCTATTCGAATAAATTCCACTTGAGACCATTTCTTTCGAGTCCATTCTATTTGAGTCCATTCCTTTTTAGTCAATTACATTTGTTTCTTTCCATTCCATTCCATTAAATTCCATTCCATTCCATTCCGTTCCATTCCCTCCGATGCCTTTCCATTCTATTCTGTTCCATTCGAGTCCATTTAATTTCATTCAATTATATGCCATTCCATTCGATTGTATATCATTCGACTCCATTCCATGCCATTCCATTCCATCCCATTCCATTCCATTTTATTCCTTTCCATTCCATTCCATTCGTTTCCATTCCGTTTGAGTCCATTCCACTCCAATTCATTCCACTTGAGTCGAATCCATTCCAGTACATTCATTTCTAGTCCATTCCATTCCATTTGATGTATTCCCGAGTCACTCCATTCCATTCTATTCTTTTTGATTCCATTCAATTCCATTCCATTAGTTTCCATTCCTTTTGACTGCATTCCATTCGAATCCATTCTCTTCCATTCCACTCCATTCCATTCCGATTGATTCCAATCCGTTTGTTTCCATTTTATTCCAGGCCATTATATTCGAGTCCATTCCATTCCAGTCCAATCTATTCGATTCCATTCCATTCCATTCAATTCCACTCCATTCCATTATATTGCATTCCATTCTTTTCCATTCAATTGAATTCAATTTGATTACATTTGATTACATTCCATTTGATTCCATTCCATTCAAATCAGTCACATTGCAATCCATTACATTTGAGTCCATTCTATTCCAGTCCATTACATTCCCGTCCATTCCATTCCATTCCAATCCGTTTGATTCCATTACATGCTATTGCATTCCTTTCGATTCCATTCTACTCGAGTAAATTCCATTCGAGACCATTACTTTCGAATCCATTCTATTTGAGTCCTTTCCGTTCGAGTCCATTACATTTGGGACCATTCCATTCTATTCGATTCCATTGCATTCCATTCCATTCGTTTCGATCCCTTTCCATTCTATTCTATTCCATTCAAATCCATTCCATTCGATTCGATTCCATTCCATTCCACTCCATTCGATGCCATTCCTTTCGATGCCATTCCATTCCTTTCGATGCCATTCCATTCCATTCCATTCCATTCCATTCCATTCCATCCAAATCTATTCCATTCTATTCCTTTCAATTCCATTTCATTCCATTCCATTCCTTTCCAATCCATTCGAGTCCATTCCATTCCATTCCATTCTATTCCATTTGATGCCATTCCATTAGATTCTATTCCATTCGAGTGCATTCTGTTCGAGTCCTTCCCATTCCATTCAATTCCATTCGATGCCATTCCATTCGATTCTATTCCATTCGACTCCATTCCATTCCATTAAGTTCCAACGAATTCCATTCCATTTAATTCCTTTCCATTCCATTGCATTCATTTCCGTTCCATTCTAGTCCATTCCACTCCAGTCCATTCCATTCGAGTCCATTCCATTCCAGTCCATTCCATTCTAGTCCATTCCATTCCATCCCATTCAATATCTTTCTATTACACTCCATTCCATTCTATTCCTTTCGATTCCATTCCATTCCATTCCATTCTATTCCATTCCATTCCATTCCATTCGACTCCATTCCATTCGATTCCATTCCATTCGACTCCATTCCATTCCATTCCATTCCATTCCTTTCGATTCTAATCCGTTCGATTCCATTTTGCTCCAGTCTATTCCATTCGAATCCATTCCATTTGAATATATTTCATTCGATAACCTTCCATTCAATTCCATTCCACTCGATTCCATTCCATTCCTTTCCATTCCATCGCATTCCATTCTATTCCATTCAATTGCATTCCTTTCCATTCCATTTGATTACATTCCATTCGATTCCAAGTCACTCGAATCAATTACATTGCAATCCATTACATTCGAATCTGTTCTATTCCTGTCCATTTCATTCTGGTCCATTCCATTCGATTCCATTCCATAGTATTGCATTGCTTTCTATTCCATTCTTTCTGAATAAATTCCATTCGAGACCATTCCTTTCGAGTCCATTCCATTCTATTCCATTAATTTTGTGTCCATTCCATTCCATTCCATTCCATTCCATTCCATTCCATTCCATTCCATTCCATTCCACTCCATGTCATTCCATTCCATTCCACTCCATTCCATTCCTTTCCATTCCTTTGGATGCCATTCTGTTCAATTCTATTCCATCAGTGTCCATTTCATTCGAGTCCATTGCATTCCATTCCAATCGATGCCAATCCATTCGATTCTATTCCATTTGACAGCATTCCGTTCCGTTCCGTTCCATCCTATTCCATTAAAATCTATTCCTTTCCTTTCCCTTCCATTCCTTTATAATCGTTTCTGTTCCATTCGAGTCCATTCCATTCCACTGCATTCCATTCGAGTCCAATCCATTCCATTATGTTCCATTCGAGTCCAATCCATTCGATTCCATTTTGTTACAGTCCATTAGTTTCGAGTCCATTCCATTCCAGTCGATTCCATTTGATTTCATTGCATTAGATTCCATTATATTCGATTCCATTCCACTCTATTCCCCTTCTTTGCATTCCATTGCACTCCATTCAATTCCATTTTATTCTATTCCATTCCACTCGATTCCACTACGTTCCATTCCATTCCATTCTATTCCCTTCCACTATATACCTTTCCATTCCATTTGATTACATTCCATTGGATTCCATTCCATTCAAATCAATTGCATTGCAATCCATTACATTCGTGTCCATTGTATTCCATTCCATTCCATTCCATTCCAGTCGATTCCATTCGATTCCATTCCATTCTATTGCATTCCATTCAATTCCATTCTATTCGAATAAATTCCATTCGAGACCATTCCATTCTACTCCATTCTATTTGTGTATATTCCGTTCAAGTCCATTACATTAGGGTCACTTGCATTCCATTCCATTCCATTCCATTCCATTCCATTCCATTCCATTCCATTCCATTCCATTCCATTCCATTCCATTCCATTTGATGCCATACTATTCAATTCTATTCCGTTTGAGTCCATTCCATTCGATTAAATTCCGTTCCATTGCATTATATTTGATGCCATTCCATTCGAATCCATTCCATTCGAATCCATTCCATTCCAATCCGTTCTATGTGATTCCATTCCATTCTATTCCTTCCCATTCCATTTCATTCCATTCCATTGCACTGCTTTCCATTCCATTCGAGTCCATTTAACTCCAATCCATTCCAATCCATTCTTTTCCATTCGCGTCCATCCGATTCCATTCCTTTCTATTCGATATCTTTTCATTACACTCCATTCCATTCTATCCATTTCTATTTCATTCACTTACTTTCTTTCGATTCAGTTCAATTCGGTTTTGTTCCATTATATTCCATTCAAATCGATTCCATTCCATTCCATTCCATTCCGTTTGATTCCAATCCAATCAATTCCATTTTATTCCAGTCCAATCCATTCGATTCCATTCCATTCCAATCCATTCCATTCGATTCCGTTCCATTTGATTTCATTCCATTCAATTCCTTTCCACTAGGTTCCACTCCATTCCATTCCATTGCATTCCATTCTATTCCATTCCATTGCATTCCATTCCATTCCATTTGATTACATTACATTCGATTCCATTCCTTTCAATTAGTTTACATTAAATTCTATTACATTCGAGCCCATTCTATTCCACTCCAATCCATTCTGGTCCATTCCATTCCATTCCAGTTCTTTCAATTCCATTCCATATTATTGCATTTCATTTGATTCAAATAAATTCCATTCGAGACCATTCCTTTCGAGTCTATTCTATTTGAGTGCATTCCATTCGAGTCCAATACATTTGGTTCCATGAAATTCCATTCCAATCCATTTGATGCCATTCCATTCGATTCTACTCCATTCAAGTCCATTCCATTCGAGCCCATTCCATTCCATTCCATTCCATTCCATTCCATTCCATTCCATTCCATCTGATTCCATTCCATTCGATTCTATTCCGGTCGACTCCATTCCAATCCATTCCGTTCCATCCGATTCCATTCCATTCTATTCCATTCCATTCCCTTCCATTCCATTCCATTCATTTCCTTTCCATTCGAGTCAAATCAGTTGCAGTCCATTCCATTCCATTCTAGTCCATTCCATTCCTTTCCATTCATTCCATTCCATTTCATTAAAAGGTATTCCATTCGTTTGTATTTCACACCATTCCGTTCCATCAGATTCCATTGCATTCCATTCCTTCCGATGCCATTCCATTCGATTCTATTCCATTCCATTCCTTTCCATTCCATCCGATTCCGTTCCATTTTATTAATTTCCTTTCCCTTCCATTCCATTCGATTATTTTCCATCCCATTTTATTCCATTCCACTCCAGTCCTTTCCATTCAAGTGCATTCCATTCCAGTACATTCCATTCAATTCCATTCTATTCAAATTAATTCAATTCGAGACCATTCCTAACGAGTCCACTGTATTTGAGTCCATTCCATTCGATTCCATTACATTTGGGTCTATTCCATTCCGTTCCTTTCCTTTCCATTCGATGTCATTCCATTCGACTCTATTCCATTTCATTCCATTCCATCCGACTCCATTCCATTCTATACCTTTCCGTTCCATTGCAATCCATTCGCTTACATGACATTCGAGTCCATTCCACTCCAGTCTATTCCTTTCGAGTCCATTCCGTTCCAGTTCATTCCATTCGAGTCTATTCCATTCCTTTCCATTTGATATCATTCCTTACACTCCATTCCATTCTATTCCTTTCGATTCCATTCCATTCCATTCCATTCCATTTGACTCCATTCCAATCGAGTGCATTCCATTCCATTCCATTCCATTCCAATCCGTTCGATTCCATTTTATTCGAGTCCATTTAATTCCAGTCCATTACATTCGATCCCATTGCATTCAATTCCATTCCATACTATTGCATTCCGTTTGATTCCATTCTATTTGAATAAATTCCATTCGAGACCATTCCTTTTGAGTCCATTATATTTGAGTCCACTCCATTCCAGTGCAATACATTAGGGTCCATTCCATTCCCTTCCATTCCATTCCATTACATTCGATTTGATGCCATTCGATTCTATACTATTCATTTCGGGTCCATTCCATTAGAGTCCATTCCATTCCATTCCATTCCATTCCATTCCATTCCATTCCATTCCATTCCATTCCATTCCATTCCATTCCATTTCATTTGATTCCATTTCATTCTATTCCTTTCCATTCCCTTCCATTCCCTTCCGCTAGTTTCCATTCCATTCGAGTTCATTTCACTTCAGTCTATTCCATCTGAGTCCACTACATTCCAAACTATTCCATTCGAGTCCATTCCATGCCATTCCATTCCATCAATAACTTTGATTACACTCCATTCAATTCTACCCCTTTTAATCCCATTCAATTCCATTCAATTGGTTTCCATTCCTTTTGACTCCATTCCAATAGAGTCCATTCCATTCCATTGCATTCCATTCGATTCCAATCCGTTCGATTTTATTTAGTTCCAGGCCATTCCATTCGAGTCCATTCCATTCCAGTCCATTCCATTCAATTTCTTTCCTTTAGATTCCATTCCATTCAATTCAATTTCTTTCCCTTCGATTCCATTCCATTCAATTCCATTTCACCCTATTCAACTCCGTTCCATTCCATTGCATTTCATTCTATTCCATTCCATTGCATTCCATTCCATTCCATTTGGTTACATTCTATTCCATTCCCTTTGGTTACATTCCATTCTATTCGAATCAATTACATTTCAATCCATTAAATTTGATTCCATTCTTTTCCAATGCATTCCATTCCATTCCATTCCATTTAATTCTATTCCATTCGAGTTATTTCTATTAGATTTCATTGCATTCCATTCCATGCCATTCTAGGCGGTTCTTTCCTTTAGATTCCATTCCATTGCATTCCATTCCATTCCATTCCATTCCATTCCATTCCATTCCATTCCATTCCATTCCATCCGTTTGCATTCCATTCCATTCTACTCTTTCCTTTCCATTCCATTCCTTTCAATTCCATTCCATTCCATTCAATTTGTTTCCATTGCATTCGAGTCCATTCTATTCCATTCGAGGCCTTTCCATTCGATTGTATTAAATTCAACTCTATTCCATTCTATTCCGTTCCATCCAATTCCATTCCATTCTATTCCATTTCATGCCATTCCATTCCATTCCTTTCCCTTCCATTCCATTCAAGTCCAATCCGCTCCAATCCATGCCATTAGAATCCATTCCATTCCAATCTGTTCCATTCGAGTCCATTCCGTTTTATATGATTCCTTTCGATATCTTTCCATTACACTCCATTCCATTCTATTTCTTTTGATTCCATTCATTTCCATTCTATTCGATTCCATTCCTTTTGATTCCATTCCATTCGAATCCATTCAATTCGAATCCCTTACATTCCACTCTTTTCCATTCCATTCAATTCAGTTCAACTCCAATTCGTTCCATTCCATTTTGTTCCATTCCATTCCATTCGAGTACCTCCCTTTCCAGTCCATTTCATTCGAATCCATTCCTCTCGATTCCATTCCATTTGATTCCATTTTTTTTCCATTTCATTCCATTCGATATCTTTCCATTGCTCTCCATTCCACTATTCTTTTCGATTCCATTCAATTCCATTTCATTTTTTTCCCTTCCATTTCATTTCATTCCATTTGACTCCATTCCGTTAGAGTCCAATTCTTTCCATTCCATTCCATACCATTGATTTACAATCCTTTCGATTCCATTTTGTTCCAGTCCACTCCATTCGACTCCATTCCATTCCAGTCAAATCCATTTGATTCCATTCCATTCTATTGCATTCCACTCAATTGCACTCCATTCCATTCCATTTCATTCCATTCTGTTCCATTCCATTGAATTCCATTTCATTCCATTTGATTACATTCCATTCTATTCCATTCCATTCGAATCACTTACATTACAATCTATTAGATTCGAGTCCGTTGTATTCCAGTCCATTCTATTTTCGTCCATTCCATTCGATTCTATTCCATTTGTAGCAATTACTTTGCAATCCATTAAATTCGAGTGAGTTTTATTCCAGTCCATTACATTCCAGTCAATTCCATTTGATTCCATTACATTCGATTCCATTCCATACTATTGCATTCCATTCGATTACATTCTATTCAAATAAATTCCATTGGAGACCAATTCTTTTGAGTCCATTCTATTTTATTCCATTCCATTCATTTCCATTACATTTGGGTCCATTCCATTCCATTCAATGTCATTCCATTCCATTCTATTCCATTTGAGTACACACCATTCGAGTCCATTCCATTAGATTACATCTCATTCGAAGCCATTCCAATCGATTGTATTCCATTCTACTCCATTCCATTCCATTTCGTTCCATCTGATTTGTTTCCATTCTGTTACTTTCCATTAAATTACATTCTATTCGTTTCCGTTACATTCGTGTCCATTCCACTCCAGTGCATTCCATTCGAGTCCATTCCATTCCAGTCCATTCCTCTCATGTCCGTTCTATTCCATTCCAATCCAGACGATCTCTTTCCATTACGCTCCATTCCATTCTATACCTTTTGATTCCATTCAATTCCATTCTATTCAATTCCTTTCCATTCGATTCCATTCTATTTGACTCCATTCGATTGGAGTCCATTCCATTCCATTGCATTCCATTCCTTTCAATTCCAATCCTTTCAATTCGATTTTGTTCCATTCCATTCCATTCGAGTCTATTCCATTCCAGTCCATTCCATTCAATTCCATTCCATTGGATTCCATTCCACTCGATTCCACTTCATTCCATTCGAGTGCAATCCATTAAATTCCATTGCATTCCATTCCGTTCCTTTCAATTCCAGTCAATTCAATTCCATTTTGTTCCAGTCCATTCCATTCGATTCCATTCCATTTGATTTCATTCCATTGGATTCCAATCCTCTCGATTCTACTCTGTTCCATTCCATTGCATTCCACTCTATTCCATTCCAGTTCATCATATTCCATTCCTTTTGATTAGAATCCATTCTTTTCCATTCCATTCAAATCTATTACATTGCAATCCATTACATTCTTATCCGATCTATTCCAGTCCATTCCATTCCGGTCCATTCCATTCGATTCCATTCAATACTATTGCATTCCCTTCGATTCCATTCTACTCGAATGAATTCCATTCCAGCCCATTCCTTTCGAGTCCATTCTATTTGAGTCCATTCCTTTTGTTTCCACTACATTTGGGTCCATTCCATTCCATGCCATTCCATTCCGTTCGAGGCCATTCCATTCGAATATATTCCATGAGAATGCATTCCTTTCAAGTCCAAACCATTCCATTCCATTCCATTCCATTCCATTCCATTTCATTCCATTCCATTCCATTCCATTCCATTTGATGCCATTGTATTCGATTCTATTGCATTCGACTCCCTTACATTCCATTCTGTTCCATCCGATTCTATTCCACTATATTCCTGTCCATTCCATTCCATTCATTTCCATTCCATTGGAGTCCATTCCTCCCCAGTCCATTCCATTCGATTCCATTCCACTCCAGTCAATTAAATGAGAGTCCATTCCATTTCATTCCATTTGATATCTTTCCATTAAACTCCATTGCATTCAAATCCATTCCACTCAATTCCATTGCAATCAATTCCATACCATTCATTTTCATTACATTTGACTCCATTCCATTCGAGTCCTTTCCATTCCATTCAATTTCATTCCATTCTGTTTGATTCTAATCCGTTCGCTTCCATTTTTTCCCAAGTCCATTCCATTCGATTCCAATACATTCGATTCCATTCCATTCGATTCTATTCCACTCGATTCCACTCCATTTCATTCCATTGCATTCCATTCTATTCCTTTCCATTCCATTGCCTTTCACTATTTTCCATTTCATTACATTCCATTCGATTCCATTCGGTTCCATTCCAGGTAATTCCATTCTATTCCAGTCCATTCCATTCCATTCTATTAAATTCCATTCCATTCAGTTCGACCCCAATCCGTTCGATTCCGTTTTGTTCCAGTACATTTCATTCGAGACCATTCCATTCCAGTCCAATCCATTCGATTCCCTTCTACTGGATTCCATTCAACTCGATTCCACTTCATTCCATTGAATCCCATTCTATTACATTAAATTGCATACCATTCCATTTGATTCCATTCCATTCAATTCAACACCATTGCAATCCATTACTTTCGAGTCCATTCTATTCCAATCCATTCCATTCCTGTCCATTCCATTTGATTCCATTCCATACTATTGCATTCCATTCGATTCCATACTATTTGAATAAATTACTTTGGAGAACATTCATTTCGAGTCAATTATATTTACGTCTATTCCATTCGAGTCCATTACGTTTGGGTCCTTTCCGTTCCATTCCATTCTATTCCATTCCAGTTGATTCCATTCCATTCCATTCCATTCCATTCCATTCCATTCCATTCCATTCCATTCCATTCGAATTGATTCCATTCCATTCCATTCCATTCCATTTGATTCCATTCCATTCGATTCCATTCCATTCGATTCCCTTAAACTCGATTCCATGCTGTTCCATTCCATTACATTCCTCTCTATTCCATTCAATTGCATTCCATTAAATTCCATTTGATTACATTCCTTTCTATTCCATTCCTTTCGAATCAAATACATTGCAGTCCATTACATTCTAGTCCTTTATATTCCAGTGCATTCCATTGCAGTATATTCCATTCGTTTCCATTAAAAACTCTTGCATTCCATTCGATTCCATTCTATTCAAATAAATTCCATTTGTGACCATTGCTTTTGAGTCCATTCTATTTGATTCCATTCCTTTCAAGTCTATTACATTTGGGTCAATTCCATTCCATTCGATTCCATTCAATACCATTCCAGTCTATTCTAATCCATTCGAGTCCATTCCATTTGAGTCCCTTCCATTCCATTCCTTTCCATTCCATTCAAAGCCATTCCATTATATTGTATTCCATTCGACTCCATTCAATTCCATTCTGTTACATCCGATTCCATTATATTCTATTACTTTCAGTTCCATTCCACACCATTCGTTTCGATTCCATTTCCGTCCATTCCATTCCAGTCCATTCCATTCTTGTCCATTCCATTCCAGTCCATTCCATTTGATTCCATTCCATTACATTCCATTCGATATCTTTCCATTACACTCTATTCCATTCTATTCCTTTTGATTACATTCAATTCCATTCTATTGGATTGCATTCCATTTGATTCCATTCCATTCGTCTGCATTACATTGAAGTCCATTCCATTTGATTCCATTCCATTCGAATCCATTCCACTCGATTCCTCTCTGTTCCATTCCATTGAATTTCATTCTATTCCATTCCACTGGATTCCATTCAATTCCATTTGTTTACATTCCATTTGATTCCATTCCATTCGAATCAATTACATTGCAACCCATTACATTCGAGTCCATTCTATTCCAGTCCATTCCATTCAGGTACATTCCATTCCATTCCATTCCATTCTATTCCATTCCATACTATTGCCTTCCTTTTGATTGCTTTCTATTCAAATAAATTCCATTCGATACCATTCCTTTCCAGTTCATTGTATTTGATTCAATTTCATTAGAGTCCATTACATTTGTGTGCATTCTATTCCATTTCATTCCACTCCATTCCATTCAAAACCATTCCATTAAATTCTATTCCATTCAATTCCATTACATTGCATTCCATTCCATTCCATTGCATTGCATTCCATTCCAGTTGATTACATTCCATTTGATTCCATTCCATTTGAATCAATTACTTTGCAATCCATTGCATTCAATTCCATTATTTTTTCAGTCCATTCCATGCCAGTCCATTCCATTTGATTCTATTCCATTCGAGTCCATTCCATTTGAGTCATTTCTATTCCATTCCATTCCATTCCATTCCATTCCATTCCATGCCATTCCATGCGATTTTATTCCTTTTGACTCCATTCCATTCCATTCCATCCGATTCCATTCCATTCCATTCTATTCTTTCCTTTCCATTCCATTCCTTTCCATTCCATTCCATTCAATTCATTTCCATTGCATTCGAGTCCATTCCTTTCCATTCCATTCGATGGCATTCCATTCGATTCCATTCCGTGCAACACCATTCCATCCAATTCCATTCCATTCCATTCCATTCCATTCCATTCCATTCCATTCCATTCCATTCCATTCCATTCCATTCCATTCCTTTCGTTTCCATTCCATTCGAGTCCATTCCACTCCAGTCCATGACATTATGGTCCATTCCATTCCAATCCATTCCATTTGAGTCCATTCTCTTCCATCCATTTCCATTTGATATCTTTCCATTCCACTCCATTCCACTCTATTTCTTTCAATTCAATTCTATTCAATTCCATTCCATTTGAATCCATTCCATTTGAATCCATTCAATGCGAATCCATTCCATTCCACCCCTTTCCTTTCCATTCCATTCAGTTCGACACCAATTCGTTCGATTTCATTTTTTTCCATTCCATTCCATTCGAATACATTCCTTTCCAGTCCATTTCATTCGACTTCATTCCATTTGATTCCATTCAATTCGATTCCATTTTGTTACGTTTCATTCCATTCAATATCTCTCCTTCACACTCCATTCCATTCTATTCTTTTTGATTCCATTCAATTAGATTCCATTTTATTCCCTTCCATTTCTTTCCATTCTATTCGACTCCATTCCATTAGATTCCATCCCATTCCATTCTATTCCGTTCCATTTGATTCCAATCCGTTCGATTCCTTTTTGTTCCCGTAAATTCTATTCGAGTCCATTCCATTCCAGTGAAATCCATTCAATTCCATTCCATTCGATTCCATTCCACTGAATTCCAATCCATTCCATTCCATTTCATTCCATTCTTTTCCATTCCATTGATTTCCATTTCATTCCATTTTATTACATTACTTTTGAATCAATTACATTACAATCCATTATATTCGAGTCCGTTCTATTCCAGTCTATTCTATTCTAGTCCATAACATAAGGTTCCATTCCATTCGTAACAATTACTTTGCAATCCATTACATTCATGACCGTTTGATTCCAGTCCATTTCATTCAGATCCATTCCATTTGATTCCATTACATTTGATTCCTTTCCATACTATTGCATTGAATTCGATTCCGTTGTATTCAAATAAATTGCATTGGAGACCAATTCTTTTGAGTCCATTCTATTTGAGTCCATTCCATTCGACTCCATTACATTTGGATCCATTCCATTCCATTCCATTCCATTCCATTCCATTCCATTCCATTCCATTTCATTCCATTCTGCTCCATTCCATTCCATTCCTTTGCATTCCATTCCATTCCTTTCTATTCCAATCCATTCAATTCCATTTTGTTCCTTTCCGTTCCATTCGAGTCTATGCCATTCCAGTCCATTCCATTGGATTCCATTCCATTGGATTCTATTCCATTGGATTCCATTCCACTCGATTGCAATCCGTTCCCTTCGAGTCCATTCCATTCCATTCCATTCCATTCCATTCCATTCCATTCCGTTCCTTTCTATTCCAATCCATTCAATTCCATTTTTTCCAGTCCATTCCATTCCAGTCCATTCAATTCTATTCCATTCTAATTGATTCTATTCCATAGGATTCCAATCCTCTTGATTCTGCACTGTTACATTCCTTTGCATTCAATTCTATTCTATTCCATTGCATTATATTCCATTCTATTTGATTAGAATCCATTCTATTGCATTCCATTCGAATCTATTATATTGCAATTAATTACATTCGTATCCACTCTATTCCAATCCATTCCATTCCTGTCCATTCCATTCTATTGAATTCCATTCGATTCCATTCAATACTATTGCATTGCCTTCGATTTGATTCTACTCGAACGAATTCCATTCGAGCCCATTCCTTGCGAATCCATTCTATTTGAGTCCATTCCATTTGTGTCCACTACATTTAGGTGCATTCCATTTCAAGAAATTACAATCCATTCCATTCGATGCCATTCCATTCGACTGTATTCCATGAGAATCCATTCCTTTCAAGTCCATTCCATTCCATTCCGTTCCGTTCCATTTCATGCCATTCCATTCGATTCTATTCCATTTGACTCCATTATATTCCAATCCCTTCCATCCGATCCATTCCATTATATTCCTGTCCATTTCATTCCATTTGAGTCCATTCCACTCCAGTCAATTCAATTCGAGTCCATTCCATTCCAGTCCATTGTATTCGAGTCCATTCCATTACATTCCATTCGATATCTTTCCATTGCCTTCCATTGCTTTCAATTCTATTCCACTCAGTTCCATTGCATTTGATTCCATACCATTCAATTGCTTTCCATTTGATTCCATTCTATTCGAGTCCTTTCCGTTCCATTCCATTTCATTCCGTTCTGTTTGATTCCAATCCGTTGAATTCCATTTTGTCCCAAGTCCATTCCATTCTTGGCCATTACATTCAATTCTATTCCTTTCGATTCAATTCCACTCGATTCCACTCCGTTCCTTTCCATTGCATTCCATTCTATTCCATTCCATTGCCTTCCATTACTTTCCATTTGTTTACATTCCATTTGATTCCATTCGGTTCCATTCCCTTTGACTCCATTCCATTCGAGTCCATTCCATTCCACTCCATTAAATTCCATTACGTTCAGTTCGACTCCAATCCGTTCAATTCCCTTTTGTTCCAGGCCATTCCATTCCAATCCATTCAATTCCCTTACATTCGATTCCATTCAACTCGATTCCACTCCATTCCATTCCATTGCATTCCATTCGATTCCATTAAATAGCATACCACTCCATTTGATTCCATTCCTTACAAATCAATAGCATTGCTATCCATTACGTTCGAGTCCATCTATTCCAATCCATTCCATTCGATTCCGTTCTATTCGATTCCATTCCATAATATTGCATTCTATTCGATTCCATTCTATTCGAATACATTCCATTGGAGACCATTCCTTTAGAATCAATGCTATTTGAGTCTATTCCATTCGAGTCCATTACATTTGGGTCCATTCCATTCCATTCCACTGGTTGCCATTACATTTGATTCTCTTCCATTTGAGTCCATTTCATTCGATTCCATTCCAATCCATTCCATTCCATTCTGTTCCATCCGATTCCATTCCATTCTAATCCATTCCATTCCATTCCATGCCATTCTTTTCCATTACACTCCTCTCTAGTACATTCCATTCGAGTCCTTGCCATTCCATTCCATTCCATTTGAGTCCATTCCATTCCATTCCATTTGAGTCCATTCCATTCCATTCCATTCCATTCCATTTGATATCTTTCCATTATACTCCATTCCATTCTATTCTTTTGATTCCATTCAAATCCTTTCCAAATGATTCCATTCCAATCAATTCCATTCCATTCGACTGTATTCAATTCGAGTTCATTCCATTCCATTCTATCCCGTTCTTTTCGATTCCAATCTGTTCTATTGCATTTTATTCCAGTCCATTCCATTCTATTCCATTCCATTGCATTCCATTCCATTCCATTAGACTATAATACATTCGAATCCATTCCATTCGAATAAATAACATTGCAATCCATTACATTGGCGTCCGTTCTATTCCAGTCCATTCCATTCGTTTACATTTCATTCGGTTGAATTCCATACTATTACATTTCAGTCGATTCCATTCTGTTCGAACAAATTCCATTCGAGAACATTCCTTTCGATTCCATTCCATTTGACTCCATTCCATTCTAGTCTATTACATTTGGGTCCATTCCCTTCCATTCCATTCCATTCGATTTGATTCCACTCAATTCCACTCCGTTCCATTCCATTGCCTTCCATTCTATTCCATTCAATTGCATATCGTTCCATTCCATTTGATTACATTCCATTCAATTCCATTCCATTCAAATCAACTGCATTGCAATCCATTACATTCGAGTCCGTTCTATTCCATTGGAATCCATTCTGGTCCATTCCATTCGATTCCATTCCATTCGATTCCATTCCATACTATTGCATTCCATTCGATTCCATTCTATTCGAACAAATTCCATTCGAGAACATTCCTTTCGAGTCCATTCTATTTGATTCATTTATATTCGATTCCATTACTTTTGGGTCCATTCCATTCCATTCCATTTCATTCCATTCCATTCGATGCCATTCCATTCTGTTCTATTCCATTTTAATCCATTCCATTCGAGTCCATTCCATTCCATTCCATTCCATTCCATTCCATTCCATTCCATTCCATTCCATTCATTCCATTCACTTTTATTCAAATATATTCCATTCGATTCTTTTCCACACCATTCTGTTCAATCCAATTCCATTGCATTCCATTCCTTTTGATTCCATTCCATTCGATTCTATTCCATTCCATTCCATTCCGTTCCATCCAATTCCATTCCATTTTATTTATTTCCATTCCATTCCATTCCATTCTATTGTTTTCCATTCAATTTTATTCCATTCCTCTCCTGTCCATTCCATTACAATACATTCCATTCCAGTCCATATCATTCAATTCCATTCTGTTCGAATAAATTCCATTCGAGACCATATTTAATGAATCCATTATATTTGAGTCCATTCCATTCGAGTCCATTACATTTGTGTCCATTCCGTTTTGTTCCTTTCCTTTCCTTTTGATGCCATTCCATTCGACATTATTCCATTAAAATCAATTCCATTCCATTCCATTTCATCTGATTCCCTTCCATTCTATACCTTTCCATTCCATTTCTTTCCATTGCACTCCATTTGTTTCCATGACATTCGAGTCCATTCCACTCCAGTACATTCCATTTGAGTACATTCCATTTGTGTTCATTCCATTCGAGTCTATTCCATTCCATTCGATATCTTTCCATTACACTCCATTCTATTCTATTCCATTTGATTCCATTCCATTCCATTCCATTCCATTCCATTCCATTCCATTTGACTCCATTCCAATCGAGAGCATTGCATTCCATTCCATTCCGTTCCATTCCATTCCAACCCGTTCAATTCCATTTTTTTTTCCAGTCCATTCCATTCGAGTCCATTTCCTTCCAGTTCATTACATTCGATTCCATTCCATTCGATTCCATTTAACTCGATTCCACTCCATTCCGTTCTATTGCATTCCAATCTATTCCATTCCATTGCATTCCATTCCATTCCATTCCATTCAATTTATTACAATCCATGCGATTCTATTCCATTCAACTCAATTACATTACAATCCATTACATTCGAGTCCATTCCATTCAATTCCATTTCATTTGATTCCATTCCATACTATTGCATTACATTCGATTCCATTCTATTCGAGTCAATTCCATTCTAGATCATTCCTTTCTAGTCCATTCTATTTGACTCCAAGCCATTCGAGTCCATTGCATTTGGGGCCATTCCATTCCATTCCTTTCGATGCCATACCATTCGTATCTATTCCATTTGATTCTATTCCACTCGACTCAATTCCATTCCATTCCGTTCTATCCAACTCCATTCCCTTCCATTCCTTTCTATTCCTTTGCATTTCCTTCCATTCAATTTCGTTCCTTTCCACTCAATTTTAGTCCATTCCTTTCGATTCCATTCCTTTCCATTCCATTCCATTCTAGTCCATTACTTTCCATACCATTCCATGCCATTCAGTATCTTTCCATTACACTCCATTCCATTCTATTCCTTGCGATTCCATTCAATGCCATGCCATTCTATTCCATTCCATTCGATTCCATTCC
Source organism: Homo sapiens (assembly GCF_000001405.40). Taxonomy (NCBI): domain Eukaryota; kingdom Metazoa; phylum Chordata; class Mammalia; order Primates; family Hominidae; genus Homo; species Homo sapiens. Next base: position 11,724,042 of record NC_000024.10, on the reverse strand, counting down.
GTTTGCCTACATTCCTTTCGAGTCCATTAAATTCCCTTCCATTACATTCCGTTCCATCGGATTCCAATCTATTGCATTTAATTTTGTTCCAATCCATTCCCTTCGATTCCATTCCATTCCTGTCCATTCCGTTTGATTCCATTCCATTCGATTCCATTCCATTCTATTCCGTTCCACTCGATTCCACTCTGTTCCATTTCATTGCATTCCAACCTATTCCATTCCATTGAAATGCCTTCCATTCCATTTGATTACCTCTCATCCGATTCCATTCCGTTTGAGTCAATTACATTGAAATCCATTGCATTCGAGTCCCTTCCATTCCAGTCCATTCCATTCCAGTCCATTCCATTCGATTTAGTTGCATTCAGTTCCATTAAATACTATTGTGTTATATTAGATTCCATTCCATTAGAATGAATTTCATTCGATATAATTGCATTAGAGTCCATTCCATTAAAGTCCATTACACTCGACTCAATTATATTTGGGACCATTCCATTCCATTCGTTGCCATTCCAGTAGATTGCATTCCATTCGATTCCATTCCATTCAATTCCATTCGAAGCCATTACTGTTGATTCTATTCCATTCAACTCCTTTCCCTTCCATTCAGTTCCATCTGATTCCATTGCATTCCATTCCTTTCCTTTCTATTCCATTCCATACCTTTCCATTCCATTCCATTCCATTCCATTCCATTCCATTCCATTCCATTCCATTCCATTCCTTTCCATTCCATTCCATTCCAGTCTATTCCATTCCATTCCATTCCATTCCATTCCATTCCATTCCATTCCATTCCATTCCATTCCATTCCATTCCTTTTCATTCCATTAGTTGCCATTCCAGTAGATTTCATTCCATTCGATTCCATTCCATTCAATTCCATTCGAAGTCATTACTGTTGGTTCTATTCCATTCAACTCCATTCCCTTCCATTCCGTTACATCTGATTCCATTCCATTCCATTCCTTTCCACTCCATTCCATTCCATTCCATTCCATTCCATTCCATTCCATTCCATTCCATTCCTTTCCATTCCATTCCATTCCTTTCTATTCCATTCCTTTTCATTCCATTAGTTGCCATTCCAGTAGATTTCATTCCATTCGATTCCATTCCATTCAATTCCATTCGAAGCCATTACTGTTGGTTCTATTCCATTCAACTCCATTCCCTTCCATTCCGTTACATCTGATTCCATTCCATTCCATTCCATTCCATTCCATTCCATTCCATTCCATTCCATTCCATTCAGTTCTTTACCATTTCATTCTATTCAATTCCACTCCAGTCCATTCCATTCGAGTCCATTACTTTCCAGTCCATTCCTTTCGAGTCCAATCCATTCCATTCCATTCTATTCCATATCTTTCCATTACCCTTCATTCCAGTCTATTCCTTTCATTTCCATTCCATTTGATTCCATTCCACTTGATTACATTTCATTTGACTCCATTCTGTTCGAGTCCATTCCATTCCATTCCGTTCAATTCGATTCCTATCTGTTCAATTCCATTTTATTGCAGTGCATTCATTCGATACCACTCCATTACAGTCCATTCCATTGGATTCCATTCCATTCGATTCCATTCAATTCGAATAAATTCCATTCGAGACCATTCCTTTTGAGTCCATTATATTTGAGTCCATTCCATTCCAGTCCATAACATTTGTATCCATTCCATTCCATTCCACTCATTCGATGCCATTCCATTTGATTCTATTCCATTTGACTCCATTCCATTCCATTTCGTTCCATTTTGATTCACCCTATTACATTCCTTCCTATTACATACCATTCCGTTGCATTCTTTTCCTTTGATTTGTCTCCAATCCTCTCCAGTCCATTCCATTCGTGTCTGTTCCATTCAAGTCCACTGCATTCCGTTCCATTTTATCCCATTCCATTCCATTCCATTCCATTGCATTCCATTCCATTCCACTCAGGTTGATTCCATTCCATTCCATTCCATTCCATTCCATTCCATTCCATTCCATTCCATTCCATTCCACTCCATTCCATTCCACTCGGGTTGATTCCATTCCATTCCATTCCATTCCATTCCATTCCATTCCATTCCATTCCATTCCATTCCGTTCCTTTCCATTCCGGTCCATTCCTTTCCATTTTGTTCCAGTCCATTCCATTCGATTCCATTCCACTCAATTCCACTCTGTTGCATTCCATGGCATTCCATTCTCTTCCATTTCATTGAATTCCATTCTATTCCAATCCACTGCAGTCCATTCCATTCCATTTGATTACATTCTATTCAATTCCCTTCCTTTTGAGTCAATTACATTGCAATACTTTACATTCGAGTCTTTTCTATTCCAGTCCATTCCATTCTGGTCCTTTCCATTCGATTCCATTGTATTCTATTCCATTCGGTACTCTTGCATTCCATTCGATGCCATTCTATTCAAATAAATGCCTTTCAAGACCATTCCTTTCGAGTCCATTCTATTTGAATCCTTTCCATTCGAGTCCAAGAAGTTTGTTTCTATTCCATTCTCGTCTATTCCATTCCATTCCCTTCCATTCGATGCCATTCCATTCGATTCTATTCCATTCGAGTCCATTCCATTCCATTGCATTCGATGAGATCCCATTAGATTTTATACCACTCGACTCCATTCCATTCTGTTCCGTTCCAACCGATTGCTTTCCATTATATTCCTTTCCATTCCATTCCTTTCGTTTCCATTCCATTGGAGTCCATTCCACTCCATTCCATTCCATTCCATTTAATTTGATGCCATTCCATTCGATTCTATTCCAATCAAATCCATTCCATTCCACTCCGTTCGTTCTGATTCCATTCCATTCTATTCTTTTCCATTCCATTGCCTTCCATTCTATTCCATTCCATTCCATTCCATTCCATTCCATTCGACTATATTCCTTTACCCTCCATTCCATCATATTCATTTTGATTCAAAACAATTCCATTCCATTGGTTTCCATTACATTGGATTCCAATCCATTCGACTCCATTCCAAGAGTCCAATCCATTCCGTTCCAATCTGTTGTATTGAATTCCAATCCGTACGATTCAATTTTGCTCCACTCCATTCCATTCGAGTCCATTCCATTACAGTTAATTACATTCGATTGCATTCCATTCGATTCCAATCCATTCGATTCCATTCCACTCGATTTCACTGCGTTGCATTCCATTGCATTCCGTTATATTCCAATCCATTGAATTCCATTCCATTCCATTCCACTCGAATCAATTACATTACATTTCTTTACATTCGAGTCCGTTCTATTCCATTCCATTCCATTCCGGTCCATTCCATTCAATTCCATTCCGTTTGATTCCATTCCATACTACTGCATTCCATTTGATTCCATTGTATTTGAATTAATTACATTCGAGATCATTACTTTCGAGTCTATTCTATTTTAGTCCATTCCATTCATCTCCATTACGTTTGATCCATTCCATTCCATTCGTTGCCATTCCATTCGATTCTATCCCATTCGAGTCCATTCCATTCGAGTCCATCCCATTCCATTCCCTTGCATTCCATTCCATTTGATGCCATTCCATTCGATTCTATTTCATTCGACTCCATTCCCTTGCATTCCATTCCATCAGATTCCATTCCATTCTCTTCCTTTCCATTCCATTCCATTCCATTCGTTTCCATTACATTCGAGTCCATTCTACTACTTTCCATCCTATTCGAGTCCTTACCATTCCGGTCCAGTCCATTTGAGTCCATTCCATTCCATTCTATTCGATATGTTTCCAATACACTCTATTCCATTCTAATCCTTGTGATTCCATTCCATTCCATTCTATTTGATTCCATTACATTCGGTTCCATTCCCTTCAAATCCATTCCATTCGTGTCCATTAAATTCGAGTCCATTCCATTCCATTCCATTCCATTCCATTCCATTCCATTCCATTCGATGTGTTTCCATTTCCCTTCATTCCATTCTACTACTTTTGATTCCATTCCATTCCTTTCCATTCGGTTGCGTTCCATTCTACTCCATTACATTCGAGTCTATTCCATTCGAGTCCATTGCATTCCATTCCACTCCATTTGGTATATTTCCATTTCACTCGAGTCCATTCTATTCCTTTGGTTTCCATTCATTTCCATTCCATTTGATTCTATTACATTCTTCTCAATTCCTTTCAACTTCATTCCATTCGTGTCCATTCCATTCCATTCTGTTCGATTCCAATCCGATCGATTCCATTTTGTTCTATTCCATTCCATTCGAATCTTTTCCATTCCAGTCTATTCCATTCGATTTCATTCAATTCGCTTCCATTCCATTCGATTCTAATCCATTCGATTCCACTCAGTTGCATTCCATTGCATTACTTGATATTCCAGTCCATTGCATTCCAATCCATTCCATTTGAATACATTCCATTCGTTTCCATTCCATTCGAATCAGTTATATTGAAATCCATTACAATCTACTCCTTTCTGTTTAAGTCCATTCCATTTCGGTCCATTCCATTCGATTGAATTTCATTTGATTCTATTTCTTTCGAATCAATTGCATTTCAATCCATTACATTCGAGTCCGTTCTATTCCAGCCCATTCCAATCTGGTCCATTCCAATCGATTACAACACATTCGATTCTATTCCATGCTATTGCATTCCATTCGATTCCGTTCTACTCGAAGAGATTCCATTCAAGACCATTTCTTCCCAGTCCATTCTATTTGAGTCCATTCAATTCTAATCCCTTACATTTGGGTTCATTCCATTCCATTCCATTCGATGCCATTCCATTTGATTGTATTCAATTCGAGTCCATTCCTTTCAAGTCCATTCCATTGCATTCTATTCTATTCCATTCCGTTTGGTGCCATTCCATTCGATTCTATTCCATTCGGCTCCATTCTATTCCATTACGTTCCACCCGATTCCATTCCATTCCATTTCATTCCATTCCATTCCATTCCATTCCATTCCATTCCATTCCATTCCATTCCATTCCATTAGTTTCCATTTCATTTGAGACCATTCCACTCCACTGCATTCCATTCGACTTCTTTCCACTCCAGTACATTCCATTCGAGTCCATTCCACTCCAGTCCATTCCCGTCGAATCCATTCCATTCCAATGCATTCCATTCCTTTCCATTCGATATCTTTCCATTACACTCCATTCCATTCTATTCGTTTCGATTTCTTTCAATTCTATTCCATTTGATTCCATTTCATTCGAGTCCATTCCATTCCATTCCATTCAATTATATTCCATTCAATTATATTCCGTTCGATTCAAAACTTTTCAATTCCATTTTGTTGCAGTCCATTCCATTGGACTCCACTCCATCCCAGTCCATTCCTCTTGATTCCATTCCACTCCATTCCACTCTGTTCCATTCCATTGCATCCCATTCTATTACATTCTATTGCATTCCATTCCATTCCATTTGATTACATTCCATTCAATTCCATTAGATTGAAATCAATTGCATTGCAATCCATTATATTGGAGTCCGTTCTTTTCCAGTCCATTCCATTCCAGTCCATTCCATTTGATTCCATTCCATTCTGTTGCATTCCATTTGATTCCATTCTATTCAAATAAATTCCATTCGAGACCATTCATTTCAAGTCCATTATATTTGACTCCTTTACATTCGTGTCCATAACATTTGGATCCCTTCCACTCCATTCCATTCCACTCCATTCGATGCCATTCCATTCGATTCTATTCCATTAGACTCCACTCCATTCGAGTCCATTCCATTCCATTCCATTCCATTTGTTGCCATTCCATTCGATTCTATTCCATTAGATTCCATTCCATTCGAGTCCATTCCATTCCATTCCACTCCATTCGATGCCATTCCTTTCGATTCTATTCCATTAGTTTCCATTCCATTCCATTCCATTCGATGCCATTCCATTTGATTCTATTGCTTTTGACTCCATTCAATTCCATTCATTTCCGTTCCATGTGATTCCATTCCATTCTATTCCTTTCCATTCCATTCCATTCTTTTCCACTCATTTGAGTCCATTCTAATCCAGTACATTCCATACGAGTCCATTCCATTCCTGTCCAGTCCATTCCATTCAATGAAATTCCTTTCTTTTCTACTCCATTCGGATCCATTCCATTCCCATCCATTCCATTTGATGCCATTCCATTCGCTTCTGTTCCACTCAACTCCATTCCATCCCATTCCGTTCCATGTGATTCCATTTCATTCTATTCCATTCCATTCCATTCCATTCCATTCCATTCCATTCCATTCCTTTCCATTCCATTCCAATCCATTCCATTCCATTCCATTCCATTCCATTCCATTCCATTCCATTCTTTTCCATTCAATTAGAATCCACTACACTCCAGTCCATTCCCTTCGAGTCAATTTCACTCCAGTCCATTCCATCTGATGCCATTCCATTTGATTCCATTCCATTCGAGTCCTTTCCATTCCAATCCACTCCATTTGATGCCATTCCATTTGATTCTATGCCATTCGATTCCATTCCATCCCACTCCATTCCATCTGATTCCATTCCACTCCATTCCATTCCATTCCATTCCATTCCATTCCATTCCATTCCATTCCATTCCATTCTTTTCCATTCAATTCGAGTCCACTACACTCTGGTCAATGCCATTCGTGTCCATTTCACTCCAGTCTATTCCATGTGATGCCATTCCATTTGAGTCCATTCCATTCCATTCCATTCGATGCCATTCCATTCAGTTCTATTCCATTCGACTCCATTCCCTTCCATTCCCTTCCATCTGATTCCATTCTCTTCTATTCCTTTCCATTCCATTCCTTTGCATTCCATTCCATTCCATTCATTTCCATTCAATTCGAATATATTCCACTCAAGTCCATTCTGTTGGAGTTCACTTCATTCCAGTCCATTCCATTCGAGTTCCTTCCTTTCCATTAAATTTGATATCTTTTCATTTCTCTGCATTCCAATCTATTCAGTTCGTTTCGATTCTATTAAATTCCACTTGACTCCATTTCATTCGATTCTATTTCATTCGAGTCCAATCCATTTGAGTCCATTCCATTCCAGTCCATTCCATTAGATTCCATTCCATTCTATTCCATTCCACTCCTTTCCATTCCATTGAATTCCATTCTATTCATTTCCATTGCATTCCATTCCATTCCATTTAATTAAATTCCATTCAATTCCTTTCCATTTGAATCAATTAAATTGCAATCCACTGCATTCGAGTCCGTTCTATTCCAATTATTTCCATTCTTGTCCATTCCATTTGATTCCATTCCATTTGTTTCCATTCCATACTATTGCATTCCATTTGATTACATTCTATTCGAATAGATTCCATTCAAGGCCATTTCTTTCGAGTCCATTCTATTTGGGTCCATTTCATTTGAATCCATTACATTTGGGTCCATTCCATTCCATTGCGTACCGTTCCACTACATTACATTCAATTCCATTCCATTCTATTCTATTCCGTTCGAGTCCATTCCTTTAGAGTCCATTCCACTCCATTGCATTGCATTCGATGCCATTCCATTCGATTTTATTCCTTTTGATTCCATTCAATAACATTCCGTTCCTACCGGTTCCTTTCCCTTCTCATCCATTCCATTCCATTCCAATTCATTGCTTTACATTCGTTTCCATTCCATTTGAATCCTTTCCAGTCCAGTCCATTCGATTTGAGTACATTCCATTCCATTCCATTCCACTCCATTCCATTTAACTGCATTCCATTCGTTATCTTTCAATTACACTCCATTCCTTTCTATACCTTTCGATTCCCTTCAATTCCATTACATTTGATTCCATTCCATTTGATTCCATTACACTCGACTCCTTTCCATTTGAGTCCTTCCATTCCATTCCTTTCCATTCGATTCCAAACTGTTTGATTCCATTTTTTTCCAGTCCATTCCATTCGAGTGCATTAAATATCAGTCCGTTCTGTTTGATACCATTCCATTTGATTCCGTTCCATTCGATTCCATTCCACTCGATTCCAATCCATTCCATTCCATCACATTCCATTCCATTCCATTCAATTGCATTCCATTCCATTGGTTAACATTCCATTCAATTCCATTCCGTTCGAATGAATTACATTGCAATCCCTTACATTCGAGTCAGTTCTATTCCTTTCCATTCCATTCCGGTTCTTTCCGTTCAATTCCATTACATTCTATTACATTCCATACTATTTCATTACATTCGATTCAATTCTATTTGAATAAATACCATTCAAGACCATTTCTTTCGGGTCCTATCTATTGAGTCCATTCCATTTGAGTCCATTTCATTTTAGTCCATGCCATTCCTTTCCATTCTATTCCTTTCAATGCCATTCCATTCGATTGTATTCCATTCGTTTCCATTCCATTGGAGTCCATTCCATTCCATTCCATTTGATGCCATTCCATTCGATTCTATTCCGTTTGACTCCTTTCCATTCCATAACATTCTGTCCGATTCCATTCCATTCTATTCCTTTCCATTCCGTTCCTTTCCATTCCTTTCTATTCCATTCCATTTCATTCGTTTATATTCCATTGGAGTCCATTTTACTCCTGTCCATTCCATTCGAGACCGTTCCATTCCAGCCAATTCCATACGAGTCCATTACATTCCATTCCTCATGATATCTTTTCATTACACTCCATTCCATACTATTCCTTTGGTTTCCATTCAACTCCATTCCATTTGATTCCATTGCATTCTATTCAATTCCATTAGACTCCATTCCATTCAATTCCGTTCGATTCCATTCCATTTCGTTCAGTTCGTTTCCAATCCATTCGATTCCATTTTGTTCTAGTCCATTCCTTTCCAGTACATTCCATTCCAGCCCATTCCATTCGAATCCCTTCCAATCGCTTCCATTTCATTCGATTCCATTCCACTTGAATCCACTCCGTTTAATTCCTTTGCATTCCATTCTATTCCAGTCCATTGCATCCCATTCCATTCTACTTGATTAAGTTCCATTTGAATCAACTCAATTCAAATCAATTACACTGCCATACATTACCTTTGATTCCGTTCTATTTAAGTCCATTCCATCCCCTCCAGTCCATTCGATTACATTCTATTCTATTCCATTCCATTGGAGTCAACTACTTTGTAATTCACTACATTCGAGTCCGTTCTATTCCACTCCATTCCATTCCGGTGCATTCCAATCGTTTCCATTCAATTCGATTCCTTTGCATAATATTAAATTCCATTCAACTCCTTTCTATTCGAATAGGTACCCTTTCAGACCATTGGTTTTGAGCCCATTCTATTTGAGTCCATTCCATTCCAGTCCATCAGATTTGGGTCCATTCCATTCCATTGGGTTCCATTTCATTCCATTCGATGCGATTCCATTCTATTCTATTCCATTCGAGTCCATTCCCTTCCGTTTGATTCCTTTCCATTCGATTCTATTCCATTCGACTCCATTCCATTCCATCCAATTCCATTCCATTCTATTCCTTTCCATTCCATTCCATTCCAATACATTACATTCGATTCCATTCCACTCCATTCCATTCCTTTCGAGTCCATCCCACTCCAGTCCATTACCTTCGATTCCATTCTATTTGATTCCATTCCATTTGAATCAATTACATTGCAATCCACAACATTCGAGTCCGTTCTATTCCATTAAATTCCATGCCAGTCCATTCGACTCTATTCCATTCCATTCGATTACATTCCATACTATTGCATTCCATTCGATTCCATTCCATACGAATAGATTACATTTCAGACCACTTCTTTGGAGTCCATTCCTTTCGAGTCCGTTACATTTTGGTCCATTATAATCCATTCCGCTCCATTTCATTCCATGCCATTCGATGCCATTCTATTCGATTCTATTCCATTCGAGTCCATTCCATTCGAAACCATTCCATTCTATTCCTTTCCATATAATGCCATTCCATTCGATTCTATGCCATTCCTCCCCGTTCATTCCATTCCATTCCATTCCATCTGATTCCATTCCATTCTACTCTATTCTATTGTATTCCATTCCATTCCATTCCATTCGTTTCATTCCATTCAGGTCCATTCCACTCCATTCCATTCCATTCGAGTCCATTGCATTGCATTCCTTTCCATTCAATATCTTTCCATTCTACTCTATTCTATTCTATTCCTTTCCATTCTATTCAATTCCATTCCATTCGATTCCATTTACTTGTATTCCATTCCATTCGACTCCATTACATTCGAGTCCATTCCATTCCATTCTATTCAATATCTTTCCATTACACTGCATAGCATTCTATTCCTTTTGATTCCCTTCAATCCAATTTCATTCGATTGCATTACATTCGGTTCCATTCCATTTGACTCCATTCCTTTTGAGTCCCTTCTATTCAATTCCATTCCATTATATTCCGTTAGATTCGAATCTGTTTGATTATATTTTTTTCCAGTCCTGTCTATTCGAGTCCATTCCATTTCAGTCCATTCCATAGGATTACATTCCTTTCGATTCCATTGCATTTGATTACATTCCACTCGATTCCATTCCGTTCCATTGTATTGCATTCCATTCTATTACATTACATTTCCTACCATTCTTTTCCATTTGATTTCATTACTTTTGAATCCAATACGTTCAAAACAGTTACATTGTAAACCATTATATTCGAGTCCATTCTATTCCACTCCATTCCATTCCAGTAATTTCCATTTCATTCCATTCCATTCCATTCCATTCCATTCCATTCCATACTATTGCATTCCATTCAAATACATTCTATTCGAATAAACTGCAATCAACACCATTCCTTTCAAGTCCTTTCTATTTGAGTAAATTCCATTCGAGTACATTACATTTGTGTCCATTCCAATCCATTCCATTCCATTGCATTCCATTGCATTCCATTGCATTCCATTCCATTCCATTCCATTCCTTTCGATGACATTCCCTTCTGTTCTATTCCACTTGAGTCCATTCCATTCGAGTCCATTCAACTCCATTCAATTGCATTCCATTTCATTCAATGCCATTCCATTGGATTCTATTCCATTCGACTCCACTCCATTCCATTCCGTTCCATCCAATTCCATTCTGTTCTATTCCTTTCCATTCCATTCCTTTTGATTCGAGTCCATTCCACTCCAGTCCATTCCTTTCCAGTCTATTCCTTTCCAGTCCATTCCATTCTATTCCATTCCATTCCATTCCATTCCATTCCATATCTTTCCATTACAGTCTTTTCCATTCTATTCCTTTCCATTCCATTCAATTACATTCCATTAGATTCCATTCCTTTCAGTTCCATTCCATTCGACTCCACTGCATTCGAGTCCAATCCAATCCATTCCATTCCATTCCGTTCGATTCTAATCAATTCGATTCCATTTTCTTCCAGTCCATTCCATTAGTGTCCATTCCATTCCAGTTCATTCCATTCGATTCCATTCCACTCGATTCCACTCCATTCCATTCCATTGCATTCCATTCTACTCCATTCTATTGCATTCAATTCCATTCCATTTGATTACATTCCATGTGATTCCATTCCAGTCAAATCAATTACAATGCAATCCATTACATTCGAGTTCATACTAATCCATTCCATTCAATTCCTTTCGATTCCACTCGATTCCATTTCATACTTTTGCATTCCATTCGAATCCGTTCTATTCGAATAAATGCCATTCAAGACCATTGCTTTTGAGTCTATTCTATTTCAGTCCATTCGTTTCAAGTCCATTACATTTGGGTCCATTCCATTCCATTCCATTCAATTCGATGCCATTCCAATTGAGTCCATGCCATTCGAGTCCTTTCGATTTCATAACATTCGATGCCATTCAATTCGATTATATTGCATTCGATTCCATTCTCTTCCCTTTCTTTTCATCCAATTCCATTACATTCTATTACTTTCAATTCCATTCCATTGCATTCCATTCCATTCCAATCGTTTCCATTGCATGCGAGTCCAATCCACTCCAGTCCATTCCTTTGAAGTACATTCCATTCCTGTCAATTCCATTCGAGTCCATTCCATTTGACTTCATTGCATTCAAATCCATTCCATTCTGTTACCTTCCATTCGATTACCTTCAATACAAATAAATTCAAAGCGAAACCATTTTTTCGAGTCCATTCTGTTTGAGTCCATTCCATTCGATTCCAGAAAATTTAGGTCCATTCTATTCCACTCCACTCCACTCCACTCCATTCCATTCCATTCCATTCCATTCCATTCCATTCCATTCCATTCCATTCCATTCCATTCCTTCCAATCTTTTCCATTCATGATCATTCCATTCGAGTCCATTCCATTCCAAGTCATTCAATTCCATTCTATTCCATTCAAGTCCATTGCATTCGAGTCCCTTCCACTTGAATCATTTCTATTCCATTCCTTTCGATGCCATTCCACTCGATTCTACTCCATTTGACTCCATTCCATTCCATTCATTCTTTCCAATTCCATTCCATTCTGTTCCATTCCAATCTATTCCATACCATTCCATTCCATTTGTGTCCATTCCACTCCAGTCCCTTCCATTCAGGTCCATTACATTCTAGTCCATTCCATTCGAGACCATTCCATTAGATTCGATTTCTTTCCATTCCATTCCATTCTATTCTCTTTTTTTAAATTCCTTCAATTCCATTCTTTTCAATTCCATTCCATTCGGTTCCATTTCAGTCGAGTCCTTTCCTTCCATTCCGTTCCATTCCACTCCAATCCATTCCATTCCATGCCGTTTGATTCCATTCCGTTCGATTCTAGTTTGTTCCAGTCATTTGCATTTCAGTCCATTCCATTCCAGTCCATTCCATTCGATTCCATTCCCTTCAATTCCTTTCCGTTGGATTCCATTCTGCTCGATTCCTCTCCGTTCCATTCCAATGCATTCCATTCTATTCCATTCCATTGTGTCACATCCTATTCTATTCCATGTCCTTCCATTCTATTACCTTTGATTGCATTTCATTCGGTTCCATTCTCTTTGAATCTATTACAGTGCAATCCATTACATTCGAGTCCATTCTATTGCAATCCATTGCATTCTGGTCCATTCCGTTTGATTCCATTCCATTCGATTCCATTCCATACTATTGCTTCATATTCAATTCCATTCCATTTGAATATATTCAATTCCAGACCATTCTTTCGAGTCCATTCTATTTGAGTCAATTCCATTCTAGTCCATTACATTTTGTCCATTCCATTCCATTCCATTGAGTGCCATTCCAGTCTATCTATTCCATTCTAGTCAATCCCTTTCAAGTCCATTCCATTCCATTGCATTAAATTCGATGCAATTCCATTCAATTTTATTCCATTGGGATATATTCCATTCCGTTCCGTTCCATCCGTTTGCATTCCATTCTATTCCTTTCTATTAAATTCCGTTTGTTTCCATTCTATTCGAGTCCATACCTCTCAGGTCCATTCTATTCCAGCCCTATCCACTCCAGCCCATTCCATTCGAGTCCATTCCATTCCATTCCATTCGATACGTTTCCATTACACTCCATTCCATTCTATTCCTTTCGACAGCATTCAATTCCATTAGATTCAGTTCCATTCGATTCAACTCCATTCCTTTCGGATCCATTGTCTTCCATTCCATTCCATTCTGTACAGTTCTATATCAATCCATTCGATTCCATTTTGTTCCAGTCCGTTCCATTCGAGTCCATTCCATTCCTGTACATTCCATTCAATTTCATTCCATTCGACTCCATTTCATTCGATTCCATTTCACTCTATTGAACTCCGTTCCTTTATACTGCATTCCATTCTATTCCATTCTGTTGCATTCCGTTCAACTCCATTTGATTACATTCCATTTGATTCCATTCCATTCGAATAAATTACATTGCAGACCATTACATTCGAGTCTGTTCTATTTCATTCCATTTCATTCCGATCCATTCCGTTCGATTCCATTCCATTCGATTCCATACCATAAAATTATATTAAATTCGATTCCATTCTATTCAAATAAATTCCATTCGAGACCATTCCTTTCTAGGGCATTGTATTTGATTTCATTCCATTCGGGTCCATTACATTTGGGTCCATTCCTTTCCATTCCATTCCATTCCATTCCATTCTAAACCATTCCATTCTATTCTATTCCACTTGCGTCAATTCCATTCTATTCCATTCCATTCCATTCCTTTCCTTTCGAAACGATGTCATTCCATTCGATTCTATTTCTTTCGACACCATTCCATTCCATACCATTCCATGCCATTCCATTTCATTGTATTCCTTCTCATTTCATTCCTTTGCATTCCATTTGATTCCATTCCGTTTGATTCCATTCCATTCCATTCAAAGACATTCTATTTGAATCTATTCCATTCTACTCTATTCCATTCCATTCCGTTACATCCGATTTCATTTCATTCTATTGTTTCCATTCTATTCCATTCGTTTCCAATCCATTGGAGTGCCATTCCACTCCATTAAATTCCATTCAAGTCCATTCCATTCCAGTCCATTCCTTTCGAGTCCATTCCATTCCATTTCATTCGATATCTTTCCATTCCCTTCCATTCCATTCTATTCATTTTGATTCCATTCAATTCCATTCCAATCGATTCCACTCCATTTGACTCCATTCCATTCGATTCCATTCCATTGCATTCCATTCCATTCCAATCCGTTCAATTCTATTTCATTCCAGTCCATTTCATTCGAATCCATTCCATTCCATTCCATTCCATTCCATTTGATTCCATTCCTTTCAATTCCATTCCGTTCGATTCCATTTCTCTCGAATCCATTCTGTTCCATGTCATTGCTTTCCAATCTATTCCTTTCCATTGCATGAAATTCAATTCCATTTGATTACATTCCATTGGATCCATTCCACTTGAATTAATTACATATCATTCCATTACCTTGGAGTCTGTTGTATTGCAGTCCATTCCATTTCTGTCCATTGTATTGAATTCCATTCCATTCAATTCCATACCCTATTATTGCATTACATTCGATTCCATTTAAGTGGAATAAAATTCGAGACCTTTACTTTCGAGGACATTCTATTTGAATCTATTTCATTCCAGTCCATTACATTTGGGTCCATTCCATTCCATTCTAATCCATTCCATTCTCTTCCTTTCCATTCCATTCCATTCCGTTCCATTGTATTCAATTCCCTACAAGTCCATTCCTTTCTAGTCCATCCCATTCCATTCCATTTGATGTCATTCCATTCGATTCTATTCCATTCGACTCCATTCCCTTCCATTCTGTTCCATCCATTTCTGTTCCATTCTATTCCTTTCCATTTCATTCCATTCCATTCCATTCCATTCCATTCCATTCCATTCCATTCCATTATTTTCCAATCCATTCGAGTCCATTGCACTCCTGTTCATTACATTTGAGTCCATTCCTTTCCACTCCATTCCGTTCGATTCCGTTTCATTCCATTACTTTTGATATCTTTCCATTACACTCCATTTCATTCTATTGCTTTCGATTCCACTCATTTGCATTCCATTCGACTCCATTCCATTCGAGGACATTCCATTCCATTACATTCCATTTAGTTTGATTCCAATCCCTTCGATTCCATTTGTTCCAGTTCATTCCATTCGAGTCCATTGCATTCCAGTTCTTTCCAGCAGATTTCATTCCATTCAATTCCGTTCCATTCGATTCCTTTCCACTCGATTCCATTCCGTTCCATTCCATTGCATTCCATTCTACTCCATTCCATTGCATTCCTTTCCATTCCCTTTGATTACTTTCCATTCGATTCCTTTCCATTATAATCAGTTACATTGCAATCCATTATATTCGAGCCCGTTCTATTCCATTCCATTCTATTCAGGTCCATTCCATTCGATTCCATTTCATTCTATTCCATTTCGTAGTATTGCATTCCATTCGATTCCATTCTATTTGAATAAATTCCAATCGAGGCCATTCCATTCGAATCCATTCTGTTTGAATCCACTCCATTCGAGTCAATTACTTTTGGGTCCATTCCAGAACATTCATATCCATTCCATTCGATGCCATTCCATTCGAATCTATTCCATTCGATTGTGTTGCATTGAAGTCCGTTCCATTTCAATCCATTCCATTCCATTCCATTCGATGCCATTACATTCGTTTCTATTCCATTTGAGTCCATCCATTCAAGTCCATTCCATTCCATTCGATGTCATTCCAATGGATTCTATTCCATTCAACTCTATTCCATTCCACTGCATTCCATCCTATTCCTTTCCATTCCATTCCATATCATTCCACTCGGTTCCATTTGAAGCGATTCCATTCCATTCGATTCCATTCAAATCCTTTCCATTCTAGTCCATTTCATTTAATTACATTCTATTCCATTTCATTCCATTCCATTCACTGCCATTCCCTTTGATTCTATTCCATTCGACTCCATTCCATTCTGTTCTGTACAATAGCATTCCATTATATTCCTTTCCATTCCATTCCTTTCCTGTTCTTCCCATTCCATTCATTTTCGTTCGATTCACGTCCATTCCCCTCCAGTCCATTCCATTCCAGACCATTCCATTCCTTTCCATTCCATTCAATATCTTTTCGTTAGACTCCTTTCTATTCTATTCCTTTCAATTCCTTTCAATTCCATTCCATTCGATTCCATTCCATTTCATTCCATTCTGTTCCATTCAGTTCAATTCCATTTTGTTCCAGTCCATTCCATTAGAGTCCATTCCATTCCAGTCCATTCCATTCGATTCTATACGATTCAATCCCATTCCATTCAATTCCATTCAACTCGATTCCACTCCATTCCATTCCATTGAATTCCATTCTATTCAATTAAATTGCATTCCATTCCATTCCATTTGATTACTTTCCTTTCGAATCCATTCCATTCGAATCAATTTCATTGCAATCCATTACATTCGAGTCCATTGTATTCCAGTCCATTCCATTCGGGTCCATTCCATTAGATTCCATATCATTCAATTCCATTCCATATTATTGCATTACATTCAATTCCAGTCTATTCGAATAAATTCCATTCGAGACCCTTCCTTTTGACTTCATTCTATTTGAGTCCATTCCTTTCTAGTCCATTTCATTCGGGTACATCCCAATCAATTCCATGCCTTTCCATTTGATGCCATGCCATTGCAGTTAATTCTATTCCATTCGATTATTCAATTCGAGTCCATTCCATTCCATTTGATGCAATTCCATTGGATTATCTTCAATTCGTCTCCATTCCAATCCATTCCATTCCATCTGACTCCATTCCATTCTATTCCAATCCATTCTATTCTGTTCTATTCCATTCCATTCCATTCCATTCCATTCCATTCCATTCCATTCCATTCCAATCCATTCCATTCCATACCATTTGTTTCCATTCCATGTGAGTCCATTTCACTGCAGTCCATTCCATATGAGTCCATTCCATTTCGGTCCATTCCTTTGGAATCCATTCTATTCCGTCCCATACGATATCTTTCCATTACACTTCATTCCATTTTATTCCTTACAATTCCATTCAAATCCATTCTATTCAATTCCAATCAATTCGATTCCATTCCATTCGACTACATTCCCATCGAGTCCATTCCATTCCATTCTATTCCATTCCATTCCATTTGATGCCATTCCATTCTATTCTATTCCCTTCGAGTCCATTCCTTTCCATTCCTTTCCATCTGATTCCATTCCATTCTATTACTTTCCATTCCATTCCATTCCATTCCATTTGTTACCATTTCATTCGAGTCCATTCCACTACAGCCCATTCCATTTAAGTCCAGTCCATTCCAGTCCATTGTATTTCTGTCCATTCCATTTCTTCCATTCCATTTGATACCTTTCCATGACACTCCATTCCATTCTATTCCTTTCAACTCCATTCAATTCCATTCCATTGGATTCCATTCCATTCGACTCCATTCTGTTCGATTCCATTCTCTTCCGTGCCATTCCATTCTGCTCCGTTCGATTACAATCCGTTTGATTCCATTTTTTTCCAGTCCATTATTTTCGACTCCTTTCCATTTCAGTCCATTCCGTTCGATTCCATTCCATTGGATTCCATTTCATTCGATTCCATTCCATTGCATTTCATTATATTCCCTTCCATTCCATTTCATTATATTCCCTTCCATTCCATTCTATTCCATTCCATTGCATTCCATTCCATTCCAATTGATTGCATTCCTTTCGAATCAATTACATTGCAATCCATTACATTCATGTCCACTCTATTACAGTCCATTCCATTCCTGTCCATTCCATTCAATTCAATTCATTCGATTCCATTCCATACTATTGCATTCCTTTTGATTGCAATCTTTTGGAATAAATTCCATTCGAGATCATTCTTTTCGAGTACATTCTATTTGAATCCATTCTATTCGAGTCCATTACATTTGGGTCCATTCCATTACATTCCTTTCAATTCCAATCCATTCCATTTGATGCCCTTCCATTCGATTCTATTCCATTGAAGTCCGTTCCATTCTATTCCATTCCATCCATTTGATGCCATTGCCTTCGATTTTATTCCATTCGATTCCATTCCATTCCATTCTGTTCCGCCTGAATCCGTTCCATTTTATTCCATTCCATTCCATTCCATTCCATTCCATTCCATTCCATTCCATTCCTTTCCATTCCATTCCATTCCTTTCGTTTCCATTCCATTCGAGTCCATTCCACTCCAGTTCATTCCATTGGAGTTCTTTCCATTATAGTCCATTCCAATCGAGTCCATTCTATTTCATTCGATATTTTTCCATTACACTCCATTCTGTTCTAATCCTTTTGATTCCATTCAATTCCATTCCTTTCAGTTGCATTCCATTCCACTCCATTCCATTCAACTCCATTCCATTCCATTCCTTTTGGTTCGATTTCAATCAGTTCTATTCAATATTCTTCCAGCCCATTCCATTCGTTTCCTTTCCATTCCAGTCTATTCTATTCCATTCCATTCCATTGCATTCGATTCCATTCAATGCATTTCCATTCCACCCCATTCCAATGCGTTCTTTCCGTTGAATTCCATTTTATTCCATTTCCTTGCATTCCATTCTATTCCTTTCCATTGCATTCCATTCCATTCCATTTGATTACATTCCTTTCGATTTCATTCCATTCGAATCTATTAAATTGCAAACAATTACTTTCAAATCCGTTCTATTCCAGTCCATTCCATTCCGGTCCGTTCCATTCAGTTCCATTCCATTCAATTCCATTCCATACAATGGCATTCCATTCAGTTCCATTCTATACGAATAAATTTCATTGGAGACCATTTTTTTCAAGTCCATTCTGTTTGAGTCCATTCCATTCGAGTCCATTACATTTGGGTCCATTTCCTTCTGTTCTATTCCATTTCATTCAATGACATTCCATTCTCTTCCATTACATTCGAGTCCATTCCATTTGAGTCCATTCCATTTGTTGGCATTCCTTTCGTTTCTATTCCATTCAACCTCATTCCATTCCATTTTGTTCCTTCTGATTCCATTCCATTCTATTCTTTTCCATTCCATTCCATTCCTTTCCATTCCATTCGTTTCCATTCCATGTCATTCGATTCCATTCCATTCGAATCAATTACTTTGCAATCCATTACATTTGAGTCAGTTCCATTCCAGTTCATTGCATTCCGGTCCATTCCCTTCGATTCCATTCCATTAGATTCCATTGCATACTATTGCATTCCATTCGATTCCATTGCATTCGAAGAAATACCATTCGAGACCATTGTTTTGAGTCCATTCTACTTGAGTCCATTCCATTTGAGTCCATTACATTTGAGTCCATTCTATTCCATTCCACTCCTTTCCATTCATTGCCATTCCATTCGACTCTATACCCTTCGAACCCATTCCATTCGAGTCCATTCCATTCCATTCCATTCCTTTCCATTCCATTTGATGACATTGCATTCTATTCTATTCCATTCGACTCCATTCCATTCCTTTCCATTCCATCCGATTGCATTCCATTCTTTTAATTTCCATTCCATTCCATTCCATTCCATTCTGCATTCCATTCCATTCCAATCCATTCCAAACCACTCGTTTCCATTCCATTCAATTCCAATCCAGTCCATTCCATTCGACTCCATTTCGTTTGTGTCCATTCCATTCCATTCCATTTTATTCCGTGCCATTCGATTCCAAACCTTTTGATTCAAATTTTTTCCAGTCCATTCCATTCTAATCCATTCCATTCCAGTGCATTCCAAACGAATCCATTCCATTTGAATCAATTCCATATGATTCCATTCCACTCAATTTGACTCCATTCTATTCCATTGCATTCCATTCTTTTCCATTCCATTGCATTCCTTTCCATTCCATTTGATTACATTCCATTCGATACCATTCCATTCTAATCAATTACATTGAACTCCATTATGTTCGATTCCATTGTATTCCCTTCCATTCCATTCCGATTCATTCCATTCGATTCCATTGCATTCGATTCCATTCCAATCCACTGAATTCCTTTCGATTCCATTGTATTCGAATAAATTCCATTCAAGACCATTCCATTCGAATACATTCTATTTGAGTCCATTCCTTTTGTGTCCACTATTTTTGGGTCCATTCCATTCCATTCCATTCAATTCGATGCCATTCCATTCGATTCTATTCCATTGGAGTTCATTCAATTCGAGTATATACCATTTCATTCCATTCCTCTCCATTCCATTCCATTCCATTCGACGTCATTCCAATGGATATTATTCCATTCGAATCCATTCCATTCCATTCTGTTCCATCTGATTCCACACCATTTCATTCCTTTTCATTCCATTCCATTCCATTACAATTGTTTCCATTCCTTTCGAGTCCATTCCACACCAGTCCTTTCCAATCGATTCCATTCCATTTGATTCTATTCCATTCGATTGCATTCCATTCAATTCCATTCCACTGAGTTCTACTCCGTTTCATTCCATTGCACTCCCCTCTCTTCCATTCCACTGCTTTCGATTCCAATCCATTTGAATACATTCCATACAATTCCTTTCCATTCAAATCAATTAAATTGCAGTATATTACATTCGAGTCTGTTCTATTCCAGTCTATTCCATTCCATTCCTTTCTGCTCGATTCCAATCCGTTTGATTCTATTTTTTTCCATTCCATTCCATTCGAGTCCATTCCATCAAGGTCCTTTCCATATTATTTCATTCGATTCTTTTCCACTCCATTCGATTTCATTCCACTCAATTGCACTCTGTTCCATTCCATTCCATTCCATTCCATTCCATTTGATTCTATTCCATTCAATTCCTGTTTATTAGAATCAACTATGTTGCAATCCACTACATTCGAATCCGTTCTATAGCTTTCATTCCATTCCGGTGCATTCCATTCGATTCCATTCCATACTATTGCTTTCCTTTCAATTCCATTCCATTCGAATAAATTCCATTAAAAACCATTCCTTTCGAGTCCATTGTATTTGAGTCCAATCCATTCGTGTCCATTACATTTTAAACCACCCCATCCCATTCCATTCCATCCCATCCCATCCCATCCCATCCCATCCCATCCCATCCCATCCCATTCCATTCCATTCCATTCCATTCCATTCCATTCCATTGCATTCCATTCCTATGGATGCCATTCCATTCCATTCTATTCCTTTTGAGTCCATTCCATTCGAGTCTATTCCATTTCTTTGCATTCCATTCCATTCAATGCCATTCCATTGTGTTCTATTAATTTCATCTCCAGTCCATTCAATTCCGTTCCATGTGATACCATTCCATTCTCTTCCTGTCCATCCCATTCCATTCCTTTCCATTTCATTCCATTCCATTCGATTCCATTTGTTTCCATTCCATTCGAGTGCATTCCACTAAACTCCACTCCATTGCCCTCCATTCCTTTCAAGTCCATTCCATTCTATTCCATTCCATTCGATATCTTTCCATTGTACTCCATTCCATTATTTTCCTTTCGATTCTGTTCAATTTCATTCCACTAGATTCCATTCCATTTGATTCCATTACATTCGATTCCATTACATTCGACTCCATTCCATTATAGTGCATTTCATTCCATTCCTTTCCATTCCATTTCATTCCTTTCCGTTCGACTTCAATCCGTTCTATTACATTTTGTTCCATTCCATTCCATTCGAATCCATTCCTTTCCAGTCCATTCCATTCGATTACATTCCATTCGATGCCATTCCACTCAATTCCACTACCTTCCATTCTATTGATTTCTATAATCTTCCATTCCATTTAATTCCCTTCCATTCCATTTGATTTCATTTCATTCGATTGCAAGGCATTTGAATCAAATACATTTCTATCCATCACATTTGAGTCCGTTCTATCCCAGTCCATTCCATTCTGGTACATTCCATTCGATTCCATTCCATTCGATTCCATTACATAATATTGAATTACTTTCTATTCCTTTCTATTTGAATAAATTATATTCGATACCTTTCCTTTTCTGTCCATTCTATTTGAGTCCATTCTATTCGAGTCCATTACATTTGGGTCCTTTACATTCCTTTCCATTCCATTCCATTCATTTCCTTTCCATTCCATGCCATTCCATTCGATTCTAACCCATTAGAGTCCATTCCATTCGAGTCCATTCCATTCCATTAAATTCCATTCCATTCCAGTGAAGGCCAAACCTTTTGATTCTATTCCATTCGACTCCATTCCATTCCATTCCATTCCATTCCATCCATTCCATTCCATCCTATTCCTTTCCATTCCATTCCTTTCCTTTCCATTCCATTCGATTCCATTCCACACCAATCAGTTTCATTCGGGTCCATTCCTTTCCATTCAATTCCATTCGAGTCCATTCCATTACATTCCATTACATTACATTCGATATCATTCCATTTCACTCCATTCCATTCTATTCCTCGTGATTCCATTCAAATACATTCCATTTCATTCCATTCTATTCAATTCCGTTTCATTGGACTCAATTCCATTCGAGTCCATTGCATTCCATTCCATTCCATTCCGTTCCTTTTGATTCAAATCCATTTGATTCCATTTTGTTCGAGTCCATTCCACTTGATTCCATTACATTCCAGTCCATTTCATTCGATTCCATTCCATTCAATTCCTTCCCATTCGATTCGTTTCCACTCGATTCCACTCTGTCCCTTTCCGTTGCATTCTATTCTATTCCATTTCATTGCATTCCATTCTATTCTATTCCATTGCATTCCACCCCATTCCATTTGATTATATTAAACTCGATTCCATTCCATTCGAATCAATTTAATTGTAATCAATTACATTCGAGTCCATTCTATTCCAATACATTTTATTCCGGTCCATCCGATTCTATTCCATTTGATTCAATTCCATTCCATACTATTGCATTCCATATGATACCATTCTATTCGAATAAATTCCAGTATAGACCCTTGCCTTCTTGTCCATTCTATTTGAGTCCATTCCTTTGGATTCCATTAAGTTTGCTTCCTTTCCATTCCGTTCAATTCCGTTCCATTCCACTCGCTGCCATTCTATTCGATTCTATTCCTTTCTAGTCCATTCCGTTCGAGTCCATTCCATTCCATTCCATTCCATTCCATTCCATTCCATTCCATTCCATTCCTTTCCTTTCCATTCTTTGCCATTCCTTTCGATTATATTCCATTCGACTCCATTCCATTCCTTTCCATTCCATCCAATTCCATTCCGTTCTATTGCATTCCATTCGATTCCATTCCATGCCATTCCATTCGTTTGTTTTCCATTTGAGTCCATTCTTCTCCAGTCCACTCCATTCAAGTGCATTCCATTCCAATCCATTCCATTCGAGTCCATTTCATTCCATTCCTTTTCATTCGATATCTTTCCATTCCATTCCTTTCCATTCTATTCCTTTTGATTCTATTCAATTTCATTACATTCGATTCCATTCCATTCAATTTCATTCCATTCGACACCATTCCATTAGAATCCATTCCATTCCATTCCATTCCATTCCATTCCATTCCATTCCATTCCATTCCATATCTTTTCATTACAATCCATTCCATTCTATTTCTTTCGATTCCATTCAATTCCATTCCATTCGATTCCATTCCATTCGGTTCCATTCCATTCAAGTCCTTTCCATTTGAGTACATTCCAATTTATTCCATTCCAATCCGTTCCTTTCGATTCCAATCTTTCGGTTCCATTTGGTTGCAGTCAATTCCATTCGGGTCCATTGTATTCCAGTCCATTCCATTTGATTCCACCTGATTCGATTCTATTCCATTTGATTCCATTCCACTCGATTCCAATCCATTAAATTTTATTGCATTCCATTCTATTCCATTCCATTGCATACCATTCCTTTCCGTTTGATTGCATTTTATTTGTAACCATTCCATTCAAACCAAATACATTGCAATCCATTATATTCGAGTCCATTTAATTCCTGACAATTCCCTTCCGGTTTACTCCACTTGATTCCATTCCACTCGATTCCACTCCATTCCATTCAATTGCATTCCATTCCATTCCATTTGGTTACATTCCATTCGATTCCATTCCATTCACATCATTTAAATTGCAATCCATTACATTCAAGCCCTTTCTATTCCAGCCCATTCCATTTTGGTCCATTCCATTCGATTCCTTTTCATTGGATTCTGTTCTATAATACTGCAGTCTTTTCGATTACATTCAATTCGAAGAAATTCCATTCAAAACGACTCCTTTCGAGTCTGTTCTATTTGAGTCCACTCCACTGGAGTCCATTACATTTGGGTCCATTCCATTCCATTCCATTCCATTCCATTCCATTCCATTCCATTCCATTCCATTCCATTCCATTCCATTCAATTCCTTTAGATGCAATTGCATTCAATTCCATTCAATTTGACTCCATTCCATTTCATTCCTTTCCATCCAATTCCATTCCATTCTATAACTTTCTATTCCATATTACATTCATTTCCATTCCATTATATTCCATTCCACTCCAGTCCATTCCATTCAAGTCAATTCCATTACTATCCATTCCATTTGACTCCATTCCATTTCTTTCAATTCAAATCGATATCTTTCCATTACACTCAATTCCATTCTATTCCTTTAGATACCATTCAGTTCCATTCTATTTGATTCCATTCCATTCGATTCCCTTCCATTTGATTCCATTCCTATCGATTCCATTCCTTTCCATTCCATTCAATTCCTTTCCGTTCGATTCCAATCAATTCGATTCCATTTTTTTCCAGTCTATTCCATTCGATTCTATTCCATTCCAGTCCATTCCATTCGATTACATTCCATTCATTTCCATTAAATTCGATTCCATTCCACTTGATTACACTCCTTTCCTTTCCATTGCATTCCATTGCATTCCATTGCTTTCATTTCTATTGTGTTCCATTCCCTTACATACAATTTCATTCCATTCAATTCCAGTCTATTTGAATCAATTACATTGCAATCCATTACATTCTAGTCAGTTTCTACTACAGTCCATTCCATTCTGGTCGATTCCATTCTATTGAATTCCATTCGATTCCATTCCATAGTATTGCATTCCATTCGATTCCAGTCCATTCAAATCAATTCCATTCGAAACCATTCCTTTAACTCCATTCTATTTGAGTCCATTCCATTTGGGTCCATAACATTTGGGTCCATTCCATTCCATTCCATTGCATTCAATGCCATTCCATTCGATTCTATTGCATTCGAGTACATTCCGTTTGAATCCATTCCATTATAATCCATTCCATTCCATTCCATTCCATTCCATTCCATTCCATTCCATTCCATTCCATCGGATGCCATTCCATTCGACTTTATTCCATTCGACTCCATTCCATTCTATTCCGTTCCTTCAAATTGCATTCTGTTCTCTTCCTTTCTGTTCCATTCAATTCCATTCCAATCCATTCCATTCCATTACATTGATATCCATTCCATTCGAGTCCACACCACTTCAGTTTATTCCATTCGAGAACTTTCAATTCCAGTCCATTCCATTCGTTTCCATTCCGTTCCATTCCATTCCATTCGATATCTTTCCATTACACTCCATTCCATTCTATTCCTTTCAACTCCATTCTATTCCATTCGAATCCATTCTATTCGATTACATTCCATTTGACTCCATTCCATTGGAGTCCACTACATTAAATTCCGTTCGATTCCAATCCACTCGATTCCTTTTTGTTCCAGTCCATTACATTCGAGTCCATTTCATTCCTGTCCATTCTGTTCGATTCCATTCCATTTGCGTCCATTCCATTCGATTCCACTCCGCTCCATTCAATTGCATTCCATTCCATTCCATTTGATTGCAGGCCATTTGATTCCACTCCTTTCCAATCAGTTACATTGCAAAAAATTACATTTGAGTCCGTTCTATTCCTGTCCATTCCATTCTGGTACATTCCATTTGATTCCATTCCTTTCAATTCCATTCAATTCTATTGCATTCCATTTGATTTCATTCTTATAGAATAAATTGCATTCAGGGCCATTCCTTTCGATGCCATTGTAGTTGAGTCCATTCCATTCAAGTCCATTTCATTTGAGTCCATTCCATTCCATTCCATTCCATTCCATTCCATTCCATTCCATTCCATTCAATGCTATTCCTTTTGATTCTATTCCATTCGAATACATTCAATTTGAGTCCATTCCATTTTATTCCATTCCATTCCAATCCATTCAATGCCATTCCTTTCGTTTCTATTCCATTCGACTACATTCCTTTCCATTTCATTCCATCCGATTCCAATGCATTCTCTTCCTTTCAATTCCATTCCATTCCAGTCTATTCATTGCCATTCCATTCTAGTCCGTTCCACTCCAGTCCATTCCATTCGTGTCCACTCCATTCCAGTCCATTCCATTCGAGTCCATTCCTTTCCATTCCATTCCATTCGACATCCTTCCATTCCATTCCATTACATTCTATTCCTTTTGATTCTGTTCAATTCGAATCCATTCGATTCCATTCCATTCGATTCCATTCCATTCGATTCCATTCCACTCGAATCCATTCCATTCGAGTCTGTTCTATTCCATTCGACATCTTTCCATTACACTCCATTCCATGCTATTCCTTTTGATTCCATTCAATTCGAATCCATTCCATTGAGTTCCATCCCTTTCGAATCCATTCCATTCGAGTTCATTCCATTCCATTCCATTCAATATCTTTCCATTACACTCCATTCGATTCTATTCCTTTCAGTTCCATTCAATTCCATTCCATTCAATTCCGTTCCATTCAACTCCATTCGACTCCATTCCATTCGAGTCCATTCTGTTCTATTCAATTCCACTCCATTCTGTTGCATTTCATTCCAATCCATTTGATTCCATTTTGTTCCAGTCCATTCCATTCTAGTCCACTCCTTTCCAGTCCATTCGATTAGATGGGATTCCATCTGATTCCGTTCTGTTCTATTCCATTTCACTCGATTACACTACGTTCCATTCCATTGCATTCCATTATATTCCATTCCATTGCATTCTATTCAATTCCATTAGATTATATTCCATTCGATTCCATTCCATTCAAATCAGTTACATTGCCATCCATTACATTCGAGTCTGTTCTATTCCAGTCCATTCTATTCCATTCCATTACATTCTATTCCATTCCGTTGGATTCCATTCCATACTATTGCATTCTTTTCGATTCCATTCTATTCAAATAAATTACATTCGAGACCATTCCTTTCATATCCATTCTATTTGAGTCAATTCTATTTGCGTCCATTATATTTGGGTCAATTCCTTTCCATTCTATTCCATTCCATTCAATTCGATGCCATTACATTCGATTCTATTCATTCGAGTCCATTCAATTAGAGTCCATTATATTTCATTCCATTCCATTGCATTCCATTCCATTCCATGCCATGCCATTCCATTGGATACTAAACCATTCAACTCCGTTCCATTCCATTCCGTTGCATCTGATTCCATTCCATTATATTCGTTTCCATTCCATTCCATTCCATTCTATTCCATTCCATTCCATTCCATCGGTTTCCTTTCCTTTCTAGTCCATTCCTCTCCAGTTCATTCTATTCTAATCCATTCCGTTGCAGTCCATTCCATTCGATTCCATTCCATTTGACTCCGTTTTATTCGAGTCCATTCCATTCCATTCCATTCCATTCCATTCCATTCCATTCCCCTCCATTGCATTCCAATCCATTGTATCCCAGCCCTATAAATTCAAGTCCATTGCATTTCTGTCCACTTCATTCGAGTCCATTCCTTTCCATTCCATTCCATTCAGTTTCATTCCAAACTATTCCACTCCATTCAATTCCAATCCAATCGATTCCACTATGTTCCATTCCGTAGCCTTCCATTATATTGCTTTAAATTGCATTCCATTCCATTCCATTTGATTACATTCTAAACAATTCCATTCCATTCAAATCTATTACATTTCAATCCATTACCTGAGAGTCCATTCTATTTCAGTCCATTCCATTCGATGCCATTCCATTCGTTTCCATTCCATACTATGACATTCCATGGGATTCCATTCTATTCGACTAAATTCCATTCGACACCATTCCTTTCACGTCCATGCTATTTGAGTCCATTCCATTCGATTCCGTTGCATTAGGTCCATTCCTTTGCATTCAATTCCATTCCATTCCCTTCCATTCCAGTCCATTCATTGCCATTCCTTTCTATTCTATTCCATTGGAGTCCATTCCATTCAATTCCATCCCATTCCAGTCCATTCCATTCTAGTCTATTCCATTCCAATCCATTCTGTTTGATATCTTTTCTTTACCCTCCATTCCATTACATTCCATTCCATTCAAAGCCAAGCCATTCTATTCTATTTCACTCATGTACATTCCACTCAAGTCCATTCCATTCGAGTCAATTCCATTTCAGTCCATTCAATTCCATTCCATTCCATTCCATTCCATTGCTTACGATATCTTTCCATTTCACTCCATTCCATTCCTTTAATTTCGATTCCATTCAATTCCATTCCATGTTGTTCCATTCAATTTGACTAATTTCCATTCGAGTCCATTCCTTTTTCCATTCCATTCCATTCCATTCCTTTGCGTTCCATTCCATTCCAATCCGTTAAATTCGATTTTGTTCCCGTCCACTCCATTCGTGTCCATTCCATTCCTGTCCATTCCATTTGATTCCATTCAATTCGATTCCATTCCATTCTATTCCATTCCACTCGATTCCACTCCGTTCCATTCCATTGTATTCCATTCCATTCCATTTCATTTCATTGCATTCCATTCCATTCCATTTGATTACATTCCATTCGATTCCATTCCATTTGAATCAATTACATTGCAGTCCATTATATTCTAGTCTGTTCTATTCCACTCCATTCCATTCCATTCGATTCCATTTAATACTATTGCATTCCATTCCTTTCCATTCTATTCGAATAAAATACATTTGAGACCCTTCCTTTCTAGTCTATTAAATTTGAGTCCACTCTATTCGAGTCCATTGCATTTGATTCCATTCCATGCCATTCCATTCCATTCAATTCCATTCGATGCCATTCAGTTCGATTCTATTCCATTTGAGTCCATTCCTTTCAATTCCATTCCATTCCATTCCATTCCATTCCGTTCATTACCATACAGTTTGATTCCATTCAATTCGACTCCATTCAATTCCATTCTGTTCCATCCTATTCCATTCCATTCTATACCTTTCCATTCCCTTCCATTCCTTTTATTTCCATTCCAATATATTCCATTCCACTCCAGTCCATTCCGTTCGAGTCCATTCCATTCCTCTCCATTCCATTCGACTCCATTCCATTCCATTCTATATCTTTCCATTACACTCCATTCCATTCTATTCCTATCCATACCATTCAATTCCATTCCATTAGATTCCAATCCATTCGATTCAATTCCATTGGACCCCATTCAATTCGAGTTCATTCCATTCTATTCCATTCAATTCTATTCCATTCAATTCGATTCCATTCCATTCGATTCCACTCCGTTCCTTTCCATTGCATTCCACTCTATTCATTTCCATTGCATTTCATTCCATTACGTACGATTATATTCCATTTGATTCCAATTTCTTCGAATCAATTACATTGCAATCCAATACATTCGAGTCCGTTTCTATTTCAGTCCATTGCTTTCCGGTCCATTCCATTCCATTCCATTCCATTCCATTCCATTCCATTCCATTCCATTCCTTGCCATTTTATTCAATTCTATTCCTTTCAAATCCATTCTATTCGAGTCCATTCCATTCCATTCCATTCGATGCCATTGCATTGGATTCTATTCCATTCAACTCCATTACATTCCATTCCGTTCCATCTTATTCCGTTTCAGTATATTCCATTCCATTCCATTCCATTCCATTCCATTCCATTCCATTCCATTCCCTTTATTTCCTTTCAATTCGAGTACATTCCACTGTTGTCCATTCCACCCGAATTCATTCCAGTTCAGTCCATTCCTTTCGATTCCATTCCATTCAACTACATTACTTTCGAGTCCATTCCATTCCATTCCTTTCCACTCAATTCCATTGCATTCCTTTAAATTGGATTCCAGTCCGTTCGATTCCATTATGTTCCAGTCCTCTCCATCCCGCTACATTCCATTCGATTCCATTTCATTAGATTCCATTCCATGCCATTGCATTCCATTTGATTCCATTGTATTTGAATAAATTCTATTCGAGACCATTCCTTTTGAATCCATTCTATTTGAGTGCATTCCATTCCAGTCCATTACATTTGGGTCCATTCCATTCCATTCCATTCCATGACACATCATTCGATTCTGTTCCATTCGAGTCCACTCCATTCGAGTCCATTCAATTCCATTCCTTTCCATTCGATGACATTCCATTCGATTCTCTTCCATTCAACTCCATTCCATTCCATTCAATTCCATCCGATTCCATTCCATTCTTTTCCTTTTCCTTCTATTCTATTCAATTCCATTCCATTCGTTTCCATTCCATTCGAGTCCATTCCACTCCAGTCCATTGCAATAGAGTCAATTTCATTCCACTACATTCCATTCGATTCCATTCCCTTCGAATCCATTCCTTTCCATTCTGTTCCATTCCATTCCATTCGATATCTTTCCATAACACTCCATTCCATTCTATTCCCTTCTATTTTGCTGAATTCCATTCCACTCGATTCCATTCCATTCCATTCCATTCCATTCCATTCCATTCCATTCCATTCGAATACATTCCATTCGAGTCCATTCCATTCATTTCCATTACATTCTGTTCTGTTCTATTCCAATCCGTATGATTCCATTTTGTTCCATTCCATTCCATTCGAATCCATTCCATTCGATTCCATTCCATTCGATTCCATTCTACTGGATTCCACTTCGTTCCATTCCATTGCATTTCATTCTATTCCCTTGCTTTGTATTCCATTCCATTTGATTACATTCCACTCTATTCAATTCCATTCGAATCATTTACACTGCAATCCATTACATTCACGTCCGTTCTATTCCAGTCCATTCCATTATGGTACATTCCTTTCAATTCCATTCCATTCAATTCCGTTCGATACTATTTCAATACATTCGATTCCATTGTATATGAGCAAATTCCATTCGAGACCATTCCTTTCGAGTCCATTCTATTTGAGTCCATTGCATTCGAGTCCATTATATTTGGGTCCATTCCATTCCATTCCATCCAATTCCATTCCATTCAATTTCTTTCCATTCCGTTCTATTCCATTCCGTTCCATTCCAATCCATTTGTTTCCATTCCATACGAGTCCACTTCACTCCAGTCCTTTCTATTAGATTTCATGCCACCTCTGTCCATTCTATTCGAGTACAATCCTTTACACTCCAATCGATGCCATTCCATTCTATTGTCTTCCATTTGACTCCATTCCCTTCCATTCCATTCCATCTGATTCCATTCCATTCTATTCCTTTCCATTCCATTCCGTTGCATTCCATTCCAGTCCAAACCATTCGAGTCCATTCCATTACTTTTGATATCTTTCCATTACACTCCATTCCATTATTTTCGTTTCGTTTCTGTTCAATTGCATTCCATTTGATTCCATTCTATTCGAATCCATTACATTCGAGTCTATTCCATTCCATTCCATTCCATTCCATTCCGTTCCATTCTATTGCAATCCGTACAATTCCATTTTGTTTCAGTCCATTCCATTTGAGTCGACGCCATTCCAGTCCTTTCCGTTGAATACCATTCCTTTTGATTCCATTACTCTCGATTCCATTCCGCTCCACTCCATTGCATTCCATTCCATTCCATTTGATTACATTCCATTTGATTCTGTTCCATTTGTATCAATTACATTGCAATTCTTTACATTCAAGTCCGTCGTATTCCATTCCATTCCATTCTGTCCATTCTGTTCGATTCAATTCCCTTCGATTAAATTCCACACTATTGGATTCCATTCGATTCCATTCTCTTCAAATAGATTCCATTCGAGACCGTTTCTTTCTATTCCATTCTGTTTGAGACCAGTCCATTCGAGTCCATTACATTTGGGTCCATTCCATTACATTCCATGCCATTCTCTTCCATTACATTCAATTATAATCCAATTGAATCCTTTCCCTTCGATTCCATTCCAACCCATTCCATTCCAGTAAAATGCATTTGATGCCATTCCTTTCGATTCTATTCCATTCGACTCCATTCCATTGCATTCCGTTCCATCCAAATCCATTTAATTCTATTCCATTCCATTCCTTTCCATTGCATTCCATTCCATTTGTTTCCATTCCACTCGAATCCATTCCACTCCAGTCCATTCCATTCAAGTCGACTCCACTCCAGTCCGTTCCATTCGAGTCCATTCCAATCCATTCCATTCAATGTCATTCCATTACACTCCATTCACTTCTATTCCTTTCGATTCCTTTCAATTTCATTCCATTATATTCCATTACATTCGATTCCATTCCATTCGATTCCATTCCTTTTGACTCCATTCCATTCGATTCCATTCCATTCTATTCCGTTCCGTTCGATTCCTATCCATTTGATTCCATTTTTTTCCATTCCATTCCATTCGAGTCCATTCAATTCCAATCCATTCCACACAATACCATTCCATTCGACTCCATTCCACTCGATTCCACTCCATTCCATTCCATTCCATTGTATGCCATTCTGTTCCATTACATTGCATTACCTTCCATTACATTGCATTCCATTCCATCCCATTTGATTCCATTCTATTCGATTCCATTCCATTTGAATCAATTACATTGTAACCCATTTCATTCGAGTCCTTTCTATTCCAGTCCAATGCATTCCGGTCCATTCATTTCGATTCCATTCCATTTGATTTCATTCCATACTATTACATTCCATTTGATTCAATTCTATTTGAATAAATTCCATTCGAAACCATTCTTTCAAGTCCATTCTATTTGTGTCTATTCTTTTCGAGTCAATTATATGTGGGTCCATTCCATTCCATTCCATTCGATGCCATTCCATACGATTCTATTCCTTTTGAGTCCATTTCATTCGAGTACATTCTATTTCATTCCATTCCATTCCATTCCATTGCATTCCATTCCATTCCATTCCATTCCATTGCATTCCATTCCATTCCATTCCATTCCATTGCATTCCATTCCATTCCATTGCATTCCATTTCATTCCATTCCATTCCATTGCATTCCATTCCATTCCATTCCATTCCATTCCATTCCATTCCATTCCATTCCATTCCTTTCAATACCATTCCATTCCATTGTATTCCATTCGAATCCATTCCTTTCCATTCCATTCCTTTCGATGCCATTCCTTTGGATTATATTCTATTCGACTCCATTCAATTCCATTTTGTTCCATCCAATTCAATTCCATTCCATTCCATTCCATTCCATTCCATTCCATTCCATTCCATTGCATTCCTTTCCAATCTATTCCATTCCATTCCATTCCATTCCATTCCATTCCATTCCTTTCCATTGCATTCCCTTCCATTCCATTCCATTGCATTCGTTTCCATTCCTTTCGTGTCTATTCCACTCCAGTCCATTTCCTTTGATTCCATTCCATTCGGGTCCATTCCATTCAACTCCATTCCATTCGACTCCATTCTAATCCATTCCATTACTTTCCATTCCGCTCGATTCCAATCCGTTCAATTCCATTTTCTTCCAGTCCATTCCTTTCGTGTCCATTCCATTCCAGTCCATTCTATTCGATTCCATTAAATTAGATTCCATTACCCTCGATTCCACTCCGTTCCGTTCCATTGTAATCCATTCAATTCCTTTCCATTCCATTTGATTACATTCCATTCGATACCGTTCCATTTGAACCAATTGCATTGCAATCCATTACATTCGATTCTGTTCTATACTTGACTGTTCCATTCCGGTCCATTCTTTTCGATACCTTTGAATTCAATTCCATTCCCTACTACTGCATTCTGTTTGATTCCATTCTATTCGAATAAATTCCTTTCGGGACCATTCCTTTTGAGTCCTTTCAATTTGAATCCATTCCATTCGAGTCCATTACATTTGGTTCCATTCCATTCCATTTGATGTCATTCAATTCTAATCTATTCCATTCGAGTCCAATCCATTCGAGTCCATTCCATTCCTATCCATTCTTTTCGAGGCCATTCCATTCGATTCTATTCCATTTGACTCCATTCCATTCCATTCCATTCCATCCGATTACATTCCATTCTATTCCTTTCCATTCCATTACAAACGTTTCCATTCCATTTGAGTCCATTCCACTCCAACCGATTCCATTCGAGTCCATTCCATTCCAGTGCATTCCGTTCGATTCCATTCCATTCCAGTCCATTCCATTTGATATCTTTCCATTACTCTCCATTCCATTCTATTCATTTTGATTCCATTCTATCCCTTTCAACTTCATTCCATTCCTTTCGATTCCTTTCCATTCGACTCCATTCCATTCGAGTCCATTCCATTCCATTCCATTCAAGTCCAATCTGTTCGATTCCATTTTGTTCCACTTCATTCCTTTCGAGTCCATTCCACTCCAGTCCATTCCATTCGATTCCATTACATTCAATTCCTTTATATTCGATTCCATTCCACTCGATTCCACTCCATTCCATTCCATTGCATTCCATTCTATTCCATTCCATTGTACACCTTTTCATTCCATTTGATTACATTCCATTGGATTTCATTCCATTCAAACCAATTGCATTGCAATCCATTACATTCTCGTCCATTCCATTCCATTCCATTCCATTCCATTCCATTCCATTCCATTCCATTCCTGTCGATTCCATTCGATTCCATTCCACACTATTGCATTGCATTCAATTCCATTCTAATCGAAAAAATTCCATTCGAGACCATTCCTTTTCAGTCCATTCTATTTGTGTCTGTTCTGTTCGATTCCATTACATTTGGGTCCGTTCCATTACATGCCATTCCATTCGAAGCCATTCCATTCAATTCTACTCCATTTGAGTCCATTCCTTTCGATTCCATTCCATTGCATTTCATTATATTCAAGGCCATTCCATTTGATTCTATTATATTCGACTACATTCCATTCCATTCAGTTTCATTCCATTCCATTCCATTCTATTCCTTTCCATTGCATTTCATTGCATTCCATGGCACTCCTTTCCATTCCATTCGAGTCCATTCAACTCCAGTCCATTCCATTCCAATCCATTCCCTTCGAGTCCATTCAATTCCATTCGTTTCCATTCGATATCTTTTCATTACACTCCATTCCATTCTATCCCTTTCGATTCCATTCACTTCGTTTGTTTTGGTTCAATTCCATTCGGTTCCATTCCATTATATTCCATTCCAATCGAATCCATTCCATTCCATTCCATTCCATTCAATTCCATTCCATTCCATTCTGTTCTATTCAATTCCAATCCGATTGATTCGATTTTGTTCTAGTGAATTCCATTTTAATACATTCCTTACCAGTCCATTCTATTCGATTCCATTCCATTCTGTTCTATTCCACATGAGTCCTCTATGTTCCATTCCATTGCATTCCATTCCATTCCATTCCATTCCATTCCATTCCATTGCATTCCATTCCATTCCATTCCATTCCATTCCATTCCATTCCATTCCATTCCATTGTATTCCATTCCATTCCTTTTGAATAATTCCATTTGATTCCATGGCATTCGAATCAATTACTTTGCAATCCATTACATTTGAATTCATTCTATTCCAGTCAATTCCATTCCATTCCATTCCATTCGATTCCATTCCGTTTGATTCCATTCCATTCTATTGCATTCCATTCTATTCCAATCTATTGGAATATATTCCTTACGAGACCATTCCTTTTGAGTCCATTCCACTTGAATCCATTCATTTCGAGTCTATTACATTTGGGTCAATTCCATTCCTTCCCATTCCATTCCATTCGGTGCCATTCCATTTGATTCTATTCCATTAGAGTCCATTCAATTCTATTCCATTCCACTCCATTCCATTCCATTGCATTCGATGCTATCCCATTCGTCTCCATTTCATTCCATTCCATTCCATCAGATTCCATTCCATTGTATTTCTTTCCATTCCATTCCATTCCATTTCATTTGATTCCATTCCATTCCATTCCATTTCATTCAATTCCAAACCATTAGTTTCTATTACATTCGATTCCATTCCATTCCAGTCCTTTCTATTCGAGTCCATTCCATTTGAGTCCATTCCATTGAATTCCACTCCTTTCATTATCTTTCCATTCCACTCCATTCCATTCTATTCCCTTTGATTGCATTCAATTCCAATCCATTTGATTCCATTCCATTCTATTCCATTCAATTCGACTCCATTCCATGCGAGTTCATTCCAATCAATTACATTCTGTTCCGTTTGATTCCAATCCTTTCGATTCCATGGTTTTCCTGTTCATTCCATTCCAGTACATTCCATTCGATTCCTTTTCTTTCGATTCCATTCCTTTAGATTCCGTTCCACTCGATTCCACTCCGTTCCATTAAATTGCTTTCCATCCTATTCCATTACTTTGCATTCCATTCCATTCCATTTGATTCCATTCCATGTGACTCCATTCCATTGAAATCAATTGCTTGTAATCCATTACATTCGAGTCCATTCTATTCCAGTCCATTCCTTTTCACTCCATTCCATTGGATTCCATTCCATTATATTCCATTCCTTAGTATTGCATTCCATTCGATTCGATACTATTCGAATGAATTCCCTTCAAGACCATTCCTTTCAAATCCGTCGTATTTGAATCCAATCCATTTGAGTCCATTACATTCGCGTCCATTCCATTCCATGCTATTCTATTCAATTCCGTTTGATGCCTTTACATTCGATTATATTCCATTCATATTTATTCCATTTGAGTCCATTCCTTTCCATTCCCTTCCATTCCATTTCATGCCATTCCATTCTATTCTATTCCATTTGACTCCATTCCTGTCCATTCCATTCCATCCGTTTCCATTCTATTCAATTCTTTCCATTCCATTGCATTGCATTCCATTCCACTCCATTTGTTTCCCTTCCATTCGAGTCCATTCCACTCCATTCCATTACATTCGACTCCATTTCATTCCAGTGCATTCCATTCCTGTCTATTCAATTCCAGTCCATTCCATTTGAGTCCATTCCATTCCATTCTAATCCATTCGATATCTATCCATGACACTCTATTCCATTCGATTCGATTCCATTCAATTCCATTCGATTATATTCAATTCCAATCCGTTCAATTCCGTTTTTTCAGTAGTACATTTCTTTTTTGTCCATTCCATTCGACATCATTCCGTTGCATTCCATTATGTTGCATTTGATTACATTCCATTTGATTCCATTCCATTCATGTCAATCACGTTACAATCCATTATATTCGACTCCGTACTATTCCAGTCCATTCCATTCTGGTCAATTCCATTCGATTCCATTCCCTTCGAATCCTTTCCATACTTTTGCACTCCATTCGATTCCATTCTATTAGAATAATTTCCTTTCGAGACCTTTGCTTTCGATTTCATTCTATTTGAGTCCATTCCATTTGAGTCGATTTCATTTGTGTCCATTCGCTACCATTCCTTTCCATTCCATTCCATCCCATTCCATTCAATGCCATTCTATTTGAGTCCATTCCATTCGAGTCCATTCCATTCCATAAAATTCGATGCCATTGCATTCGATTCTATTGCATTAGACTCCATTCTATTCCATTCCATTCCATTCCATTCCATTCCATTCCATTCTTTTCCGTTCAATTCCAATCCGTTAATTTCCGTTTTGTTCCAGTCCATTCCATTCGACTCCATTCCATTCAATTCCACTGCATTCGATTCCATTCCCTTCGATTCCACTCCATTCTATTCCATTGCATTCTATTCTATTCCACTGCACTGCATTCCATTCCATTCCATTTGATTTAATTAAGTTGGATTCCATTCTTTCAAATCGATTACATTGCAATCCATTACATATGAGTCCTTTCTATTCCAGTCCATTCAATTCTGCTCCATTCCATTCAATTCCATTCCATTCGATTCCAATCCATACTATTGCATTCCATTGGATTCTATTCCATTCGACTACATTCCATTCCATTCCATTCCATCCGATTTCATTACATTCTTTTCCTTTCATTTCCATTCCATTCCATTCGTTTCCATTCCATTTGAGTCAATTCCCTAAAGCCCATTCCATTCGAGTCAATTATATTACAGTCCATTCCATTTGATTATATTCCATTCCATTCGGTATCTTTCATTACTGTCCATTCCATTCTATTCTTTTCAATTCCATTCAATTCCATTCCATTCCCTTCCATTCCATTGGTGCATTTATTTCGAGTTCACTCCATTCCATTCCATTCGATTTCCTTCCACTCAATTCCACTTTGTTCCATTCCATTGCATTCCATTGTATTCCATTCCATTGCATTCCATTCCATTTCATTTGATTACCTTCCATACGGTTCCTTTCTATTTCTATTATATTGCAATCCATTACATTCGTGTACGTTCTGTTCTAGTCCATTCCATCCTTGTCAATTCCTTTCGATTCCATTCCATACTATTGCATTCCATTTGATTCCATTCGTTTCGAATAAATTCCATTTGAGACCTTTCCTTTCGAGTGCATTGTATTTGAGTCCATTCTATTCGATTCCATTCCATTTGGGTCCATACCATTCCATTCCCTTCCATTCCACGCGATTGTATTCCACAGAATTCTACTCCATTCGAGTCCATTCCATTCGAGTCATTCCATTCCATTCCATTTGATGCCATTCCATTCAACTCCATTCCGTTCAGTTTCTTTTCATCCGATTCCATTCCATGGTAATCCTTTCCATTCCATTGCATTCCATTCCATTCCATTCCATTCCATTCCATTCCATTCCATTCCATTCCATTCATTTCCATTCCATTCGAGTCCATACCACTCCTGTCCATGCCATTTGAGTCCATTCCATTCCAGTTCATTCCATTTGAGACTATTCCATTCTATTCCTTTAGATATATTTCCGTTACATTCCATTCCATTCTATTCCTTTCGATTCCATTCACTTCCATTCCATTTGATTCCATTCCATTTGGTTCCATTACAGTCGACAACAATCCATTCAGGTCTATTCCAATACATTCCATTCCATTAAATTCCGTTCTGTTCTATTGCAATCCGTATTATTCCATTTTGTTCCAGTCCATTCCATTGGAGTCCATTCCATTCGATTCCATTCCATTCAACTCCATTCCACTCAACTCTGTTCCATTCCGTTGCATTCCATTCCATTCTAGTTGATTACATTCCATTCGATTTCATTCCATTAGAATTAATTACATTGCAATTCATTAAATTCTATTCCAGTCCATTCCATTCCGTTCCATTCCCTTCAATAACTTTCCATTGGATTCCATTCCATACTATTGCAATCCATTCGATTACATTCTATTCGAATAAATTCCATTCGAGACCATTCCTTTTGAGTCTATTCTATTTGATTCCATTCCATACGAGTCCATTACATTTGAGTCCATTCAATTCCATTCCATTCCACTAAATTCCATTCCATTCAATTTGATGCTATTCCAATTGATTTTATTCAATTCGAGTCCATTTCATTCGAGTCCATTCCATTCCATTTGATGCCATTCCGTTCGATTCTATTCCATCAGAATCCACCCCATTCCATTCCGTTCCATCTGATTCCTCCAATCCATTCAATTCCATTACATTCGATTCCACTCCATTCCATTCCATTCGATATATTTCCGTTACACTCCATTCCATTCTATTCCTTTCGTTTCCACTCAATTCCAATCCATTCCATTTGATTCCATTCCATTCGACTCCATTCCATTTTTGTCCCTTCCATTCCATTCCGTTCCGTTCGGTTCCAATCTGTTCGATTCCATTTTTTCCTTCCATTACATTGCAGTCCATTCCATTCCAGTACATTCCATTTGATTCCATTCCATTCGATTCCATTGCACTCGATTCCACTCCGTTCCATAACATTGCATTCCACTTTATTCCTTTCCATTTCATTCCATTGCATTCTAATTGATTACAGTCCATTAGATTCCATTCAATTCGAATCAATTACATTGCAATCCATTACATTGGAGTCCGTTCTATTCCAGTCCATTCCGTTCTGTTCTATTGCATTCGATTCCATTCAATTCGATCCCATTGCATACTGTTGCATTCCATTCGATTCAATTCTATTCAAATAAATTCCATTCGACACCTTTCCTTTCGAGTCCATTCTATTTCAGTCCATTCCATTCGAGTCCATTACATTTGTGTCCATTCCATGCCATTCCATTCCATTCAATTCAATACCATTCCATTGTATTCTATTCTTTTCAGGTCCATTCCATTCGATTCAATTCCATTCCATTCCATTCGAAGTCATTTCATTCCATTCTATTCCATTTGAGTCCATTCCATTTCATTCCTTTCTATCCAAATCCATTCCCTTCTAGTCCATTCCATGCGTTTCTGTTACATTCGTGTCCATTCCACTCCAGTCCCTTCCATTAGAGTCTATTCCTTTGCAGTCCATTCCATTCGAGTCCACTCTATTCCATTCAATTTAATATCTTTCCATTAGACTCCATTCAATGCTATTCTTTTGGATTCCATTCAATTCCATTTTATTCGACTAATTAAATTCAATTCCATTTTATTCGACTAATTCAATTCAATTCCATTCCACTCGACTCCATTCTATTCGATTCCATTCCATTCTATTCATTTCCATTCGATTGCAATCCGTTCGATTCAGTTTCATTCCAGTCCAGTCCATTCGAGTCTATTCCATTCCAGTCCATTCCATACGATTCCAATCCATTCGATTCCATTCCACTAGATTCCACTCCGTTCCATGAGTTTGCATTCCATTGTATTCCATTCCATTGCATTCCATTCCACTCCTTTTGAATACATTCAATTCGATTCTATTACAGTTGAGTCAATTACTTTGCAATCCATTCCATTCGAGTCCTTTCTATTCCAGTCCATTCCATTCTGGTCCATTCCATTCGATTCCTTTCCATTCGAATCCATTCCATACTTTTGCATTCCATTCGATTCCATTGTATTTGAGTAAATTCCATTCGAGACCGTCCCTTTCGAGTCTTTTCTATTTGAGTCCATTCCTTTCGAGTCCATTACATTTGGGTCAATTCCATTCCATTCCATTCCATTCCATTCGATACCATTCCATTCGATTCTATTCCTTTGGAGTCCATTCCATTTGACTGCAGTCCATTCCATTCCATTGCATTCCATTCCATTCCATTGCATTCCATTCCATTCCATTCGAAGCCATTCCATTCAACTCTATTCCATTTGACTGCATTCCATTCCATTCCATTCCTTCCATTTCCATTCCATTCTATTCCATTCCATTCCATTCCATTCCATTCCATTCCATTCTACTCGATTCCACTCCTTTCCATTCCATTGCATTCCATTGTATTCTATTCCATTGCATTCCATTCCTTTCCATTTGATTATATTCCATTCGATTCCAGTCTATTCGAATCAATTACATTGCAATGCACTACATT
This sequence comes from Homo sapiens, assembly GCF_000001405.40. Lineage (NCBI taxonomy): Eukaryota > Metazoa > Chordata > Mammalia > Primates > Hominidae > Homo > Homo sapiens. The sequence goes on along the minus strand of NC_000024.10, from coordinate 11,682,027 downwards.
TGAGTCCGTTCTATTCTAGTCCATTCCATTCGATTCCATTCCATACTATTGCACTCCCTGCGATTCCAGTCTATTTGAATAAACGCCATTCGAGACCATTCCTTCCGTGTCCATTCTATTAGATTCCATTCATTTAGAGTCCATTACATTTGGGTCCATTTCTTTATATTCAGTTCGATGCTATTGCTTTCATTTCCATTCCATTCGTTTCCTTTCCTTTGAATCTATTACATTGCAATTCATTACATTCATGTCCCCTCCATTCCAGTCTATTCCATTCCGTTTCATTCCATTCAATTACGTTGCATTCGATTCCATTCCATTCCATTTCATTTGATTCCATTCCATTAGATGCCATTCCATTCATTTCCATTCCATTCAATTCCATTCCTTTGAATCTATTACTTTGCATTTCATTACATTTGTGTCCACTTTATTCCAGTCCATTGCATTCTGGTCCATTCCATTCGATTCCTTTCCATTCAATTCCATTCCATTCGATTTCATTCAATACTATTGCATTCCATTCGATTCGATTCTACACAAAAGAATTCCATTCATTCCCATTCCGTTCGAGTCCATTCTGTTGGATTACATTCCATTGGAGTCCATTACAGGTGGGTCCATTCCATTCCATTCCATTGCATTCCGTTCCATTCAATGCCATTCCACTCGACTATATTATATGAGAATCCATTCCATTCGAGTAAATTCCATTCCATTCAATTCCATTTGATGCCATTCGTTTCGATTCTACTTCTTTCGGCTCCATTACATTCCTTTCCGTTCCATCTGATTCCATTCAATTATATTCTTTTCCATTCCATTCCATTTGTTTCCATTCCATTCGAGTCCATTCCACTCCATTCCATTCCATTTGGGTCGATTCCACCCTTGTTCATTCCATTCGAGTCCATTCCATTCCAGTCCATTATATTCGAATCCATTCCTTTCCATTCCATTCTATTTGATATCCTTCCATTGAGGTCCATTCCATTAAATTCCATTCCATTCAACTTCATTCTATTTGATTCCATTCCATTTGACTCCATTCCCTTCGTGTCCATTCCATTCCCAACCATTTCATTCCGTTCCGTTCTATTCCAATCCATTTGAATCCACCTTGTCCCAAGTCCATTCCATTCAAATCCTTTCCATTCAATTCCATTCCACTCGATTCCACTCCATTCCGTTCCATTACACTGCATTCCATTCTATTCCATTCCTTTGTATTCCATTCCATTCCATTTGATTACATTCCATTCGCTTCCATTCCATTCGAATCAATCAAATTGCATTCCATTACATTCGAGTCCTTTCTATTCCAGTCCATTCCATTCCACTCCATTCCATTCTATACTATGTCATTCCATTTGATTCCTTTCGATTAGAATAAATTCCATTCGATACCATTCCTTTCGAGTCCATTCTATTTGAGTCCATTGCATTTGAGTCCATTATATTTGGGTCCATTCCATTCGGTTACATGCAATTCCACTTCATTATATTCGATTTCATTCCATTCTATTCTATTCCATTCGAATCCATTCCATTCGAGTTCATTCCATTCCATTCCATTCCATTCCATTCCATTCCATTCCATTCCATTCCATTCCATTCGATGCCATTCCATTTGATTCTATTCCATTCGACTCCATTCAATTCCATTCCGTTCTATCCAATTCCACTCCATTCTATTACTATCCATTTCATTCCATTGCATTCCATTCCATTCCATTCCTTTTCTATTCCTTTCGAGTCCATTCCACTGCAGTCCATTCCTTTCGAGTCCTTTTTATTCCAGTCCATTCCGTGCGATTTCATTCCATTCCATTCTGTTCAATAACTTCCATTTCACTGTATTCCATTCAATTCCTTTCGATTCCATTCAATTCCATCCCATTTGATTGCATTCCATACAATTCTATTCCATTCGACTTCATTCCATTCTAGTCCATTCCATTGCATTCCACGCAATTCCACTCCATTCGATTCCAATCTGTTCCAATCCATTTTGTTCCAGTCCATCCCTTTCTATTCCATTCCATTCTATTCCATTCCATTCGATTCCATAGCATTCAATTCCATTCCATTCTATTCCATTCCACCCGATTCCACTCAATTCCATTCCATTGCATTGTGTTCTATTGTGTTCCATTGCTTTCCATTCCCTTCCATTGGATAACATGCCATTCGATTCCATTCCATTCAAATCAATTTCATTGCAATCTATTACATTCGAGTCCGCTCTATTCCAGTCCATTCCATTTCGTTCCATTCCATTCGACTCCATTCCATTCTATTAAAAGTACAGCATTTCATTCGATTCGATTCTATTCGGATGAATTCCTTTCGAGCAAATTCCTTTGAAGTCCATTCTATTTGAGTGCAATCCATTTGACTCCATTGCATTTGATTCCATTCCATTCCATTCCCTTCCAATCCGTTCAATGGCATTGCATTCTATTCTATTTCATTAGAATCCATTCCATTCGAGTCCATTCCTCTCCTCTACATTCCATTCCATTTGATGCCATTACATTAGTTTAATTCCTTTTGACTCCATTACATTCCATTCCGTTCCATCTGTTTCCATTAAATTATAATTCTTTCCTTTGCATTCCATTCGATTCCTTTCTATTTGAGTCCATTCCACTCCAGAACATTCCATTCGAGTCCATTCCACTACTGTCCATTCCATTCTTGTCCATTCCATTCGAGTCCATTCTATTGCATTCCATTCCATTGCATTCTGTATCTTTCCATTGCACTCCGATCCATTGAATTCCATTCCATTCAATTCCACTCCATTCAACTACATTCCATTCAATTCCATTCCATTTGACTCCATTCCTTTCGAGTCCATTCCATTCCATAACATTTCATGGCATTCCGTTAGTTTTCAATCTGTTCGATTCCACTTTGTCTCAAGTCCATTCCATTCGAAGCCATTCAGTTCGATTCCATTCCTTTCGATTCTATTGCATTAGGTTCCATTCCTCTCGATTCCCCTCCGTTCTTTTCCATTACCTTTCATTCCATTCTCTTCCATTCCTTTGTATTGCATTCCATTCCATTTCATTACATTCCATTCGTTTCTATTACATTCGAATGTATCACATTGCAGTCCATAAAGTGCGAGTCCATTCTATTCCGGTCCATTCCATTCTGGTCCATTCAATTTGAATCCATTCCGTTCGATTCCATTCAATATTATTTAATTCTATTCGATTCCATTCTATTCGGATAAATTCCATTCTCGCCCATTCCTTTTGAGTCCATTCTATTTGAGTCCATTCCATTCGAGTCCATTACATATGGGTACATTCCATTCCATTTAATTCAATTCCATTCCATTCGAAGCCATTCCTTTCATTTCTATTCGTTTCAAGTCCGTTCCATTCGAGTCAATTCCATTCCATTCCATTCGATGTCATTCCATTTGATTTTCTTCCATTCGACTCCATTCCATTCCGTTAAATTCCATTCCATTCCATTCCATTACATTCCATTTCATTCCATTAATTCCCTTCCATCCCATTCCATTCCAGTCTATTCCTTTCCATTCGTTTCAATTTCATTAGAGTGCATTCCACTCCAGCCCATTCCATTCAAGTCCATTCCACTCCCGTTCATTCCATTTGAGTCCATTCCAGTCCATTCCATTCAATTCCATTCTGTTCAATAACTTTCTTTTGCAATCCATTCTACTCTATTCCTTTCGATTCCATCAATTCCATTCCATCGATTGCATTCCATTCGGTTCCATTCCATTTGACACCATTCCACTCTATTCCATTCCAATCCATTCCACTCCATTCCATTCCGTTTGAATCCAATCCGTTCAAAACCTTTTTGTTTCAGTCCATTCCATTCGAGTACATTCCATTCAAGTCCATTCCATTCAATTCCATCCCTTTCGATTCCATTCCACATGATTCCCCTCCATTCCATTGCATTGCATTCTACTGCCTTCCATTGGTTTCCATTCCATTCCATTTGATTGCATTCCTTTGCTTTACATTCCATCCATTATATTCGAGTCTGCTCTATTCCAGTCCATTCCATTGTGGTCCATTCCATGCGATTCCATTCTATTCAATTCCATTAAATACTACTGCATTCCTTTCGATTCAATTCTATTCGAATGAATTCCATTCGAGCCCATTCCTTTCAAGTCCATTCAATTTGAGTCCATTCCATTTGAGTCCATTACATTTGGGTCCATTCCATTCCAATCCATTCGATGGCATTCCATTCTTTTCCATTCCATTCAAATCCATTCCATTCGAGTCCATTACACTCTATTCCATTTCATTCCATTCCATTTGATGCCATTCCATTAGATTCTATTTAATTCGACTCCATTACATTCCATTTCATTCTATCTGATTCCATTCCATTATATTTCCTTGCATTCCATTCCAGTGGTTTCCAATCCATTCGAGTCTATTCCACTCCAGTCCATTACATTCGAGTCAATTCCAATACAGTCCATTCCATTCTAATCCATTCCATTCCAGTGCATTCCATTCGAGTCCATTCCATTCCATTCCATTCGATATCTTTCCCATTATACTCCATTCCATTCCATTCAACTGCATTCCATTTGATTCCATTCCATTCGAACCCACTCCATTCGACTCCATTCCATTCAGTTCCATTCCATTCCATTCCATTTCCTTCCTTCCAATTCGATTCCAATCCATTTGATTCCTTTTTTTCCAAGTCCATTCCATTCGAGTCAATTCCATTCGATTCCATTCCATTTGATACCTTTCCATTTGACTCCATTCCCATCGATTCCAGTCCATTCCATTCCATTCCATTGCATTCCATTCTATTCCATTCCTTTGAATTGCATTCCTTTTCATTTGTTTACTTTCCATTCGATTCCATTCCATTCGAATCAATCACATTGCAATCCATTAATTTCGAGTCCAATCTATTCCATTCCATTCTATTCTGGTCCATACATTTCGATTCCATTCCATTCGATCACATTCCATACTATTTCATTCCATTCGATTGAGTTCTATTCGAATAAATTCGATTCCAGACCATTCTTTTTGAGTCCATTCTATTTGAGTCCATTCCTTTCAAGCCCATAATCTTTGGGTCCATTCCAATCCATTCCATTCCATTCAATTCGATTGCATTCCATTCTATTCTATTCCATTCGGGTCCATTCCATTCGAGTCCATTCCATTCCACTCCATTCCATTCGATGCCATTCCATTCGATTTTATTCCATTCGACTCCATTCCATTCCATTCAATTGCTTTCCATCCCATTTCATTCCAGGCTATTCCTTTCCATTCCATTCCATTCCATTTCATTCCATTCCATTCGTTTCCATTCCATTCGAGTCCGTTCCACTCTAGCACATTCCCTTCAAATCCTTTCCAATCCAGTCCATTCCTTTCCTGTCCATTCCAGTCCATTGCATTCGAGTCCATTCCATTCCATTCCCTTCCATTCGATATCTTTACATTGTACTCTATTCCATTCCATTCCTTTCAATTCCATTCAGTTCCATTCCATTCGATTCCATTCCATTTGACTGCATTCCATTCGAGTCCATTCTATTCCATTCTATTCCGTTCCTTTTGATTCCAATCTGTTCCATTCCATTTTGTTCCAGTCCATTCCGTTGAATTCCATTCCATTCCAGTCCATTCCATTCGATTCCATTCCATTCAATTCCATTCCATTCAATTCCATTCCAGTTGATTCGACTCCATTCCATTCCATTGCATTGCCTTCTCTTCCATTCCATTGATTTCCATTCCTATCAGTTGGATTACATTCCAATCATTTCCATTCCATTCGAATCAATTACATTGCAATCCATTCCATTAGAGTCCGTTCCATTCCTGTCCATTCCATTCCAGTCCATTCTGTTCATTTCCATTCCATTCGATTCCTTTCTATTCGAGTCAATGACGTTTCAATTCATTGAATTCGACTCTGTTTTATTCCAGTCCATTTTAGTCAATTCCTTTCCATTCGATTCCCTTCCATACTATTTAATTTCATTCGATTCCATTCTAATCACATAAATTTCATTTGAGACCATTTCTTTCAATTCCATTCTATTAGAGTCCTTTCCATTTGATTCCATGTCATTTGTGTCCATTCCATTAAATTCTATTCCATTCGATGCCATTTCATTTGATTTTATTCCTTTCGAGTCCATTCCATTCGAGTCCATTCCATTCCATTACTTTCCATTCCATTCGATTCTGTTCCATTTACATGCATTCCATTCCATTCCTTTCTCTCTGAATCCACTCCATTCTATTCCTTTCCCTTCCATTCCATTCCATTAAATTCGTTTCCATTCCATTCGAGTCCATTCCACTCCAGTGGATTCCATTCGAGTCTGCCCCATTCCAGTCCATTCCGTTTGAGTCCATTATGTGCCATTGCATTGCATTCGATATCTTTCCCTTACCTTCCATTCCATTCTTTTCCTTTCTATTTCATTCATTTCCATTCTATTCAATTCCATTCCATTCGATTCCACTTCATTTGACTCCATTCCATTCGGGTATGTTCCATTCTATTCGAGTATGTTTCATTCCACTCCATTCCATTCCATTCCATTCCAATCCATTCATTTCCATTTAGTTCCAGTCAATTCCATTCCATTCGATTCCATTCCTCTAGATTCCACTCTTTTCCAGTCTATTGCATTCCATTCTATTCCATTCCATTGCTTTCCATTCCTTTCCATTTGATTATGTTTCATTAGTTTCCATTCCATTTGAATCTATTACATTACAATCAATTACATTCGAGTCCATTCTATTCCAGTCCATTCCTTTCTGCTCCAGTAGATTCCATTCCATTCGATTCCATTACAAACTCTTTCATTCAATTCAATTCGAATCTATTTGAATGAATTCCATTTGAGACCATTCGTTCAGAGTCCATTCTATTTGAGTCCATTCCATTGAGGTCCATTATATTTGAGTCCTTTCAATTCCATTCCATTCCATTCCGTTCCATTCCATTCTATTCCATTTGATTACATGCCATTCGATTGCATCCATTTGAATCAATTACATTGCAATCCATTACATTCGTGTCCGCTCTTTTCCAGTCCATTCAAATCCTGCCCATTCCATTCGATTCCATTCCATTCGAATCCATTCCATACTATTGAATTCCATTCCATTCCATTCTATTCGAATAAATTCCATTCGAAACCATTCCTTTTGAGTCAATTCTGTTTGAGTCCATTCTATTCGAGTCCATTAATTTGCGTCCATTCCATTCCATTCGATACCATTCCATTCGTTGCTATTCCATTAGTGTCCATTCCATTCGATTCCATTTCATTTGATGCCATTGCATTCGATTCTATTCCATTCGACTCTATTGAATTCCATTCCGTTCCATCTGATTCTATTCCATTCTATTCCTTTCTATTTTATTCCATTCCATTCCATTCCATTGCTTTCCATTCCATTCAATTCCTTTCATTTCCATTTCATTCGTGTCCATTCCACTCCAGTCCACTCCATTTGATACCTTTCCATTCCAGTCCATTGCATCTGGGTCTATTCTATTCCATTCCTTTCCATTCGATATCTTTCCATTAACATCCATATTTTTCTAATCCTTTTGATTGCATTCAATTCCATGGTTTTTGGTTCCATTCCATTCGACTCCATTCCATTCTACTCCATACTGTTCCATTCCATTCCATTCCTTTTTGTTCTATTCCAAACCGTTCGATTCAAATTTTTCCAGCCCATTCCATTAGTGTCAATTCCATTCCAGTCGATTGCATTCTATTTCATTCCATTCAATTCCATTCAATTCGAATCCATTTCACACCATTCCAATGCATTCTTTCCTTTCAATTCCATTCCATTTCATTTCGCTTCATTCCT